>NW_025791793.1:0-344606 GCF_000001405.40 Homo sapiens | reverse complement strand
GAATTCTAAAGCTCATAGGAAAAAATCACCATATCGAGGTAAAGAGACTGCTTTCTAAATGAAGACTTAAATGAGTTTTTATTGACATATCATAGGCAAGAATAAAGCCACAACATATAACATGCCCTAGAACTTAGGTTCATGCACTGTGCTTAGATAATGTGCCCTGTTATTTTATTTGTGAGACACTAGAATGGAAAACAAAGAGAAAGGGATGGTGCTGAAGTCCATTGTGACTGTGTAGACAAGGAAGGTGCTCCTGGCTGAGAAACTGATATTCACAGGAGTTGCTTGGCTCCACCAACTACTAGACTTATCTACCTCTGTTTTAATTGAAGATCGTAAAATATCATTATTTGCCCAGCAGTTCTTGCAGACTTATCTATGTCTTATTGCTCAGTTGAGGTCGTTCCTGGGCTCAATAACTGAAAATAAGCTTCAGTAATCTTTACCTCTGTTTTCTATGGTCTTTTCTTTGGCTTCAATTTCTCCTAGTCTCCCACACAATTCATTTTATAGGATGACATAATGGTGACCTGATGTATACAGAATGTTTAGTAACTATGAAAGCAGTTCCGTGCTATCTTATTTTGCTATCTCAAATATTTGTATTCTATTTTATTTCATTTTATTTTATGAGACAGGATCTCACTGTGTCACCCAGGCTAAAGTGCAGTGGTGCAATCATGGCATACTGGGCCCAAGGGAGCCTCTCACCTCAACCTCCCCAGTAGCTGAGACCACAGGCATGCACCACCACACCTGGAGATGGTTTTTTTTTTTAATATTTGTTTTTGTAGAGATGGAGTCTCCCTATGTTGCCCAGTTTTGTCTTGAACTCTTAGGCTCAAGCCTCAGCCTACCAAAGTGCTAGGAGTAAAGGCATGAGCCACATTGCCTGACCTTGCATTTTAACTGGAGCCTGAAGAAGCCAAACTTATTCCCAAATGAACATTTCCACAAGTAACTCAGATATCAGTAACATTTGTAGAAATTTACTTTGCACTTTTATTGAATCAATGTAATTTTTTTTTTAGTTGGGAGGATGGGAAAATCTTGGAACTCCGAATTTCACCCAAATATTTACCATGTTTACCAATTTACCATAAATGACACCTCTAGTTTTCTGTTCAACAATATATTCAAACAGGCTACTAAATGACAAATAATGTTACTTGAAAAATATCTTCATGTAATAAAAATAAACATATGGATATAGATATCCTGTGAATCAAAATTTACCAACATGAAAAATATGTGTTGACTTTGTTATCTAGTTTATCTTTAGTAATTCCAATACAGTGCGAAGCAAGTTAACATTATTGAAGCAGTGAAACATTTGGAGTTTTATTTTGGTTATATTTCTTGCAATAAGAAACATAGACTTTAAAAAACTCACTGATGTCTACACTGATTCCTAATTACCCAGAAATTTCAGACTGAACACCAATGTCATGGAAAAACCCCTTTGCAGAAGGACATCTGGTTTAATCCATCATTGAGGCTTAATTATTTTTCTGTGTGTTATTTCTCACACAGAGAACAATGTATGTATAGCTATTACAAAACTGATTCAGCACTCTTTCTAATGCTTTAATGTGAATTACTTGGCAATCTATATTGGAATACAAGTTAGAAAATAAGAGTCATGAAAGATAAATTTTGCTACTTTTTACACAAATATTAAATAAGTGTGCACTTTTTCTAAGCACAGGGCACACTGCGCATGGTAAACATTAAATAAGTTATCAAAGGCAATTCCTACAGGCATTAAACATCACCTTTGATACATTTCAGCAACCCAGTTTAACCATTGGCAAATAAATAACATTTTGCTAAGTTACACATTCACCAGGCTTTCCATAAAATATTACTTCCCAGCACCTGGATTAAATACCATGAACTAACTCTACTACAAGAATTTTGAGGTCCAAATTATTTTACCCAGTAGAAGTTTAAATAAAGAACTAGAAATGATCTTCAGATGACGTGTTATTAAACATTTCACAATCATTCAGCTATTTATTTTCAGTAGACTAAAGGCTTTAGCTCTGATGCAGAAAATTTGAATATATCATGGGAGTTATCAAAATTATTTTAAATTTACCAATAGTATTTGTCATATGCATGCTTTTAGTAATCTCAGTTGAGCATATGCCCCCCCAACATATATATACACATACATGAATATATATAGAGGTGCTTGTATGTTACACTGAGGCCCTCTAGAAGTGAAACTTGAATGTTTTAATATGACTAAGTTCATAATCTCCTGCCCAGGAAATTATAAATTAAAAACATTCCAGATCTCAAAGAGCTTTTCTTTACTGAAATATTGAGAAAGACATTTCCCAAGTACTTTAGCCTTTAAAATATGATTCATGCAAGCAACTAAATTAGAGAGTTCTTGGGAAGAGGGCTGTGGATAACAAGAGAAAAGTGAGAAGAGAAGAAACTAAGGATGTGTGATCAAAGAACAGGTTAACATGTAAAAAATTCAAAAGAGGAAAAAAATGCTTGCAAGTTATATGAGAGTATTTTAAATATTTGGACGTTGTCTCATGGATTACATCTATTTATCTATCTATCTATATCTATCTATCTATCTATCTATCTGTCTATCTATCTCTCCATCTATCTATCATCTATCTGTCTGTCTATTAGTTTGACTTATGCCTTACAACCAATAAACACTTAATAAGCAACCATGATTATTTGTTAAATATGATATGATGAATAAACAAATGCTAGTATTTAGGATTTCACAATACAGATTGTTTGAGAGTAGAATGGATTCACGTCCACCTGCAATTGATACGCAGAGCTCTGATATCACATTCTGTTTTATTTTCCTCAGAGTTTAACATTTTTTTCTCCTGTTTCTATTCTCTCCCCATTTATGGAGTGCCTCTTCAGTGCTCAGTATTTACCCCAAGCATTTTTTTTCCTATAATCAATGATAGTTCTCTACTAGTGGCACGGCTGAATGAAGCTGGTTTCCCAAATTGTGGAGATTATGTCTTACTTCCTTGAATTTTGTTTAGTTTTTGAGGTTCAGGGATGACAGCATTCCCTGCTGCTCAGTGTGAAATTAGGGATTTTAGCCTAAAGAGAAAATTTGATAGTGCTCTTGGGTCTTTGAATAAGGAAGGTTGGGACATGCTGAAAGCCTTTGCCCACTTTCTGGAGCTTTACTTTACACATGTCCATATAGAAGGATCTGTGATGTTCTGCAATAGAGCAACCTATTTTACCTTTCCCCACTTAAACCCAGTATTTCCAAACTTTTTTTTCCCCATAGGCCTATTTTGTTGCTTAATATTCAGTGGTTCTTCTGAACAAAGTTTTGAAAATTCTAACCTAAAAACTCAGACGATAGCAAGATTAACATGTTTACAACCCCTTTTCCTTACTCCTAATGGTACTTGCTCTACATCAGTTGAAGGGCTTTTCTAAAAGTGAAATGAAACAGAAGCGGTGTGATTTCTTTGTAGACCTAAAGTGCCTATGTCAATGGGAGGAGATACTATTATCCAAATATGAGTTTTCTCTTTAAGCTGTAGAGGGTAGGTTGCTGCATATATTTAAAGGAAAGAGCAGGACATAGAAAATTAAATTATAGTATCTTTTTTATCCTTTTTTCTTTATTTTTGTCATTATTTTATTATTTGTTAAGTATAATATGATGATTAAACAGATGATAATATACAAGATATATTGCATAAATGTAAAGATTAGATAAATATATTTATGCCATTAAAACATAAGATTTATATTTACTAAGGTGAATATTTTCCAAAATGATGCATCCTTCTGGAGAGTGAGGAAAGGGCACTTTTACTCTTTACATAAATCTTTATTTTCTAATTATTGCATTTTCCTCTCAAAGGCCAAAGTTGTAGATTTAAGACAAGAAATCATTTCAATTTCCAAGTAACAGGGAACGTCAGTTCTAATTCATCACCATCACTTGGGTGCCATACACACGCACAGGCACACACACTCAAAAACTGCGTGTCAAAGACAAATTCAAAGATGTGCTTCCTTGTAGATTTCAGGAGGCATGTTCACTCTTCTTGGTATGTGTTGGAGACTTTAAGTTTTGTTTGACTACTTACCGCTTATTAAATGTCTTATTTGCCACAATAGAAAAGTCATCCCTGCATCTATGTGAAATATGTTTAATTTCTCTTGAAAGTTGCCTAAGACAATTTTCTGCATGTACTGTTCATACTAGCTAAAACTGCTCCCCACTCTTATTCCTCTAGGAAATTCCTAGTTATTTTTCAAGCCCCAGTTAGATTATTGTCCTTTGATGCTTACCCTGATTCCTGAAACAATTAGTTATTTTGTTTGTATTTTTATTATTGAACTAATCATATTTAACTTTAATTTTCATGCTCCTTACCATGAAAATCAACCAGCTCTTTCAAGGCAAGCACTGTGATCAGTTGTCTTCAATTCCCCAGCAAAGCAACTTGCATGCATGGAGTGTTCAGTGCTGTTTGTGCACAAATGTAACCATATTACAATGGTTAAATCATTTAGCATCCTGAAAGCATCACAGAGTCAAAGTAGCTAACTTGTGTGAACCCTTAATTCAATTTCCGGGAAGAGGTTAGACACTGAAGTATGTAGTTGAAGACACTGGTGTTGCAAGGAATTGTATCCCACTAGCTCAAGCCTACAGACTTCTGTTTTGTGCCCTGGATTAAGATAAATTTAAAAATCGAATGAATTGCCAACACTATCTTTGGTAGATTTCCCATAAAAACAATGAATTCTGATATTTAAAATGTAAAGCTCTTAAGACCTTACAACACAAGGTCCCTGCTAACATAAAGCAAAATTCTATTGGCCTGAGTGACTTCTGAGTCTACACTGGGAACCACTCTATGTTTCACTTCAGTGGACTCTTAAACCCAACCCACTTCACTCATTCTTATTAGCTAAAGGGCTCCCATAGACATTTAAGTTTTGATCTCTTATCTCCTTTAGTGTTTTACTTATAAAATAACACAAGGCAACATTGGGAATTTATAATAAAAAATTATTGTATAGAATCCCAGCACCATAATTTCCCATTGTCTCATTTCATTACAATTGATATTATCTGAATTAATATTATCTGAAAGTATAATCTGTTCATTATAATTTGTATTGTTTGAACTCTAGGAATAATTCTATCTCTCTTGATTACTTTTCATTTTATTATTCTGGACATTATAATATTATAAAGAAGTTTGAACTAATGCTGCTAGAAACCTGAAACAAATTTGTGTTCCACTAGCAGAACAAATTTGTCACATTCTGTTATATGCTGTAAACCCCTTAAATGCATTCAGGATTAAATTAAAACATAAATGGACCAGTAGATAAAATCTATGAAATAACATTTGGCAACTTCTCTTGCTTTACTCCTACAAACTCCTTCGACTGAAAATTCCTTCATTAGTAATTCATATAGGCCCTTGTTATTCCAAATTTAGAAACCTTATCTTTGGTTTATTCACAAAGAAATGAATTGCTTTTGATTTTGTTGGTATAGCAGTAAGAAAAAAAAAGTGAAGAAAAAAAACCCAGAATTTCCTTCAAACCCCTATGATTCTGGACTCTCTAATACAGCACATAGCCAGTGAAATTCTCAAAGGTGGAGACACTAAAGCAGGGGTCCCCTAACCCCCAGGCCATGAACTGGTATGGTCCATGTCCTGTTAGCAACTGGGCCACACAGCAGGAGGCAAGCCACCAGCAAGTGAGCATTCCTGCCTGAGCTCCGCCTCCCGTCAGATTAGTCTTGGCATTAGATTCTCATGGGAGCACCCACCCTATTGTGAACTGCATGCGCATGCCAGCTATCTAGGTTGTGTGCTCCTTACGAGAATCTAATGCTTGATTATCCCCAACAACCCCACCCTCCAACCCCCATCCATGGAAAAATTGTCTTCCACAAAACTGGTCGTTGGTGCTAAAAAGGTTGGGGACTGTTGTTATAAAGGAAGCCCATGATTGTATAGTCAACTGAAAAAGGCAGTTAGTGGCTTAATCCATTTTTCGACAAACTTTAGGACACTATTCCCTCATTCCAAAACACGTTGGTAACACAGAAACCATTCTTTTTAGGAATCATCTGCATATGATACACCCAGTTAATTGGGGCCTTTGCTTTTTTAAGACCACCAGGCCCTATATTCTTGAGTCCTGCCTGACTGGCTGTGTGAGGGAGAACAAGAGAGAAAGAAAAAGAGAGAGAGCAAATAAGAGAAAGAGAAAAAAGGTAACATGTAATGGACTTCTCATTCACCTTGATTTATTTTCATCCATTTAAGTGAAAAATGCTGGTACCTAAGAAAATGGTTAGAGGAAATTCTACTTTGGTGACGGAATTTATTCTCTTGGGATTAAAGGATCTTCCAGAGCTTCAGCCCATCCTCTTTGTACTGTTCCTGCTAATCTACCTGATCACTGTCGGGGGGAACCTTGGGATGTTGGTGTTGATCAGGATAGATTCACGCCTCCACACCCCCATGTATTTCTTTCTTGCTAGTTTGTCCTGCTTGGATTTGTATTACTCCACTAATGTGACTCCCAAGATGTTGGTGAACTTCTTCTCAGACAAGAAAGCCATTTCCTATGCTGCTTGTTTAGTCCAGTGCTATTTTTTCATTGCTGTGGTGATTACTGAATATTATATGCTAGCTGTAATGGCCTATGATAGGTATGTGGCCATCTGTAACCCTTTGCTTTACAGCAGCAAGATGTCCAAAGGGCTCTGTATTCGCCTGATTGCTGGTCCATATGTCTATGGGTTTCTTAGTGGACTGATGGAAACCATGTGGACATACCACTTGACCTTCTGTGGCTCCAATATCATTAATCACTTCTACTGTGCTGACCCACCCCTCATCCGACTTTCCTGCTCTGACACTTTCATTAAGGAAACATCCATGTTTGTGGTAGCATGATTTAACCTCTCCAGCTCCCTCATCATAATCCTCATCTCCTACATCTTCATTCTCATTGCCATCCTGAGGATGCGTTCTGCTGAAAGTAGGCACAAAGCGTTCTCCACCTGCGGGTCCCACCTGGTGGCAGTGACTGTGTTTTATGGAACCCTGTTCTGCATGTACGTTAGACCTCCCACGGACAGGTCAGTGGAACAGTCCAAAGTCATTGCTGTTTTCTACACTTTTGTAAGCCCTATGTTGAACCCCATCATCTATAGTTTGAGGAACAAGGATGTGAAACAAGCTTTTTGGAAACTGATCAGAAGAAACGTGCTTTTGAAGTAAAATCAGTGTATCTTTATTAGTCAAATAAAAAAATCTTTCTATTTATGAGAACTGTATTTAACTTTAGTAGCTTTACAGTAAAGTCAATTTTAGATCCCCAATGAAAAACTATAATCTAACAACAAAACATAGACATAGATAGAGAAAATTTATGGTTTTACATGTTACATATGAGTGAAATATGTGTGTGTGAAGGGTAGGGAGGTGTATATGCATGTATGAGGAATAATTATTCTTTTATTCATAACATGCATACATTTACATGTATGAATTTACATGTGTAACAATTTACATGTAAATTTACATGTAAATTACATTTATAACAACATATTTTTTACATTATAAAAAATTATACATTGTTGTAATAAAACATTAGGTCTCTATGGAAAGGTAAAAAGTAAGAGATTAAAATATTTTATTTTCTTTCCCACACCCTGATTTTTTATTCTCACTTCCTAGAGTTACAACGATTAACAGTTTCTTTAGTTTTTTTTTTTTAATTTCTTCGTATCTACAAACAAATGTGTGGTTATATGTACACACATATATACACGATTGTTAAAACACAAGTTGACTGTCATGGTTGCTTTTTAGTGGTTTACAATTCTGTAGCAATTACTACCAAGAAACTTCAGTCTCATGGTTTAGAGGAATGTCACAACTGCTGGTGAGACTTGCTGTCCCTCTAGGCTGTTTCTCTAGGAGAGAAAACTTACGATAACACCTCTGTGTCCATGCCTGACACCCACTTATGTCTCTCCACTTGTGAGAGTCACTTTCAATAAGACACCTTTCTCCTTCTGCCACGACAGGACATGAGGCCAGCCCAGCAGTTATTTTTCAAATATTAACTCTGGAAGCAGACAAAGAATGGCTCCTATAAGGGTATATGACTGGCTGCAAATAACTGTGACTTCTGCAGAACTTATCAATTCAATTCTACACTTCTGGGGACTAGAGTCCTTCATGCTTTCTCTCACCTCTGCTTTTTTAATCTATTTTTCAGGATAGATCATATATTTTTATTAGTAGCATCATTCAAATTTTACTCACAGTGGTACTTTGTCACAGTTAGTTATTATATACCTAATTTTAGAATGACATATGTCGACTTGTTTGTAAGTATTTTAGTGCTAAAGGAAGCAAAGGACAAGTTGATATTTTAAGGATGTGACAAATCTGGTGACTTTGCAGTTGATAACATAAGCAAAATTGATGAATGTGTGCTGAGTATCTACAATAAGTCACACTTCTCCTAACACCAAGGACTTTTCAAGGAGCTCGACAATGGCATAGTTTTACAGGGGTCATGAAACTGTAAACAGAAAGATCAATACAATTTGTTAAATGCTGTAAGACTATGGAGGTGCTAACGAAAGAGAGGAAAGAAAAAATTATCTCTGGGCAAATTGAAGCTAGCCCTGTGATTGTCCAAGACTAGAACTTGTTTATGCTTTATGCACCTTCCTCAGCCCTCCCATAGCTCCTAGTATGACGTAATGTCAGGTGGGGTCTGAGCAAAATAATTAAGAACCAATTTGTGATCAAATATGTAGATGTTAGTTTCAATGAAAAAGAAAAAACCATAAAACTATAACAAGTCACAACTCAAAAAGACATGATATTTTTTCTCAGTTGTATTTCAAAGCTTTCTTTGTACCTTCGAGTTAATCTCTGCTTAGTATTTCTACAGAAATTTTCAGACTCATTCATTTTATATTATTGCATATAATTATTTTAAACCTTGTACTACTACATGTTCCTATTTAAATACCTTGATTTTGAAAGTCAGATTGCCCACAAATTCTGTTAAAACACACATATAAATAAAAAAGCTATTTTTACTAATTTTTTACATTTAATTAACAATTGTTGAATTCCGCTTAGACACATACCTAGATGTATTCCTGTTTAAATACACATATGTTTTTAGTTATGTGAAACCAGCTTCTTAATTATATAAAATTTTCTGATCTCAGGGCCCATGCTTCTATCTGTACAGCCTAGCTTGGCACCGAAGAAAGGTTCAATGACTGCAGCATGAAAGAGTACACATCATACACAATTTTATTAAAAGTTAATGAATGTCCACTTTCAAAGTAAACAAAGTGCCTCAATTTTAGAATTTATAAGAAAAGTGTCTTTGAACAGACCAGCAGATGACTCTGAGGGAATATGTTATTAGTCATAAGCCAACTTACTTTTCAGAAATACAAGTAACCATAATGTCATTGATGTTTATGACTGACTTTAGCAATACAAAACCAATAGTTACGCCCATATACACAAAAGTTCAAGATAGAAAGGAATTACACCAAGTGCTTTCATGAATTGACTGGCTCGCTGGAATCACGTCTATCAGCCTGTTAAGACTATCTAAGTCCATATCATATTGTATTAGACATAAAATAAATATGTGCTGATGAAAATTTTTGGTATTAATATGTTATTTTAGTAGGCCCTGGATTTTAGCTAAAAAGTAAAGAATAACTTTCTTATTGATGACATTAAAATCCCATTATTAAAGTCTGTCATAAGAGATTTCAAGAAGAGTCTCCAATTTCATGTCTCTTTTCTTTCAAAGTTAATTCTGCTGAATTCTTTATTTGTTGGACAAATTGGGTAATACAATGAAGAAATAATCAGAAAAAATAAAGAATATTTACTGTACTTTTGAAAAGAACAATAAATATGATATATTATTTTCTCCTCACCTATCCAAAAGATCATCACTCTGATATTCCTTTCAGGAAAATTTATACATGTGTATAAAATACTAAATGTTATAGGGAGTAGTGATGTTATGAGCCTAATGTCTTTACTCATATAACAGATGTTTTTGGGAACAATGAATAAGTGAAAAATATTTAGACACTCACACTCACACATACACACAAAAATAAGACAGAGTAATACTTTTTATTATAGTTCAGGTAATATTTTAATGTAAGTTGTTTTACTTAATCTGCCCATCAACACTATGCATTCAGTACTATAATCTCCACTTTAAAGAAAAGACAACAGATTTACAAGTTGTTAACCTAAAAGCACATAGGTAGATTAGAAGGGGAGCTCAAATATGCCTGGCTTTAAAGTTTATTTGTTTGTTTGTGTTACTATTATACTTTTGCCACTATACTTCATTGAAGGCAAAATCATACAATGAAAAATATAATTATTTTCTATCTTCCAGAAGTATTGCTGATCATGTATTTGACAGCTGCATGCACACTGAAGGATATAATGCACTATAAAAAATTCTTTTTATAATGTATAGATAAATTTAACTTGTTCCATAAGACAAATTTTTGCAGTCAGATCCTAACTCCATCATTTATTAGCTAAATGAGTAGTTATGAGCATGAACTCTGGAATCTGATTTACTGAGCAAGTTATACAACCTCTCTCGGCCTCAGTGCCCTCTTCTATAAAGTGAAGACATAGTGATTTTTCATAAGGATGCTGTCTTCACAGAAGATATTAATTAACACATGAAACACACTTAGGACAGTACTGGATACATAGTATTTACTCAATAAAAGGTACCTGTTTTAATTATTAACTGGAAAGTTACTTTACCTATCTTAGACTTAGGTTCCTTTCATAACCTTCTATGTTTTCTTTTAATACATTTATTACTCTTTGGATATAATTAATGTCTGTGTTCTCTATAATATTGTAAGTGACATGAGGTCAGAAACAATGATGTTTTGAGAGCAATTATTTTCTATTTTTCAGCCTGGTATGTAGTATGTGATCCCTAAAAAATGATAGATAGATGATTGATGGGTAGATGACAGATAGATGATAGATAGATAGATAGATAGAAAAAAAGAAGTAAAAAAAATAATGGAGATTATAATATTAGTTTTGTAAGGTAATGGGATTTTCCTGCAAAACAAAACACTGATGGTAACTTAAATGTGTATATTTTATTCATGTATAATCAGTCTGCTTTTGTCTCCTTCAACAGAATTCATCTGGAAATGTGCAGAATAAATCAAACCAGAGAGAAGAAATTTATCTTCCTGAGGTTGGCCAGTTGCCCGGCGTTGCATCTTGTCTTCTTTCTCTTGGTTCTATTAATTTGTATTTTTCTTTTTCTGGAAAACTTGGCCCTAAATCTGCACATCACATCCTCACACTGTCTCCTTGCCAATCTCTCAATCCTACAAATTCTGGTTAACTTTTTATTTGGCAAGTTCAATTCCATAGCCAATTTATATGAACAGCATAACATGGTCACATTCCCGTTAACCCAGTGTTTTGTCCCTGCAGCCATCTGTGGCAATCACATCCACATGGTCATCTGCCTTCCATGTAGTCACAATATTGGGTCCAAAGTGCTCCACGTTTATATGGCTGTCCTTCTCTATGTTTGCATTTCATGTAAACTTATTTAACATGGTGTTATCCCCAGAGCTGACGACATGGAATAGCATCATATCCTGCCACCTTGTGGCTACTCCGACCAAATAAAACCAAATTTCACCACACGCCATGTTGCTACTCCATAATGTGATGGAAGTGTATGAGAGTTCTAACTTTATATTTTCCAAACAAATTTGGAATCTTTCTACTCTTTGTAAGCCAGAAAAACTTCTCTGTTTTTGAATTTCACCTTATGAATATGTCTAGATAATGTTACCTCCTTGAAGGAATCAATAACACAAAACAGTAGCTGCCCTATATGTTTGTGACTCTTTTTGAACAACCAAATAAATAGAAATAGAAAGAACGTAACGTTTGAAAATAGTAGCATGATGGTTAATTTTATGTGTCAACTTGACTGGGCGACAGGGTGCACAAATACTTGGTAAAATGTTATTTCTGGGTGTGTCTGTGAATGTGTGTCTGGAAGAGATTTTACCATTTGAATTGGAAGACTGAGTAAAGGAGAGTGTTCTCACCAATGTGGGCTGGCATCATGCAATCTGCTGAGGGCCTGAATAGAATAGAAAGGCAAAAGAAGAGCAGATTTGTTTTCTCTGGGTGAGTTGGGACATCAATCTTCGCCTGCTCTTGGACAATGTTGGTGCTCCTGGACCTCGGACCTGCAGACTCTGACCAGGACTTAAACTATTTGTTCCCCTACCAGGTCTTCAAACTTAGACTGAATTAAACCACCAGCTTTCCTGGTTTTCCAGCCTGCAGGCGGCAAATCACAGGACTTTTTGGCCTTTATAGTTGCATGAGCCAGTTTCCATTGTGTGTGTGCGTGTGTGTGTGTGTAATCATGTAATGTTATATATATATATATATATATATATATGTAAAATCTTCATTCTATATATAGAATGCTTCTCTTTCTCTGGAGAACCCTGATGAATACAGATTTTGGTATTGAGAGTGGTTCTAGAGCAACATAATTTTAAGGATATATTTTCTTATCTGTTTCTGAGGTTTCTGGAATTGGCTCTTTAATTTCATTAGATTTAAAGATGCTAATGACTATTTAGAGTAGTCGAAAAAGCATTGATAGTCCATGACATAAACTGTTTATACATATATGCAAAGTATCCACATTGGATTATCCTCATCAGACACTTATAAGATATAAGGAACTATGTGACTCTCTATATACTTTTGTACTTTCTTAGAAAACTAAGGATTATAACGATATTGATTGGTTACTCTTAATGTCACTGGACAAAGTGCTGAAAGATAAGGATGAGCTTGGGGATTTTAATTTCCAGTCCAACCCTGAGAGCTTCTATGTATGTCTGGAAGGAGATCCTTGTCTCCTGTAGCTTCAATTAGAGAATTGCAGAAAGGGATCCTATATGTTGCGTTGGGGGTTTGTGGGAAGATCCTGATGAAGCTGGAAAGACTGAGCCCCTAAATTCTGATAAGTGCTATCTGACAGTGAAAGAGGTTTCCCTACTCCTATACTCCTAGTGGAATTGGCCTCCCCGTTCCCAGTGGTATCAGCTTTTCCACCTATGTCTTGGGTAATTAACTCCATATTGCCAGAATAAATGGTAAAGACTTCCCCTGAGGCAGTTTCCATACAAGACAATACAGATTCTTTTTGGGGCCCACCTTTACCACCCTTCTTTGCTTCTAAACTTATAACTAAACCCAAGTACCAACAGCCCCTGAAAGAAGAGGTACCAAGCAAGACCATGAGGTGGTGCACTAAAAAAGTAGATGAGTTTTCTAATTTATACAAACAGAAATCCAGGGAACATGTGTAGGAATGGATACTAAGCATATGGTAAAAGAGTAGAATGAAGATATAGTTGGATCAGGTCTAATTTGTCAATATGAGCTCATTAAACAGAGATTCTCCATTTAATGTTGCAACTTGGGGAGTTAGAAAAAGCTCTAAGTTTGGTTGTTTGGCTGAAACATGAATCAAAAGATGGTCCACTGTGAGTAAACTGGAAATGTTTAACTTCCCTTGGTTTAATGTAGAGGAAGGAATTCAAAGGTCTAGAGAAATTAAAATTCAAGAGTGGACTTGCCATTGAAGACCTACTCACCCATACTGGAAGGGTTCAGAAGACAAGCTTTTCACCAATACATTGATAAATAAACTTGTGAGGGGAAACTGCAACCACACAATTGGAAAATCAAAATGCAGTAATAGTAACTAGATCATGGGGTGGCAGAGGCCAGGTGGTGGCTTTCAATGGCCCAAGGCAAGGTGGGCATAGTTACCATAATGAACAGCAGGTTAAAGCATCAAATAGAATAGTCTGACCCACACGTATCTATGACATTGGCTAGCACAGGCTAGTTAATTATGGTGTTCCCAGTTGTATAAGTAAATAGAAAGCCCACTAAATTCTTACTTGATCTGAATATGCAAAAACATTTTAGGTCAAGTGAACAAAAGTCTATTCTGAATTATAATAACTGATAGTTACAGTCCCTCAATCAATTTGTAGACTTGAGGCAGTTTACAGACCCAGAACTCCTTAAATGAAGGGGAGACAAGGTCTTCTCAAGGAAGATTTCCATATATTGCTAGGTCCCACAGAGAGGGACCTTTTATCTGGGTAACTGCATTGGAGAAAAGGAGATAATCAGACTTTTGAGTACTACTTGACACTGGCTCTGAACTGACAATTTCAGGCTCACAACATCATTATAGCCCCTTCAGTCAGTAGGGGCTTATGATGATTAGATTATCAGTGAATTCCATCTCAAAGTGGGCCCAGTGGGTCCCTGAACTCAGCCTGTGGTTATTTCTCTGGTTCTAAAATGCATAAATAGAATAGACATACTGGCAGAATCCCCATGTTGGTCCTCCTACTTGTGGAGCTTGGGTAAAAGAAATAGTTGAAATAATTTATTTAAAGTGTTTTGTGAGCACAAAGAAAGAAAAAAATTATCTTGACAAAAAGCTTTTTGGGTAATTCTCCCAGAGAAGGTAACCACTGAGATGGGTTTTGAAAGTTGAGTAGGAATTTCAAAGGGTAGAGGATGAATTGCAAAGACTTTTCCTAAAGAGTGAACCAACTGATCAAGAAGAATAGCTTGGTTGTGCTTATGACACAAATAATAGATAGGAAAGTAGTAAATAATAAAGTTGAATAGTAAACTAGATCAGATAAGGCAAGAATGAAATGCTTTTTTAACAAATTTAGACTTAATTGGATCTACATGATGTGGTGATTTGAACGTATCCTCAAAAATAATGTGTTGGAAAGTTAATCCCCACCGTAACAGTGTTAAAAAGTAGGGCCTAATGGGATGTGATTAGGTCACAAAAGTTACAACCTTGTGGGATTGATAAAAAGGCTAAATAAAGGATTACTTTTTTTAAAAAAGCAATTATAAATGGGCTTGAGGCTGCAAGTTCTCTAACTTGCTGTCCCCTTTTCTTGCCCTCTGCCTTCCTCCATGGGCTGACACAGCATGAAGGCCTTTAGATAGATGTCAGCACCATGCATTTTGACTTCTCGGTTACCAGAACTATAAAACAGGTACATTTCTATTTACTATAAATTACTTAGTCTGTGTTATTCTGTTGTAGCAGCATAAAACAGACTAAGAGAAATTTGGTACTCAGAAGTGTGGCTGTTCTATATCAGCTGAACATGTGAAAGTGGCCTTAGAACTGAGTAATGAGTAGAGGCCAAAAGAATTTGCAGGAACAGTCTAGAAAAAGCCTAGAATGCCATGAGTGGAGGTTTAAGGGTGATTATGGTGAGGGCCAGGAAATGTAGGGAAAGTCTGGAACTTCTTAAAGACTACATGTGTGGCTATCATCAAAGTGCTGGTAGAAATAGGGGTAGCAAAGGCCATTCTGAAAAGATCTCAGGTGAAACTGAGAAACAATGTACTGGAAACTAGAGTAAAGGCCATCTTTTTTATACAGTGGCAAATAAATTGGCAGAATTGTGTCCATGTAGCAGGGCTCTGTGGAATACAGAACTTAAGAGTGGTGAGCTAGACTATCTGGAAGAAGAAATATCTGCGAAGCAAAAAATTAAAGGTGGTGCACAGCTTATTTTGGGTGCTTACAGTAAAATGAGAGAAGAAAGAAAAAAAAGATAGAATTTGTAATGAAAAGGAAGCAGCATGAAGCGATTTAGAAAACTCTTAGCCTGGCCATGTAAATAATAAAAAAGCATGTTTGGGACAGAATACTAAGGAAGTGTTCATGTAGGATACAGTAAATTCCTCTTCAAAGTTTAGCCTGTTAACTTCAAGAAGGAGAAAAATTGTTAAGTACAAAGAGTTCTGAGTTCCACTTCAAAGAACCAATCAATATGTCAGTATGTTTAGCTTCCCTGTTCTTTGTTCTCCATTTTAAAGTTTAACCTCCTCGTTCTTTACATCTCCTTGCCCCTAGTTTCAGTAAACAACCCCCTCCTAGCCTCTATCACCTGTTCTGTCCTTAGTCATCCTCAGTCACCTGCTCTGTCCTTAGTTATCTAGTCATCTACACTGTAACCGTCCTTCCCGCCGAAACTACTCACCCTGCCACTCTGGCTCATACCCCTGCTCTCTTTAAAATAGCCAGTCAGAATTAGCTTAGACTGTGTGGTCCAACCCCAGCCAATAGGGGAAAGACAGCAGTAGGGACTAGCTGCTTTAGGATAAGCACCTCTTCCCCTCCCTTGTACGGTGTGCTCTCGCCATCGCTCCATCCTTGAGATGCACCCTTCTATAGAAGTAAATTGCCTTGGTGAGAAAACTTTTGCCTGAGTGCTAGTTTCACTTTGTAGCACCGAACATTTACTTCCAACAATCATTTGCTACAGAGATGAACATAAATAGAAGGAATCCAGGTTGGATTTATCAAGACAATGGGAGGATGACCCTGAAAGCATTTCAAAGATCTTGTGGAAAAGCTGGGATTTTTAGGGCAAAGAATCCAGAGAGATACATAAATATATGTTTAGTTTTTAACTGGAAGTGAGCTGGGATGTACTGTATGTAGTACAATCATATATTTTAACGATGTGGAAACTGAAATAGGGTGACTAGCCTAAAACTAATGGACTAGCTTGTGAAAACAGGATTTCTCGTCTCAAAAAAAAAAAAAAAAAAGAAAACAGGGTTTCTCAGTAGAACTAAACTGCCTTTCCTTGGTTTTATTTCTAGTTAAATGTCGTAATAAATTTACCAGATATTGCTTCCGTGTACCTGGAAAGCATAGACATTTTGATTCATTGTAATCAATGTTTAATCATGAAATTAGATGAAATAACAGCAAGTGAAGCATGTTAGTGCATGTTAGTGGCTAGAGAGAGGAGATTCATAGTCAAAGCTGCTTTCTTCTCTCAGTGAGCTCACTCAACAGCTTTTTGAATTTGAGAAAATTGAATTTTCTTTCTAAGGCTCAGTTCCTTCAATATATAATGGGTCTAATAATATTTATTTCATATTTTTAATATTTACATAAAATTATACATAAAAAGTTCTGTACATTGAATTTATAAAAACTTTTTATTTTAAGTATACTTAATTACCCCAAATTTTAACATCTGTATGTGGTACATCATGGCCTAGGAAAATAAAGAATAATAAAAATTATCCTAATCATTTGCACTCTAGATTTCTTCAATTATATTCATTTACTCTTGGACTTTTCTACAAACAAAGCAACACAAAATAAACAAAGAAAAAGAAGGGGAGCAAAAATACCCTATGACTTTTTTTTTTTTTTCAAATGAATGTATGCTCACCGTAATGATACCGTGTGGTAGAACATGTTTTTGCTGCATTAGTGGCCAAGTGAAAAGAGTGAGTAAGGTGTTCCTTTTTGAGTGCAGTTCTTTCTGCCAAGTAATGGAGGGAGTGAGGTAGAACGATGCCCAGTGATACACGATAAGCAATAAGTAAAGTCATTACCAAGAGATGTGAAAAAGAGGACACAGAAGAGATGTTAAGCCATTTTAAAATCCATGTTCAACATCACTGAGCTGTCTTCAGGGAACATTTAATTGGCAGAAATGACTGCTTCTTTGTGATTTCTTTTTAATGCAACAGGGAAAAGGAGTCAACTTTATAAACACAAGCAAACCTTTCCTTATTTATTATCTCTGAAGGCCCATTGGTTTTCCTGCTTCTTTATAGGTAGGGCTGTCTATTTGTGTGTGTGTGTTAGGAACTAGACAAAGTGTTGCTATTTATATTTAGAAGCCAAATACTTATTCAGTAGAAATGATGCATGATTAGAAATAGTTAAATAACTTCATAGGAGTATGGGTGGTTATATAGGTATCAATGCACACAATCTGAGAATTTGTATTTGTTCTAACTACTGAACAAATGGGACTAAGAAAGTAAAATTTCTTGCAATGGCTTTATGTGCCTCACATGTTGTCAGATCTTTACATAGATTATAACTTTTAATCCTCAAAAGATATTCCTTCAACAACATTTTGAAGTGAGAAAACTAAAGCTCAAAAAAGTTATGTAAGCTGTCTACAATTGTAGAGCTAACATGCAGCATAGTTGTAATTTTTTAAGTCAAATAAGGCAAGTTCCAAAACTTTTGAGTTGGTTTTGGGAGATGAATACCAGTACTAAGGATGTTGGAAACATTTTAGCACAAAATAATTTTAATGTTTTGGAAAGTACAAATGTACATGGCAGACTATTTCTAAGGAAGGTGGGATGTAAGGTTAGGACATGAATATATAGAAGAGTGCAAGATGATGTTCCAGTGTTCTCCAGAAAAAAAGATGAAGAAAAGATTGCAAAGCATCTAACTACCCAATCCTCATGAAAACATATGCATGCACACTGAAATAATTAAAAACTACATGTGTATGCATGCATGCATGTACACATGTGTGTATTATATATGTCTATGTGTATACATACAATATACATAGTCAGGGAGACTTTATATACATAGTCAGGGGAAGAGAGAGAGAGGTTAAATCACCATCCTTCTAAAGATAATAGTTCCTATTACATGAACAGCCTTTTAGTTCGTCAAAGCACCTTAATGTGTTCACTAGGCAAAGTTGGAGCTAGAGTAGAATTTGAGATTAGGAGACCCCAAAAGGTGAAGAACTTAGAATAAAAATATAGAGAAAAATACAGTTTTTGAGGTCATTTTAGAAGAGAAGGAAGGAGAGGTGAGAAATAGGAGGGGAGTAGAATTAAGAGAAACCAGGGAGGTATCATGAATTGGGTTAAGTGCTGTAAAATAACCGGTGACAAATCCTCTATGATTAGGCAACAGGTAGAAAATTTGAGAAATATAATAGATTTAATGTTTTAATTTTAATTTTTATTCTCTTTTGCAACAAATATCTATCTTCTACTTGCCTTCCACAGAGTTGCAATATTATCTGTGTCTGTGTGTTTGCATACTTGTAAACATTACAGATTTCTAAATGGCGTGGAATAGATAGGAGTTTTAAGATGATTTTGAAAGGTCTCAAGTTGCTGACATCAGGATTATCTAAGCATTATCCTTACATTTTATAAGTCATACCATAGTCCTTGAATATAATCTCTCACAGATTAATTTAATTCTAACTAATAACAATCACTTCATATGTTTTCATCTTATATAGCAGTCAAGTTTACAATAATCTTATTAAGCACCAACCTTAAGAGTATTTATATTAGTTAGATAACGGATTAAATTCCTATGAGAACAAAACAAAATAACAGTTAAACAAATTAGAAGTTTATTTCTCATTTATGTAAAATTCTGAGCTAGTATGTCATATCAGCTCTGCCAAGGTTTTAGGAGCTCCAACTAATTTACTCTTCTTTCTCTGCTTTCTATAAAGAGTTACTCTCATCTATATGATTCAGGATGGCTCAGCACTATATCCACATTACAGCCAGTGAGAGGCAGAAAAGAAGAAGGGAAGGGCAAACCTGTTTTATCAATGGATGGATAAAAGTAGCTTAATTTTCTTTTATTACATTCTCTTGGCCAGAAGCTACCCTTTTGCCATAGCAAATCTAATTTTAGAATTTTAAAAAAAGGAAATTCTGGTCATTTTTGTTTTGTTTTCTTTGGCTTTGTTTTTTAAAATTTATTTAACTTATTTATTTTTAAGAGCTGTCCCATAATTATCAGTTCTGGCTCTGAGGAGCAAATACTTAACCTGGTTAAGGGAAAGGTACTAGCTTCTAGTGCAGGCTCAGGCTCTGTCAAATCTGTCTGTTGTCTGGATGTCTGGATGATCACTTAGCCATCTAATCACTTCGCTATGCATGCTCAGTATGCACAAATATAGACAGACATGTTGGACAAAGTCATTTCCATGCTCTAATTCAGGTCTGTCGCTCCAAAAAATTACCTACTCTGAAGTTTATGAAATTAACTAGAAGCATGTTAGTAGACATTTTGAAAATTTTTCTGTAAAATTTTCAATTGGTATCCTCCTCAAATATTTATCTTTTATTTTCCCCCAAAAGTAGCAGCTAGTCTAAATTAGCATATTCTGTTTGTCACATAAAGAATGAGCTAAAATGTATTTTTAGTTTTTTACTACCTATCCTTATAACAGGAACCTAAGGGATTTTATCTGACATGGCATGGAAGAATTAACTGTAATCAGAAAAAGAATGTCAGGTACCAGGTTCTCAACTTACAGTTAAGTTAGATAACTTATAGCTAAGTTATCTAAACAATTAATTTACAAAAGTGCTGAGTATTCATTTGTTTATTAGCACTAGTGGCAAAATCTGAGCAATAAAGATGTGAGATAAAAAAGCAAAATGTAAAAAAAAATAGACACAGTAGAAATGAATATGAGTAAGAAATTAAGTGACATAAACCGAAAAGATTAGACCCTGTTTCAATTAAATCACTATCTCTAGTGTCTCCTGACACAAAACAAATTTAGAAAAACTGCAGAGGAGCAATGCAAAACAATGTTTCAAGAAAATATAAAAATGTTTGCCCTTTAGAAAATATCTACTAATCCAACATTCTCATTTCCCACTGAAGGAAATTATGAGAAGAAACTGTACATTGGTGACTGAGTTCATTCTCCTGGGACTGGCCAATCACCGGGAATTACAGATTTTCCTCTTCACGCTGTTTCTCACCATTTACATGGTCACGGTGGCAGGAAATCTTGGCATGATTGCCCTCATCCAGGCCAACGCCCCGGCTCCACACGCCCATGTACTTTTTCCTGAGCAACTTATCCTTTGTGGATCTGTGCTTCTCTTCCAATGTGACTCCAAGGATGCTGGAGATTTTCCTTTCAGAGAAGAAAAGCATTTCCTATCCTGCCCGTCTTGTGCAGTGTTACCTTTTTATCACCTTGGTCCACGTTGAGCTCTACATCCTGGCTGTGATGGCCTTTGACCGGTACATGGCCATCTGCAACCCTCTGCTTTATGGCAGCAGAATGTCCAAGAGCGTGTGCTCTTTCCTCATCACAGTGCTTTATGTGTATGGAGCACTCACTGGCCTGATGGAGACTATGTGGACCTACAACCTAGCCTTCTGTGGCCCCAGTGAAATTAATCACTTCTACTGTGTGGACCCACCACTGATTAAGCTGGCTTGTTCTGACACCTACAACAAGGAGGTGTCAATGTTTGTTGTGGCTGGTTTCAACTTCACTTATCCTCTCCTTATCATCCTCATTTCCTATCTCTACATATTTCCTGCCACCCTAAGGATCTGCTCTACAGAAGGCAGGCACAAAGCTTTTTCTACCTGTGGCTCCCATCTGACAGCCGTTACTATTTTCTATTCAGCTCTTTTCTTCATGTATCTCAGACGTCCATCAGAAGAGTCCATGGAGCAGGGGAAAATGGTAGCTGTATTTTATACCACTGTAATCCCCATGTTGAATCCCATGATCTACAGTCTGAGGAACAAAGATGTGAAAGAGGCATTATGCAAAGAACTGTTCAAAAGAAAATTGTTTTCTAAATAAACATTACTACTGATTTTTGTTGTGTTGTCATTTTATTTACCCTATGATTTTTCATAGAGCATAGTCTGATACAAATATATCCAAAATTATATATTTTCCTAGAAGTGTTGGGGAATTTTTATGAAGTGTGAATACAAGAAAAAATGAGTATTTACATCAATTAACAGGAATTTTGAATTCAATATAGTTTTGCCTGCCCATACCCCAAAGTAAGAAGCTCTATAGTGAAGAATCAATGTAAATTTTAAAAAATCTAATTTATACTTTAGAGAAAAAAAATCCTTAAAACCAGACCTGGGTTTTCTTTTTGCAAGGAGTTAGGCATATAGTTTTAGACTGCTTCTTAAACATATATTAAGCTTTTTTTAAAAAAAACAACAACAACAACAGCAACAACAAAAAGAAAACAGCATCTCACTCCATCACCCAGGATGGACCTGAGTGCAGCGGTGTGATCACAGCTTACTGCAATCTTGATCTCTGGTGCTCAAATCATCCTCCCACCTCAGCCCCTCACCTCTGCCATAGTAGTTGGGACTACAGGTGTACACCATGATACCTGACTAATTTTTGTGTTTTTTTTTGTAGAGACGGGATTTCACCATGCTGCCCAGACTGGTCTTGAATTGCTGAGCTCCAGTAATCTACCTGCCTGGGCTTCCCAAAGTTTAGGAATTACAGGTGTAAGCCACTCTGCCCAGCCTATAATAAGCTTTAAGAAAAATAGCAGTTCTGCTAAACTCTACTAAATACTTTTGTGTCTTACAAAGAAAGTCAACATTCCACTTTACCATATTCAACCTAAAATATGAGCCTCATCCCTTGTACACTCAGCTGTCATCTCAGCTGTTGCCTCTGCCTGTACCAACCTCATCTCCAGCCAAAAACACACCAACACTTTGGTCCACAGTGAGGCACACTTATGTTTCCACAGTCCATACCTGGTTTATTTCTTGGCTTTTTAGAGGAAAAATAAATGGCTAGTAGACTTCTAAATTGAATGTTACCTAAAAGTCTGTCTAAGGAGATCCAAGGCTAACAGACAATCTGTTCAATGCATGTCTAAAACCACATCAACCCAAAAGGTGTAACATGTGGTTGTAATGATACTATCATCACAGATTTGCATGGGATCACTGTCTTCCAGTCTTGAAGATGTGTGTTTTTGGGTGTGGAGGCCTATAGTTCCCCTAGAGGTAACCTAGAACTTAAGATATAATCACATACAAGGAAGCGAGAGACTAATGATGAGGTGTGTGCAAGGTGAGAAATTAGAACACAGATGCCCTCATGAAATTCGGATTATTGAAGGGCTACAACCTCTAGAGTAGGACAGAGTCAACAACAGCAACAACAAGGATGAAACTAGTCCGTTTAGACTTGGTTTCATGGAGGAGTTAAAAAGTCTTATTTAAGAATTTATGACAATAATTAATGCTCATGTTAAGTCAGCATTTATATTTATACTGCTTTGATGGGCTATCAAATCTCAAGCTAAATAATGAAGAACATAAAGAGGCCCAGGTTAGAAGAAGCTTCATGACACTGGAATAAGCAAACATAAACATAAGTCAGAGAATGGGTTATCAACCACTGAGACTTCAAAGATAGCCCACTGAAAAAGTTCTAATTCACAGAAATTTTCCAGGAAAATAAGAAATAAAAAGCACAAATGAATATCTTTAATTTATTTCAGATATTAGGATTACTTGATGCAAATTGTAAAATAAAGATATTTAATCATTGAAAATAAATGTGAAAATTTAAACTCTAAGACCATGTATATATGTGTGTACATATGTATGTGTACATATATATATGCAAAGACTGATTATAGAAACCAATAATTATATATAATATGTAGAGTTCCAAGCATATCTGCAGGCTGAAGGAGAGTCTCTGTGTTTTATAGGCATTGAAGCATTTTTAGAGTGGATAGGCAGGTATATAAATTTTCACATTGAAAGGAAGAGGAAGAAACAGCTAAGTCCCTCTCATGAGGCTTTAAGTGGTCTTGGAGAGTCAGCCTTTCTCTTCTTCTTCCTTAGTAAATTTCATGCAGACCTTGGCAGCCTAATCACTACAATCCTGCATCAGTGAGTCCTCTGAACTGGCACCATAGTTCACTAGGAAAGGCACTCATCCACCAAGTTCAGAGAGGTGGCCATCCGCATTGCTAAACAGAATAAAACAAAAATTCACTTTGTCATCTGCCTGACATTGGCCTTGCTATAAGATAGCCTCATAAACTGCCTGAAAGGCCTTATTCTTTTCAAAGGATTTTGTGCTGTCTTCAAGTGATATTTTTCTCCATGTCAGAAATAAAATATTTCAGGATTGACCTGCCTCAAATTTTAGTTTGTCTTGGTTATTGGCCATTGCATGTATAAGTCTAATTGTGTGACAGAAGTTTCCGATACTCTGCTTCATGAAGTACCCTTTAGGACTATCTCCTTGTCTCTTCAGTTCTTCAATCAATTTTTCCTGAAGTTCTTGTGTGAGGCTCTGATACAAAGAGTAGGCAGGTGCTGGCATCCAGCCCAGAGCCACCCTTTCCAGCCCTAGCACATCCTTAAAGCACCCCTGACCAGCACCCTCAACCTGGCCAACAGGTTTTTCAGCATCTACAGGTTAACCTCCATGGGCTTGAGCTGCACCTTCACAAATCACAAGAGAAACCACAACACAGAGTACAGGGAAAACAGCTTTTCAAAATTGGTAAGGTTAGTAGTGGTGTTAAGATATCACCCTGTCTTCCTATTTGAATACCCTATTTTTTTTTTGCCTGATTGCCCTGGCCAGATCTTCCAATACTGTGTTTAATAGGAGTGGTGAGAGAGGGCATCCTTGTCTTGTGTCACTTTTCAAAGGGAATGTTTCCAGCTTTTGCCCATTCAGTATGATATTGGCTGTGAGTTTGTCATAAATAGCTCTTATTATTTTGAGATACATTCCATCAATACCTAGTTTATTGAGAGTTTTCAGCATGAAGGGGTGTTGAATTTCATAGAACGCCTTTTTTTCTTCATCTATTGAGATAATCATGTGGATTTTGTCATTCGTTCTGTTTATGTGATGGATTATGTTTATTGACTTGGGTATGTTAAGTTAGCCTTGCATCCCAGCGATAAAGCCAACTTGATCGTGGTGGATAAGCTTTTTGATGTGCTGTTGGATTTGGTTTGCCAGTATTTTATTGAGGATATTTGCATCGATGTTCATCAGGGATACTGGCCTGAAATTTTCTTTTTTTGTTGTGTCTCTGCCAGGTTTTGATATCAGGATGACGCTGGCCTCATAAAATGAGTTAGGGAGGAGTCCCTCTTTTTCTGTTATTTGGAATAGTTTCAGAAGGAATGGTACCAGCTCCTGTTTGTACCTCTGGTAGAATTCGGCTGTGATTCCATCTGGTCCTGGGTTTTTTTTGATTGGTAGGCTATTAATTATTGCCACAATTTCAGAACTTGTTATTGATCTATCCAGGGATTTGGCTTCTTCCTTGTTTTGGAGATGACATGACTGTATATTTAGAAAACCCCATTGTCTCAGCCCCAAATCTCCTTAAGCTGATGAACATCTTCAGCAAAGTCTTAGGATACAAAATCAATGTGCAAAAATCACAAGCATTCCTATACACCAATAACAGACAAACAGAGAGACAAATCATGAGTGAATTCCCATTCACAATTGCTACAAAGAGAATAAAATGCCTAGGAATCCAACTTACAAGGGATGTGAAGGACCTCTTCAAGGAGAACTACAAACCACCACTCAAGGAAATAAGAGAGGACACAAACAGATGGAAAAACATTCCATGCTCATGGATAGGAAGAATCAATATCATGAAAATGGTCAAACTGCCCAAAGTAATTTATTGATTCAATGCTATCCCTGTCAAGCTACCATTGACTTTCTTCACAGAATTAGAAAAATCTCTTGTAAATTTCATATGAAACTGAAAAAGAACCCATATAGCCAAGACAATCCTAAGCAAAAAGAACTAAGCTGGAAGCATCATACTACCTGACTTCAAACTATACTACAAGGCTACAGTAACAAAAACAGCATGATACTGGTACCAAAACACATATATAGACCAATGGAACAGAACAGAGGCCTCAGAAATGATGCCACACATCTACAACCATCTGATCTTTGACAAACCTGGCAAAAGCAAGCAATAGGATAAAGGATTCCCTGTTTAATAAATGATGTTGGGAAAACTGGCTAGCCATATGCAGAAAACTGAAGCTGGACCCCTTCCTTATGCCTTAGACAAAAATTAACTCAAGAGGGATAAAAGACTTAAACGTAAGACCTAAAGCCACAAAAACCCTAGAAGAAAACCTAGGCAATACCATTCAGGACATAGGAACAGGCAAAGACTTCATGACTAAAACATCAAAAGCAATGGCAACAGAAGCCAAAACTGGCAAATGGGATCTCACTAAACTAAAGAGCTTCTGCACAGCAAAGGAAACTATCATCAGAGTGAACAGGCAACCTACAAAATGGGAGAAAATTTTTGCAATCTATCCATCCAGAATCTATAAGGAACTTAAACAAATTTACAGGAAATAAACAAACGACCCCATCAAAAAGTGGGCAAAAGATATGAACAGACACTTCACAGAAGAAGACATTTATGTGGGCAATAAACATGTGAAAAAAACCTCATCATCACTGGTCATTAGAGAAATGCACATCAAAAAAACACAATGAGATACCATCTCACGCCAGTTAGAATGGCGATCATGAAAAAGTCAGGAAACAACAGATGCTGGAGAGGACGTGGAGAAACAGGAATGCTTTTACATTGTTAGTGGGAGTATAAATTAGTTCAACCATTGTGGAAGACAGTGTGGTGATTCCTCGAGGATCTAGAACCGGAAATACCATTTGACCCAACAATCCCATTACTGGGTTACATACCCAAAAGATTATAAATATTCTACTATAAAGACACATGCACATGTATGTTCATTGCAGCACTATTCACAATAGCAAAGACTTGAAACCAACACAAATGCCCATCAACCATAGACTGGATAAAGAAAATATGGCACATATACACCATGGCACACTATGCAGACATAAAAGAGGATGAGTTCATGTCCTATGCAGGGAAATGGATGAACCTGGAAACCATCATTCTCAGCAAACTAACACAGGAACAGAAAACAAAACACTGCATGTTGTTCTCACTTATAAGTGGGTGTGAACAATGAGAACACATGGACACAGGAAGGGGAATATCACACACCAGGGCTTGTCAGGGGTTCGGGGGCTAGGGAAGGGATAGCACTAGGAGAAATACTTAATGTAGATTACAGGTTGATGGGTGCAGCAAACCACCATAGCACATATATACCTATGTAACAAACCTGCAGGTTCTGCACATGTATCCCAGAACTTAAAGTGTAATAAAACAAATGTATGTCACCTTGTTAAAAAACAGATAGTAGAAAAACCAGCAAAATGAGAACTGGTGCTATATAAAAATGTATTCAAAGAACCAAGTAACATATGACTTTGTGCTCAACTTTAATAATCATTAGGGAAGTACACATTACAATTACAAGATATTTGTGTTTTTATATATCTGTACCTATATGTTGCTAAATGACAAAAAGAAAAAAATGATATTGCTAAGTACTGGTGGGACTATGGAACAATTGAATCTCTCACATAATGTTAGTGAGAATACAAATGGATACAACCAGTTTGGAAAACTATTAGGCAGCATAAATTTAAGCTGGACATATTTATACTCCATAAGCCAGCACTTCTACTCATAGTTACAGCAGTCAGACATGCATGAATATGTTCATGAAGAGATATGCACAAGACTGAATTTTGTAATAGCCACATCTGGAAATAACCTATATATAAAGTTTGGTGTACTTATTATACAGCAGTGCAGATGAAGGAATTATTTACATATTCATCACACTCATCATCATGAATAAAAATCACCAACATAATATTTAGCACCAATGTAGTGTTCATTGGAGACTAGACCTAACAAAATATGCACTGTATAATTTCTATTACAGAAAATTCAAAACCAGACACAATTAATCTACAGTGTTAAAAGCAAAGATATAGTTAATTTGAGGTTACTGACTAGGAAAGGGCATGAAGACAGATGGTGGAGTACTGGTAATCTTCTATTTGAGAATTTAGAAGCAAGTAATACAAGTATGTTCACTTTGTAAAAATTCATGAAGCAGGCCGGGCACGGTGGCTCGTGCCTGTAATCCCAGGACTTTGGGAGGCCGAGGCAGGTGAATCACGAGGTCAGGAGGTTGAGACCATCCTGGCCAGCACAGTGAAACCCTGTCTCTACTAAAAATACAAAAAATTAGCCAGGCGTGGTGGCGGGCACCCGTAGTCCCAGCTACTAGGGAGGCTGAGGCAGGAGAATGGCATGAACCCGGAGGCGGAGCTTGCAGTGAGCCGAGATCCCACCACTGCACTCCAGCCTGGGCAACAGAGCGACACTCTGACTCAAAAAAAAAAAAAAAATCATAATTCATGAAGCTGTACACTTACGTTTTGTGCTCATTATTTGTGTGTAAATTAGACTTCAATATAAAGCTTACTAAAAACGAATAAAAATAGTACTAGTCTTCAAGCAAGCAAAGCTTCATTCCAATATCAAAGCATTCTATTTACCTATCAGTACACAGAGGGTATTAGTTTGCTAGGGCTGCCACAAATAAGTACCATGAACTTGGTGACTTAAACATGCAGATTTATTTCCTCACAGTTCTAGAGGCTAGAAGTCCAAGATCAAGGTGTGGGCAAAATTGGTTTCATTCTGAGTTCTCTTTCTGGCTTGTGGATGATCATCTTATCCCGACCTCTTTACACTTTATTTTTCTGTGTGTATCTGTATTCTAATCTCTTCTTATAAGGATGCAAGTTATATTGGATTAGGGCACAGCTCACCCATTAGGCTTTATTTTACTAAATGTTCTCTTTAGATATTGTGTCTCCAACAGTCATGCTCTGTGGTGCTTGGAGTTAGAACTTCAGCATATGAATTTTGGAGAGGGAGGGAAGGGGCACAATCCAGTCCATAACACAGATTAAGAAACGTGAAAGGCTAATAGAAGTTTGACACAAAGTTTGTGACACTAGTACGAGAGAAACTGTATCAGAAAAGTTGAATTAAGTTGAAAGTAACATGGTAAACCTAAGGCAATGTGAGAATCCATGGCAGACATGAATGTTATCTTATGGATTTTCCAATGTAAGAAGGAAAATACTGAGAATGAAACATAAGGCAGAGAAGGACCAGAGAGTTGTGAGTTCCCATTTTAAATTTGTGTTGTGCCAAATGTCATATCTCTAGAGAAATTATTCAGTGAGAAAAAAAATCTGACAGAGTAATTGCTTCATTTTTGCATATCTGTGAAATCCCTTAGGGAAATAAAGTCATCATACAAATATTATAAATTATTCCTGTATTTGTCACCAGAAAAGCCATTTGATATTCTTTGTAAGGATAGCTCTTCCCTTATTCATAAATAAGTTTCTGCATGTGTTTGTAATCCTGGAACACTTGTTGTACAATCATATGTATTTTCAGAGTTAGATATATGATTGTGATGATTAAATGACTAGGTAGAAAGAAAAATGCCAATTACCAGAAAAATGTAGACACTTAGCATTTAAGGTACTTTTATTTGTTAAAGTCTTGAATAATGAGGATGGAAGTTAATGGCATAAAAATATAAGAGGCATGCTCTAGGATCTTTCACTCAATATAAATGAAAGCTAATATTTATTAAGGGTTTGCCACACATTGGGCACAGTGCTATGCATATCACATACCCCATTTTGTGAAATCCGAAAAAGAGTGCTTTTGTATTTGCTAATTTCATCTGTAATAGAAAAAAATTATAGCCCAGAATTATTAAGAAACATGACCCAGACTACTCAGATCAGAAGTTCTGACATCAGAATGTGAACTCAACCAGTCGACTCCCAAACGTATGTTTCTACCAGTACAGTATGCTTTATGGTTTGTAGTGGAATTTCTTTCTGTACTAACCATGAGGGAAATATGTTATTATCCATATCTATTATAGGCAAAATGTCATAGAATTGGTTTGAGGGTTGAATGTGTTAAAACTTATAAAATAGATTAGTGTTTGGCTTATAAGAAACACCATGTAAGTGCTGGTTAAATTAGTGGTAAAACTAAAACACAGAATAAGGAACATGTCAAAAGAACAGAGCAGCATTTCAGAAATATCTAACTCCAGATCCTGTGAATTGATTTTATGCTAAGGCTATCATATTTTTATCAAGGCATTCATCTTTGTGTTTGGTCTAGTCCTAAAACTTAAGAATGTCAACCGGATGTGTGCATTTGTCAAATACACAAAGTTGGGCACTTTAAATATATGAATTTCACTGTATATAAATTATTGCATAAACAACATTAAACATTAAACAAAGAAACAAAGGTGAAATCTGACAGGAGCTTGATATATAAAAATGAATGAAGGTATGTAGGGAAAAGAAAGAGAGATCAGACTGTTACTGTGTCTGTGTAGAAAGGAAAGACATAAGAGACTCCATTTTGAAAAAGACCTGTACTTTAAACAATTGCTTTGCTGAGATGTTGTTAATTTGTAGCTTTGCCCCAGCCACTTTGACCCAACCACTTTGACCCAACCTGGAGCTCACAAAAACATGTGTTGTATGAAATCAAGGTTTAAGTGATCTAGGGCTGTGCAGGACATGCCTTGTTAACAAAATGTTTACAAGCAGTATACATTGGTAAAAGTCATCGCCATTCTCTAGTCTTGATAAACCAGGAGCACAATGCACTGTGGAAAGCCGCAGGGACCTCTGCCCTTGAAAGCGGAGTATTGTCCAAGGTTTCTCCCCATGTGATAGTCTGAAATATGGTCTGAAACCAGGGGCACATTGCACTGCGGAAAGCCGTAGGGACCTCTGCCCTTGAAAGCGGGGTATTGTCCAAGGTTTCTCCCCATGTGATAGTCTGAAATATGGCCTTGTGGCATGAGAAAGACCTGACCATCCCCCAGCCCGACACCCGTAAAGGGTCTGTGATGAGGAGGATTAGTAAAAGAGGAAAGCCTCTTGCAGTTGAGATAGAGGAAGGCCACTGTCTCCTGCCTGCCCCTGGGGACTGAATGTCTCGGTATAAAACCCGATAGTACATTTGTTCAATTCTGAGATCAGATAAAAACTGCCCTATGGTGGGAGGTGAGACACGTTTGCAGCAATGCTGCCTTGTTATTCTTTACTCCACTGAGATGTTTGGGTGGAGAGAAACATAAATCTGGCTTATGTGCATGTCCAGTCATAGTACCTTCCCTTGAACTTAATTATGACATAGATTCTATTGCTCACATGTTTGTTGCTGACCTTCTTATTATCACCCTGCCCTCCTACTACATTCCTTTTTGCTGAAATAATGAAGATAATAATTAATAAAAACTGAGGGAACTCAGAGGCTGGTGCAGGTCCTTGATATGCTGAGTGCCGGTCCCCTGGGCCCATTGTTGTTTCTCTGTACTTTGTCTCTGTGTCTTATTTCTTTTCTCAGTCTTTCATCCCACCCAACTAGAAATACCCACAGGTGTGGAGGGGCAGGCCACCCCTTCAAAGGTACATCACTACTATGATTGAATAGATGTAGACACAGCTTTTACTCGATGTTGTATAAATCACAAATAAAATCTTTGTTTCAGATATTCAAAAATAACCTTCTATAAGATGTTCTTGTGAATATAGATGATTTTTATATAGAAAAATAGAAGGTACATTTCATTAATATCAGTGTTAACAGTTTTTGTTGTTGTTGTAAGTAACAGAACACAGCTCTGGTTATGCTAAGCAAAACCGGAACATTCTGAAAGGATGTTAGGGCTCCTAAATCAATGTGCGGTTAAAAGACCAGGCTTAGAGAACAGATAGCAGCCTAGGCAGGTGTGGAGGCTGAGCAGATCAAACCACACAGAATCAGTGTTTCTTTGCAACATCAGCCTGATCTTCAAACCTCACTGTAATGAATTAGATGAAAAAAAATTTTGTCAAACTTGAGTCATTAACTCACTCCCTTAAGACAAGGAGAGGCTAGCATCTGACCCCTGCTTAAGCCTTTCTAAACAGAGAATCTCATCTCTCAGTGGAAACTAGAAGTGGAAGATCAAGAGGACAGAATTTCCATGACTCTCAACTTGACACATTGGAAAATTTCCTCCAAAAAATTCAAGTGGAGTGTTAATGGCTGGAATTTAATAGCTGTGCAACCCTCGAAACGCAAATATGTAGATATTTTTCAAAATAAGGGGAACAAATCATGCCCTGCCTGGAAAATCTCTATTGCATTGAGTCTGGAGGAAGAAGAAAGCAACAAGTGAGCCCCGCTTGTTTGCTCAGGCTTCTCCAAGAGGGGATTGAACTGGTGAAATCTATTCAGAAATAACAAGATCATTCAGTCAATATTGTTCTTTGATATCTTGTTCTTTCCTCTCTCTAAACTCATTCTCTGCCAGAATTATAATCAGGAATAAAGAAATTGGTTAGTTTTAAATGTTATGTTTTGGGGCAAGTCCACCTATAAAGTACATTTCTCAAATATAAAGAGGGGCAGAATAAGAGAAGGAGAAAGAAGAGAAGAAGAATAGAGACAGAAGCTGAATTAGAAGGGAATGAAAAGAAAGACAAAGGGACATAAAACAAGAAAAATAAAGGGCAGTATCAAAAAAGGCAGAGAGCTGCTTTGAATATCCCTACTTTAGTTTACCTGAAACAAAGTTCATTAGAAATAAAATGAGGAAAACTGCTGAAAAGAGGGGAAAACTTTTGGTAAGAAGATTATTACTCTACTGGTAATAATAGTAATAATCATGTTGCTATTGTATTGCAATCAATATATATGTAAAGTTCCTTTCTCCCACTGAAGGAAATTATGAGAAGGAACTTCACGTTGGTGACTGAGTTCATTCTCCTGGGACTGACGAATCACCAGGAATTACAGATTCTCCTCTTCATGCTGTTTCTGGCCATTTACATGGTCACAGTGGCAGGGAATCTTAGCATGATTGCCCTCATCCAGGCCAATGCCCGGCTCCACACGCCCATGTACTTTTTCCTGAGCCACTTATCCTTCCTGGATCTGTGCTTCTCTTCCAATGTGACCCCAAAGATGCTGGAGATTTTCCTTTCAGAGAAGAAAAGCATTTCCTATCCTGCCTGTCTTGTTCAGTGTTACCTTTATATCATCTTGGTACACGTTGAGATCTACATCCTGGCTGTGATGGCCTTTGACTAGTACATGGCCATCTGAAACCCTCTGCTTTATGGCAGCAAAATGTCCAAAAGTGTGTGTTCCTTCCTCATCACGGTGCCTTATGTGTATGGAGCGCTCACTGGCCTGATGGAGACCATGTGGACCTACAACCTAGCCTTCTGTGGCCCCAACGAAATTAATCACTTCTACTGTGCAGACCCACCACTGATTAAGCTGGCTTGTTCTGACACCTACAACAAGGAGTTGTCAATGTTTGTTGTGGCTGGCTGGAATCTTTCGTTTTCTCTCTTCATCATATTTATTTCCTACTTTTACATTTTTCCTGCTATCTTAAGGATTCGCTCTACAGAGGGCAGGCAAAAAGCTTTTTCTACCTGTGGCTCCCATCTGACAGCTGTTACTATTTTCTATGCAACTCTGTTCTTCATGTGTCTCAGACCTCCATCAGAAGAGTCCATGGAGCAAGGACAAATGGTAGCTGTACTTTATACCACTGTGATCCCCATGTTAATCCCATGATCTACAGTCTGAGGAACAAGGATGTGAAAAAGGCTTTATCCAAAGAACTGTTCAAAAGAAAATTGTTTCCTAAATAAACATCAGTATTGATTTTTGTCATGCTGTCATTTTATTTAGCCTATAATTTTTTCATAGAGCTTAGTGCAATACAAATTTATCCAAAATTATACATTTTCCTTGAAGGGTTAGGGAATTTTTATGAAGTGTGAATAAAAGAAATATGAGTATTTACATCAATTAACAGATAGTTTGATATCAATATAGTTTTAACTGCCCATACCCCAAAGTAAAAATTTCTATAGTGAGGAATCAATGTAAATAAAAAAAAATCTAATTTGTATTTTAGAAAATAAAACCCTTAAAACCAGACCTGGGTTTTCTTTTTGGAAGGAGTTAGGCATATAGTTTTAAACTGCTTCTTAAACATATATTAAGCTATTTTTTTTTTTTGAAACAGCATCTCACTCCATCACCCAGGATGGACTGGAGTGCAGTGGCATGATCACAGCTTACAGCAACCTTGATCTCAGGGTTTCAAACCATCCTCCCACTTACACCCCTCACCCCTGCCACAGTAGCTGGGACTACAGGTGTGCACCACCATACCACACTAATTTTTGTATTTTTTGTAGAGACGGGGTTTCATCATGTTGCCCAGACTGGTCTTGAACTGCTGAGTGCAAGTGATCTATCTGCCTGGGCCTCCAAAAGAGTTTGCATTACATGGGTGAGCCACTGTGCCCAGCCTGTAATAAGGTTTAAAAAAGAGCACTTCTGCTAAACTCTACTAGATACTTTTGCCTATCTTACAGAGGAAGTCAGCATTCCACTTTACCATGTCCAACCTAAAACGTAAGCCTCATCCCTTGCACACTCAGTTGTCATCTCAGCTGTTTCCTCTGCCTGTACCAACCTCATCTCCAGCCTAAAACACACCAATGCTTTGGTCCACAGTGAGGCACACTTATGTTTCCACAGTCCATATCTGGTTTATTTCTTGGCTTTTTAGAGGAAAAATAAATGACCAGTAGGATTCTAAATTGAATGTTACCTAAAAGTCTGTCTAAGGAGACCCAAGGCTAACAGATAATCTGTTCAATGCATGTCTAAAACCACATCAACCCAAAAGGTATAACATGTGGTTGTAATGATCTTGAAGATGTGTGTTTTTGGGTGTGGAGGCCTATAGTTCCCCTAGAGGTAACCTAGAACTTAAGATATAATCACATACAAGGAAGACGAGAGACTAATGATGAGGTGTGTGCAAGGTGAGAAATTAGAACAGAGATGCCCTCAGGAAATTCGGATTATTGAAGGGCTGCAACCTCTAGAGTAGGACAGAGTCAACAACAGCAACAACAAGGATGAAACTAGTCCGTTTAGGCTTTGTTTCATGGAGGAGTTAAAAAGTCTTATTTAAGAATTTATGACAATAGATTAACGGTCATATTAATTCAGCGTTTATATTTACACTGCTTTGATGGGCTATCAAATCTGAAGCTAAAAAAACATGAAATAGGCCCGGCGTGGTGGCTCACACCTGAAATCCCAGCACTTTGGGAGGCCCAGGCGGTTGGATCACGAGGTCAGGAGATTGAGACCATCTGCCTAACACGGTGAAACCCCGTCTCTACTAAGAGTACAAAAAATCAGCAGGGCGTGGTGGCGGGCGCCGGTAGTCTTAGCTACTCAGGAGACTGAGGCAGAAGAATGGCCTGAACTTGGGAGGCGCAGCTTGCAGTGAGTGGAGATTGAGCCACTGCACTCCAGCCTGGGTGACAGAAGGAGACTCTGTCTCAAAACAAACATAAACAAAAACAAAAACAAGCAAACAAAAAACAAAACATAAAGAGGCCCAGGTTAGAAGAAACCTCATGACACTGGAATAAGCAAATATAAACATAAGTCAGAGAATGAATTATCAACTACTCAGACTTCAAAGATATCCCGCAGATAAGTTTCTAATTGACAGACATTTTCCAGGAAAATAAGAAATAAAAAGCACAAATGAATACCTTCAACTTATTACAGATATTAGGATTACTTGATGCAAATTATAAAATAAAGATATTTAATCATTGAAATAAGTGTGAAAATTAAAATTCGAAGACCATATATATGTGTGTATATATATGTATGTGTACATATATATGCAAAGACTGATTATATAAAGCAATAATTATATATAATATGTAGAGTTCCGAGCATATCTGCAGGCCGAAGGAGAGACTCTGTGTTTTATAGGCATTGAAGCATTTTACATTTTTTTTTATGTTCTCAGCACCTTTATTTATTTATTTATTTTTTTAGTATTTATTGATCATTCTTGGGTGTTTCTCGAAGAGGGGGATTTGGCAGGGTCATAGGACAATAGTGGAGGGAAGGTCAGCAGATAAACATGTGAACAAGGGTCTCTGGTTTTCCTAGGCAGAGGACCCTGCGGCCTTCCGCAGTGTTTGTGTCCCTGGGTACTTGAGATTAGGGAGTGGTGATGACTCTTAACGAGCATGCTGCCTTCAAGCATCTGTTTAACAAAGCACATCTTGCACCGCCCTTAATCCATTTAACCCTGAGTGGACACAGCACATGTTTCAGAGAGCACGGGGTTGGGGGTAAGGTTATAGATTAACAGCATCCCAAGGCAGAAGAATTTTTCTTAGTACAGAACAAAATGGAGTCTCCTATGTCTACTTCTTTCTACACAGACACAGTAACAATCTGATTTCTCTTTCTTTTCCCCACATTTCCCCCTTATCTATTTGACAAAACTGCCATCGTCATCATGGCCCATTCTCAATGAGCTGTTGGGTACACCTCCCAGACGGGGTGGCGGCCGGGCAGAGGGGCTCCTCACTTCCCAGACGGGGGGGCCGGGCAGAGGCGCCCCCCACCTCCCGGGCGGGGTGGCTGCTGGGCGGGGGCTGCCCCCCACCTCCCTCCCGGATGGGGCGGCTGGCCGGGTAGGGGCTGCCCCCCACCTCCCTCCCGGACGGGGCAGCTGGCCGGGCGGGGGCTGCCCCCCACCTCCCTCCCGGACGGGGCAGCTGGCCGGGCAGGGGCTGACCCCCACCTCCTGGACAGGGCGGCTGCTGGGTGGAGACACGCCTCACTTCCCGGATGGGGCGGCTGCCAGGCGGAGGGGCTCCTCACTTCCCAGACGTGGCGGCTGCCGGGCGGAGGGGCTCCTCACTTCTCAGATGTGGCGGCGGCCATGCGGAGGAGCTCCTGACTTCTCAGGCAGGGCAGCCGGGCAGAGACGGTCCTCACCTCCCAGACGGGGTGGCGGTCGGGCAGAGACACTCCTCAGTTCCCAGACGGGGTCGCGGCCAAGCAGAGGCGCTCCTCACTTCCCAGACTGGGTGGCCGAGCAGAGGGGCTCCTCACATCCCAGACGATGGGCGGCCAGGCAGAGACGCTCCTCACTTCCCAGACAGGGTGGCGGCTGGGCAGAGGCTGCAATCTGGGCACTTTGGGAGGCCAAGGCAGGCAGCTGGGAGGTGGAGGTTGTAGCAAGCCGAGATGACGCCACTGCACTCCAGCCTGGGTAACATTGAGCACTGAGTGAGTGAGACTCCGTCTGCAATCCCGGCACCTCGGGGGGCTGAGGCGGGCAGATCACTCGCGGTCAGGAGCTGGAGACCAGCCCGGCCAACACGGCGAAACCCACCAAAAAATACAAAAACCAGTCAGGTGTGGCGGGGCATGCCTGCAATCCCAGGCACTCGGCAGGCTGAGGCAGGAGAATCAGGCAGGGAGGTTGCAGTGAGCCGAGATGGCGGCAGTACAGTCCAGCCTCGGCTGGGCATCAGAGGGATACCGTGGAGAGAGAGGGAGAGGGAGAGGAAGAGGGAGACCGTGGAGGGAGAGGGAGAGGGAGACCGTGGAAGGAGAGGGAGAGGGAGAGCATTGAAGCATTTTAGAGTGGATAGGTAGGTATATAAATTTTCACATTGAAAGGAAGAGGAAGAAACAGCTAAGTCCCTCTCATGAGACTGTCTTGGAGAGGGTTACAGCAGAGAGGCTGCCTTTCTCTCCTTCCTCCTCAGTAAATTTTCTACAGACCTTGGCAGCCTAATCTCTACAGTCCTGCAGCAGTGAGTCCTCTGAACTGGCACCATAGTTCACTGGGAAAGGCATTCATCCATCAAGTTCAGAGAGGTGGCCATCCATGTTGCTAAACAGAATAAAACAAAAATTCACTTTGTCATCTGCCTGACATTGGCCTTGCTATGCAATAGCATCATAAACTGCCTGAAAGGTCTTATTATTTTCAAAGGATTTTGTGCTGTCTACAAGTGGTATTTTTCTCCACCTCAGAAATAAAATATTTTAGGATTGACCCACCTCAAATTTCGGTTTGTCTTGGTTATCGGCCACTGCTTATATAAGTCTAATTGTGTGACAGAAGTTCCCAATGCTCTGCTTCATGAAGTACCCTTTAGGACTACCTCTTGTCTCTTCAGTTCTTCAATCAACTTTTTCCTGAAGTTCTCGTGTGGGGATCTGATATAAACAGTAGGCAGCTGCTGGCATCCAGCCCAGAGCCACCTCTTCCAGGCCCAGGACATCCTTAAAGCACCTCTGACCAGCAACCTCAATCTGGCCAACACTTTTTTCAGCATATACAGGTAAATCTCCATGGGCTTGATCAGCACCTTCACAAATCAGAAAAGAAACCACAACCCAGAGTAAAGAAAAAACAACCTTTCAAAGTTAGTAAGGCTATTGGTGGTGTTAAAATATCACCCGGTTAAAAAACAAACAAACTGATAGCAGAAAAAAATGGCAAAATATGAACTGGTGCTATATAAAAACATATTTAAAGAACCAAGTAACTTATGACTTTGTGCTCAACCTGAATAATAATTAGGGAAGTGTACATTACAAGATATCTGTATCTTTATATATCTGTACCTATATATCTGTGTCTGTATGTTGCAGAATGACAGAAAAACTGATATTGTTAAGCATTGGAGAGACTGTGGAACAACTGACCCTCTCATATAATGCTAGTGGGAATGCAAATGGATATAAACAGTATGGAAAACTACTAGGCAGCATAAATTTAAGCTGCACATATTTATACTCCATAAACCAACACTACTGCCCAAAGTACTAACAGGCAGAAATACATGAATATGTTCGTGAAGAGATATGCACAAGATTGAATTTTGTAACAGCCACACCTGGAAGTATCCTATATGTGTATCAATAGTAGGAAGGATTTATTAATTTTGGTGTACTTACTATACAGCCGTGGAGATGAAGGAATTATTTACATATTCATGACACTCCTCATTTTGAATAAAAATCACCAACATAATATTTAGCACCAATGTAGTGTTCATTGGAAGGCTAGACCTAACAGAATATGCACTGTATAATTTCTATTATGGAAAACTCAAAAGCAGACACAATTAATGTACAGTGTTAAAAGTGAAGATGTAGTTAATTTGAGGTTAGTGACTAGGAAAGGGCAAGCAGAGAGATAGTGCAGTACTGTTAATGTTCTACTTGAGGATTTAGAGGCAAGTAATACAAGTATGTTCACTTTGTAAAAATTCATGAAGCTGTACGCCTACATTTTGTGCACACTTTCTGTGTGTAAATTAGACTTCAATATAAAGGTTACTAAAAACGAATAAAAATAGTACTAGACTTCAAGCAAGTAAAGCTTCATTCCAATATCAAAGCATTCTATTTACCCATCAGTACACAGAGGGTATTAGTTTGCTAGGGCTGCCACAAATAAGTACCATGAACTTGGTGACTTAAACATGCAGATTTATTTCCTCACAGTTCTAGAGGCTAGAAGTCCAAGATCAAGGTGTGGGCAAAACTGGTTTCATTCTGAGTTCTTTTTCTATCTTGTGGATGATCATCTTATCCCGACCTCTTTACACTTTCTTTTTCTGTGTGTATCTGTATTCTAATCTCTTCTTATAAGGATGCAAGTCATATTGGATTAGGGCACAGCTCACCCACTAGACCTTATCTTACTTAAATGTTCTCTTTCGATATCGTGTCTCCAACAGTCACGCTCTGTGGGGCTTGGAGCTGGAACTTCAGCATAAGAATTTTGGAGAGTGAGGGAAGAGGCACAATCCAGTCCATAACACAGATTAAGAAATGTAAAATGCTAATAGAATTTTGACACAAAGTTTGTGACACTGGTAGGAGAGAAACTGTATCAGAAAAGTTGAATTAAGTTGAAAGTAACATGGTAAACCTAAGGCAATGTGAGAATCCATGGCAGTCAGGAATGTTATTGTATGGATTTTCTAATGTAAGAAGGAAAATGCTGAGACTGAAACATAAGGCAGAGAAGGACCAGAGAGTTGTGAGTTCCCATTTTAAATTTGTGTTGTGCCAAATGTCATCTCTCTAGAGAAATTATTCAGTGAGAAAAAAAATCTAACAGAGTAATTGCTTCATTTTTGCATATCTGTGAAATCCCTTAGGGAAATAAAGTCATCATACAAATATTATAAATTATTCCTGTATTTGTCACCAGAAAAGCCATTGATATTCTTTGTAAGGACAGCTCTTCCCTTATTCATAGGTAAGTTTCTGCATGTGTTTTTAATCCTGGAACTCTACTTGCTATACAATCGTATGTATTTTCAGAGTTAGATATATGATTGTGATGATTAAATGACTAGGTAGAAAGAAAAATGCCAATTACCAGAAAAATGTAGACAGTTAGTATTTAAGATACTTTTATTTGTTAAAGTTTTGATTAATGAGGATGGAAGTTAATGGCATAAAAATATAAGAGGCATGCTCTAGGATCTTTCACTCAATATAAATGAAAGCTAATATTTATTAAGGGTTTACCACACATTGGGCACAGTGCTACGCATATTACATACTCCATTTTGTGAAATCCTAAAAATAGCACTTTTGTGTTTGTTAATTTCATCAGTAATAGAAAAAAACTATAGCCCAGAGTTATTAAGAAATATGACCCAGACTACTCAGATCAGAAGTTCTGACATCACAGTGTGATCTCAACCAGTTGACTCCAAAGCACATGTTTCTACCAGTACAGTATGCTTTATGGTTCGTAGTGGAATTTCCTTCTGTACTAACCATGAGGGAAATATGCTATTATCCATACCTATTACAGGCAGAGTGTCATAGAATCGGTTTGAGGGTTGAATGTGTTAAAACTTATAAAATAGATTAGCGTTTGGATTATAAGAAACACCATGTAAGTGCTGGTTAAATTAGTTGTAAAACTAAAACACAGAATAAGGAACATGTCAAAAGAATAGAGCAGCATTTCAGAAATATCTAACTCCAGATCCTGTGAACTGATTTTATGCTAAGCCTATTGCATTTTTATCAAAGCATTCATCTTTTTGTTTGGTTGAGTCCTAAAACTTAAGAATGTCAACCAGATGTGTGCATTTGTCAAACACACAAAGTTGGGCACTTTAAATATGTGAATTTCACTGTATATAAATTATTGCAAAAACAACATTAAACAAAGAAACAAAGGTGAAATCTGACAGGAGCTTGATATATAAAAATGAATGAGGGTACATCACTACTATGATTGAATAGATGTAGACACAGCTTTTACTCAATGTTGTATAAATCACAAATAAAATCTTTGTTTCAGATATTCAAAAATAACCTTCTATAAGTTGTTCTTGTGAATATAGATGATTTTTATATAGAAAAATAGAAGGTACATTTCATTAATATCAGTGTTAACAGTTTTTGTTGTTGTTGTAAGTAACAGAACACAGCTCTGGTTATGCTAAGCAAAACCGGAACATTCTGAAAGGATGTTAGGGCTCCTAAATCAATGTGCGGTTAAAAGACCAGGCTCAGAGAACAGATAGCAGCCTAGGCAGGTGTGGAGGCTGAGCAGATCAAACCACACAGAATCAGTGTTTCTTTGCAACATCAGCCTGATCTTCAAACTTCACTGTAATCAATTAGATGAAAAAATATTTTGCAACCTTGAGTCATGAACTTACTTAAGACAAGCAGGGACTAACATCTGACCCCTGCCTACTCCTTTATGGTTTTTTTTTTTTTTTTTTTTTTTTTTTTTTTTTTTTGAGACAGCATCTGGCTCTGTCGTCCAGGCTGGAGTGCAGTGGCACCGTCTTGGCTCACTGCAAGCTCCGCCTCCCGGGTTCACGCCATTCTCCTGCCTCAGCCTCCTGAGTAGCTGGGACTACAGGCGCCTGCCACCACACCTGCCCTGACTACTCCTTTCTAAACAGAGAATCTGGTCTCTCAGTGGAAACTAGAAGTGGAAGATCAAGAGGAGAGAATTTCCATGAGTCTTAACTCCACATAATGGAAAATTTCCTCCAAAAAATTCAAAGAGAGTGTTACTGGCTAGAGAATTTAATAGCTGTGCAACCCTCAAAAGGCAAATATGCAGACACTTTTCAAAATAAGGGGAAAAAAATCATGCCCTGCCTGGAGAATCCCTATTGCACTGAGCCTGGAGGAATAAGAAAGCAACAAATGAGCCCAACCTGTTTGCTCAGGCTTCTCCAGGAAGGGATCGGATTGGTGAAAACTATTCACAAAGAACAAGATCCTCGGGCAAATATTGCTTTTTGATACTTGTCCTTTTCTCTCTTTACGCGCATTCTCTGCCCAGTATTATAATCGGGAAAAAAGAAATTGCTTAGTTCTGAATGTTATGTTTTGGGGCAAGTCCACCTATAAAGTACATTTCTCAAATAAAAGGAGAGGCAGAATAAGGGGAGGAGAAACGAGAGAAGAAGAATAGAAAAACAGAAGCTGAATTTGAAGGGAGTGAAAAGAAAGAAAATGGAAAGAAAACAAGAAAAATAAAGGGCAGTATCATAAAAGGTAGAGAGCTGCTTTGAATATCCCTAATTTAGTTTACCTGAAACAAAGTTCAGTAGAAATAGAATGAGGAAAACTGCCAAAAAGAGGGGACGTTTTTGGTAAAAGATCATTACTGTAATAGTAATAATCATGTTGCTATTGTATTGTAATCCAATATATATGTAAAGTTCCTTTCTTCCACCGAAGGAAATTATGAGAAGAAACTGCACGTTGGTGACTGAGTTCATTCTCCTGGGACTGACCAGTCGCCGGGAATTACAAATTCTCCTCTTCACGCTGTTTCTGGCCATTTACATGGTCACGGTGGCAGGGAACCTTGGCATGATTGTCCTCATCCAGGCCAACGCCTGGCTCCACATGCCCATGTACTTTTTCCTGAGCCACTTATCCTTCGTGGATCTGTGCTTCTCTTCCAATGTGACTCCAAAGATGCTGGAGATTTTCCTTTCAGAGAAGAAAAGCATTTCCTATCCTGCCTGTCTTGTGCAGTGTTACCTTTTTATCGCCTTGGTCCATGTTGAGATCTACATCCTGGCTGTGATGGCCTTTGACCGGTACATGGCCATCTGCAACCCTCTGCTTTATGGCAGCAGAATGTCCAAGAGTGTGTGCTCCTTCCTCATCACGGTGCCTTATGTGTATGGAGCGCTCACTGGCCTGATGGAGACCATGTGGACCTACAACCTAGCCTTCTGTGGCCCCAATGAAATTAATCACTTCTACTGTGCGGACCCACCACTGATTAAGCTGGCTTGTTCTGACACCTACAACAAGGAGTTGTCAATGTTTATTGTGGCTGGCTGGAACCTTTCTTTTTCTCTCTTCATCATATGTATTTCCTACCTTTACATTTTCCCTGCTATTTTAAAGATTCGCTCTACAGAGGGCAGGCAAAAAGCTTTTTCTACCTGTGGCTCCCATCTGACAGCTGTCACTATATTCTATGCAACCCTTTTCTTCATGTATCTCAGACCCCCCTCAAAGGAATCTGTTGAACAGGGTAAAATGGTAGCTGTATTTTATACCACAGTAATCCCTATGCTGAACCTTATAATTTATAGCCTTAGAAATAAAAATGTAAAAGAAGCATTAATCAAAGAGCTGTCAATGAAGATATACTTTTCTTAAAAATCAGTATTCTTTTGGTTTCTAAAGCCCTTCCTAGACTTTTTTCTTTAGCTGAGAAATATAGTGCATCAATGGAGAACATTGCAGTTTTCAAAACTTTATTTATTTTTATTTTATTATTATATTTTGAGATGGAGTTTCTCTCTGTCTTAGGCTGGAGTGCAGTGGTGTGATCTCGGCTCACTGCAACCTTTGCCTCCCGGGTTCAAGCAATTCTCCTGCCTCAGCCTCCCGAGTAGCTGGGAACACAAGCGCACACCACCATGCCCGACTCATTTTTTGTATTTTAGTAGAGACAGGGTTTCACCATGCTGGCCAGGCTCGGCCTCCCAAAGTGCTGGGATTACACGCATGAAACACCGCGCCCAGTCTAAAAACTTTATTTTCTAAAATTCAAATACGTACAATTTTGTTCACAAAAGCTTTTATGTTTTAAGTTGTCATTCATCTTGTTCAGCAGTTATTTTAAGTTCTTTGTCTTCCGTGCACAGAATGGCTTTGTACCTCCATGCCCTTAGGTTTAGGTAAGATCATGTGGCTATTTCTGGAAGATGAGATTAAAATTCACATATGTCACTTCTCAGTTGAATACTTAATTGATTGTTAGAACATTTTTGAGTGGATCTGTTGTTTTTATTTTTTCCATGGTGACCAGCAAGACTTAATATAGTGGCTGCCCAGTCAGGAGACATGGAACACTGTTCTCATCCGACTCACAATGGCAATACAAAACGGCTGATAAATAACGTTTTCATAAGCTACTATGATATGTGGAGTTTGCTTGTTTCCCTAGCACAAAATAGCCTATTCTGATTGATGCCATATTAATTATACAAATTCACACAGGCTGAATTATATAACATAGAATGAGAACATCACAAACCTTGAAGAAATCACATTTGAGATTTTGTTTTGTGTTCTTGTAGTCATTTTTAATGCTTTTACATACACATGTGTGTTCAGTTAAAATTATTTATTATAATTACCATTTGAACCTACTCATGATTAATGTATGTAGTTTTAAATGTCAAATAATATTACAAGCCATATATAAACTCCTGTCTCACTTCTACCTTACCACTAACTCCCCATAGATAATACTTTCTTGTTATTTCCTTTGGAAATTAACCCATTTTAAATTATATGCTTGTATTCCTCTGTACTGATTTTTCAAATATGCACATAATTTATTGACATCTGTTTATTAAAGATAAGGTGCCATCATTCTTTCACCAATCACTTCATTCTTACCCTACAATGATCACTTCTTTCTCTTCATTGTCACAGTAGGATCACATTTGAATTTTTGGCTTAATCAGTATCTACTGTTAAAATTACTATGAATGTATCATTAATAATACCTGAAGTATACTATAATACTTTGAGCATCACTAACACTAGTATTAATTATTAATAATATGAATACTACTATGATTGTAATTCTCTTCTTGCACAGTTACTGGATTTTCATAAAGTTGACAATGGCCTCCAGTTTTGCTCTTCTTTTTGTATAGTAGCTACTTTTCCCCAAACTGTCACTAAACTGTAAAGCACCTTTATAGGGTCAAACACAATAGATGATCTATAGTTTCCATATTTTTTTCTCAGACGTTCTCTGTCCTCCCATTGGATTCTGCTCTGTTTGCAGAGCTGTTATTTGAAGATAATGATTCCAATCATTGGTTTAAGGCATTTCATTCATTCAACTTGATTACATGACAATATGCAACAAACTGGAGATTCAACAAAAATAAGACAGAAAAAAGTCTTAAAGAGAGTTTTATGGAACAGTTAATGAACTTTTCTGCTGTTATCATGAGTGGCACAAGGTCAGAGATAACTAGGTCCATGCATGTTTGTATTTTTCTGCAATGTCAGAATTTTCTTGATGCTATTTCAATCATAAAATCCATGAGCTACATGGGGTTCCCGAGGAGGCAATTCTCCTTAAAACTTCCTGTTCACTCAGTAGTCAGAGCCATGGGCAAACAGGCTCAAGTCATTCAACAAGTCAGTCAGTATTGCAGTCCATGAATTACAGTATATTTAATCAGTCTATAAATGTAATAGATTACACATTGTACAGCAAACAAAGTAACATTTATCATCAAGAATAAAGGGACTGGAAATGGGTTAAGGAACCAGTCCACTGAGAGTGACATGAACAAAAAGAATAGCCTACTCAGGCCCTGGTGGTCCATCAATAACCTTGTAAAGAAGAGTTTTCGTTGTGGGCAAAGCCTTCAGTGGCAAATGCAAGATGCTTATCTCAAGTGATAACAAGATGGTGTCTTTTAAGGTGGCTGTTTCAAGCTGCTGAAATCCTGCTCTTTTATGGACACAGAGTCCTCTAGTAAGAACTGATAGTGGAAGAGTGACTTTGTTATGTCCTTATCTGGTTGGATGCAGTCTTTCTTGATTAGGCAAAACATCTGGCCCTTGTTGGCATGATGCCTTTAAAAATGTAAGATGAAGTCATTTTCTAAGATGGAGTAACTTATATCAATGGGGCTCTATACTACGATTCAGCCCCAGGTTCCCTTCTACACTTTCCTTTACCCTTACCATTTCAGCCTTAGCTGAAGAGCTGGGTGCAGTGGCTCATGTTTGTAATCCCAGCACTTTGGGAGGCTGAGGTGGGTGAATCACCAGAGGTCAGGAGTTCGCCACTAGCCTGGCCAACATGGTAAAACCCTGTTTCTACTAAAAATACAAAAATTAGCTGAGCATGCTGGTGGACACCTGTAATCCCAGCTATTTGGGAGGCTGAGGCAGGAGCATTGCTTGGACCCAGGAGACAGAGGTTGCAGTGAGCCGAGACCGCACTGTTGCCCTCCAGCCTGGGCAACAAGAGTGAAATTCTATCTCAAGAAAATAGACTTAGCTGAAGAATTATCTCTTCCTGCAAGGTTTCTTTAACACATTCAGGATGTGTAGTGTCAACTGAGGAATGATGAGATTCATAAATTTAGAAAGGTGGACTTTCTCATAAAGGGTTGTAGCCTGTAGGGTGACCGTTCTGACAGGCTGTGAAGCATATCCTCCAGCTAGAAGTTGGAAAGAGACACTTCGACAGTATGAAGAGTAAGACAGGGATTTATGCTGAATGGGATGACCAAATATATTACACATATATGATAATACATATTCAACAGGCTATAGAAAAAACTATGAATATTCACAAAGAAGAGGCACAGGCATGAATAGTAGGCTAATATAAGCAACATGCATCCCATGTTCCCTTTGGAGTGGGGACTTAACATTTAAATGTGTCATGATTAGACTCTATGCACCAAAAGGTGAATCAGAAGACACCAAGACCCTCTGTGCACAGCCTCTGTTGACTGGCAAGAGCCACTAGGTTATTGGTGGTCTCTTATCAAGAAGGAATGCTGGTCAATTGCTGTGTTGAAACCGCAAAAAGAGAAGTCCAGTGTCAGGTGGTTTGCAGATATCAGTGGTGGTGCGAGTCTCACAAGGGCAGGTTTCTGTTTAACCCTTATTGTAGGAAGCCTAATGGTGTTTAGCAAGGGAGGGGAGATAACGAGGCATGTCTGATCTCCCATCTGTCATGGCAGGAACTCAGATTTTAAAGTTTTTCTGAGGTTTCCTTGACCAAGAGGCAGTCTGTTCAATTGATTCAGGGGTTAGGATTTTATTTGTATTTCTCATTAGGTACCACATGATGATTCACCCACAGATTCACAATTATATTATTGCATTCATAACATGGTTCTATAATTATATGCATGTAAATCTGTTCCTTCCACTATTTTAGCAAGTTCTCAAAGGAAAGGACCACATCTTTTTGTTTTTATATTTTTACCACCTTAAGATAGTGTTCTATAAAGGGAGGATGCCCATTTTTTTTTTGAAACTGTGAGAACAATCCCTTCCACTTTCTACCTTTGTCTGTAATTATGGCCAATTACAGATTTCTCTCCATGATACTCGCTTCTCCCATCCTAACATATATTCAAGGCAGAACAATAGATCATTTAGTTTAAGAAAACCATGTTCAAGTTCTTTATCATAAATGGCCCACTGAAAGCCCAGCAACGTGAATCATAACTGAGCAAGAATTGGAGAAAGTAATTTCATTGGCAGCAGACAGGAAAGATCACATACTACATCCTATTCTTCATAGCAGAGAGACAGATAACAATAAATGCTGAACTACAGTAAAAGATGTTAAGGGAAATATTTGTGAGGAATAAATCTTTGTAGCAGTGTATTTTCCTTGATATGCAATCATAATTATCCATAGCATTTGGGAAACAACTGACAATTTTTATCACCTTTATAAATGTTAGTTTTGATCTTTATAGCAAGGTTATAATGGAAAAATCAACCACTGTGTAATAAAATTATTTTAAAATGAACAGAATTACACTAGGCTGTCTGGGACAGAGGCAAGGGAAGGGCTGAGTCATGATTTAAGGTGCAGGAAACAAAAGGGACCTCATTGTTGCTCAGACAGAAAAGAGGTTTGGTGGGAATCAGACAACAGGTATATATTGAGACAACGAAATATCCAATCCTTGAAAAAGTACATTCTTGTGCATCACTTTTTCATAGCCAACCGTCCTAAGATTTATGCCATGTGATAAGCTGATGATAAAACATTCTCTTCAAGTTGAAACAGAATACAGTTGTGGAAAAATATTTGGCTTTGTAATTATTCAGAACTGAGCCTGAATCCTAGTTTTATTACTATTTTGTTAGCTGGGTAAACTTAGAGAAGTTCCCTCTCCATATCAGTTTATTCAAATGCAAAACCCCATTTCATGGAGTTATTGTGAATATCAAATATTATTTTTAATATACATTTTCCTCAATTGCATTTTGAGGCAAGTATGCTGAGTTCCAGTGTGGACTCAATTTCATGAAAGTTTTTTAACATGGGAAACATGATCAAAACAATAAGTTAAATATGTTAGTTATTCATTTATTTAACATATGATTATTGTCCCTGTCAGTCACTTTCATCATTGGCAGTCACCAGTCTCTTCTACCTGTTTCATTGTTTCTTCATCAGTCTCTTCCTGTTGTATTGTTTCATCTATCTGTTTCTAAAACATTTCATGTTTTTTCCAGAAATTATTTGTACCTAGTATTATTTGTTTACATATCTTAGGCATCCCATCAAAATGCAAATCCCTTTGTTGAAGAAATCCTTTAAAAATATTTTTATTATTCAGATTAAATAGTATTGAAGTTTGTACTTAGTACATATTCTTGTGTGAACTTGATAAAGGACAAACAATGGAGGAAATATGGTAGTGCTCTTGAGATGGGAAGGACAATTACCTGAATTCAGGTTTCATGAGAAGTTAAGTGTCCTCAGACTATTTTAAATTTGTTTTTCAGTATTGTATAAAGTGCTACCCTCGTTGGATAACAGGTGATTGCTTTGAGCTCTACTGAAGTATAAAATATAGATTTTTTTCTAACATCTTGATTCAAGATAAAATAGTACAACCAATTAGTATTTCCCTTGAGAATGTTCTCCACTGTGATTTCACTTCTAATTACCTCTTCTTACACATTTGGGGATTCTCCTGAGATATATGCTGATGCCAGTGATGTGGGTATATATCTTCCAGCACTGGCCAGAATTTGACCTTTGGTGTCATGAAAAAGACACCCTTATTTTCACAGGTAAGAAAGGAAATGTTTTTGCATATTATTTTTCAGTATCTAATAATGTCTGTATTCACTTTGTTAAATTGTGTACATTTTAGACAGCAATGTGTTTAAATAGGTAGTTTTGAGGCAAATTTGCACAGACAATGCATTTTCCATGAAAGAAAATCTGTAGGGAGCTTACTTAGCTTCATCTTTCACTTTTTTGATATTACCAGTGTTATTGAAACATCCTGGTGGAATTTCATAGTATGGCTATTTCAGCAGATGTTTTCACTGTTATTAGTTTCAAGTAATATTATTTTTGTGTTTTCCATTTGCCTAATGTCTTGGTGCCTACTGTCACCAATCGCCACAAGAAAAAGGCAAGTTGAAAATAATTTAAGTCTACATAGCTTAATTAATCACATAAAATTTTTCTGACGTCTAAGTAAAATAAATGCTCAAACAGGCTTTTTATTGTGACCATTAAACATGTGTGAAAGTGGTCCATTAGCTTCAGTATGTGGAGCTAACGAACTTGGGTGAGTAGATCTTAAGTTCTCTTGGGTTCTCTTATTTTATAAGATTCTGGGTTCTTTTCCAATGCCCTATTTTTGTCTAGAGACCTAGTTTTTTTACAAGCAATACTTGTGCCTCAGTGAGACTTTAGTTTTCAGAATATTATTTTACTTTTTTCAACAAAATACTTGAAACATAAATCAGCCTGATTATAATCAAATCAGTCTGATTATAATCAAATCAGTCTGATTCTAATCAAATAACTAACTTGTGTCAAGGACCTTAAACAGTAAGTTGATGAATGAAATTCTCATACCTATTTTTCTAGGCTGCACAAGTAGTCACAGAATCATTCTCGGGTCATTATCAAATTCATCATCATCAAAGTTATTGACTGCATTTGAATGTTTGTTTTGAGTGTTTCTTGCCTCTCAGCAGCAGTGGACAGATTTCTCATGGGCTCTATATCTGTATATTAGCTGTCTCTGATTGCCATTGTCCCGCAATGCTAGAATTAAAATATGGTTAACGATAATGGTCTCCACTAAAAGTGCATGTCCAGATGACCAGTGAAACCTGAGCAAATTTGCAAAGCTCCTTAGAGACTAAGTCAGGACTAAAACCAAGACCCTGGATTGAAGAAGTTGCTCACCACCAGAGAGTTAAAAGAAGCCCTTGTGCCTTCCTTCTTGCCAATTAAGTTACAATTCATAGGCATTATTCTAGATTCTTGGCCCAGATTTTTCATATTCTTTACAGTTTCGGCACTGATACCTCGGCTGGCTCGCTTTCTTCTTCCTCATCCATCTCTTATCTTTGTTAGAGTGCTTGTCACTATCATCTGTAACTCAAAGACAACTCTAACTCAAAGTCCTCATTTATTCATATTTGTTTCCTGGGACAGGATAAGGAGGCAATAATATTAGATAAATTGAATTTTAACATTTTGGAAACAATTTCTGTCATTACCCAACCAGTCAATGGAACCAAAGGAAGAGATAGACCTTTCTGGGAAAGTAAAATATTACAGAAGGAGAGCACCGTTCTGAGAATTATAATATATGATTTGTCTTCTGATTCTTCTGCTTATGAGTTGTAAGCTGGGACCAGAATGTCAAATTTTCTGAGCCTGGTTACTCACCTAACTAAATTTATTTCTACTATATTGTCCACTGCTCTATTTCTAGCATCCAGCACCATGTCTGGAACTTGAAAAATGCTCAATAATTATCTGCTATAAGCACGCATGCATACACAAATGCATGGCTGACAACATATTACAAAGTAAATTAGTGTTTTTTTAACTATAAAATTTCACTTTAATAAGAGTTTAGCAATTGTTGTAAGATCTCATACAATTTAATAGAAAATATGTGTCTGATATTCTTAGATTAGGTGAAAAATAAAGTGCTACTCGTATTGACTTCCTGAGACTGCTCAGAAGAGATAAGTTTTATCAGCTTCTGACAAGTTCTCCACTAATGACATTTGCTCATGTCTGAATTGCCCCATGGAAAAAAATTAGATGTAAATTTCATTTTACGCAATTGTTAGTATACTGAAATTGTTTTTAACCAAAATTTGGAGACAGATTAACACATATGATATTTTAACTTAATTTGATATTTTATATATTTAAGATAATTTGTGATAAATTCAGTAAATGCATAATGTCTATATAAATTGTAAGCTACAAAATATAATGAATACACATTAAACCACTCCCTAGAATTATAAGTAATTTCTGTGCATTGTTTAAAGTAAATGCACAATTTAATAATTTTCCCATTTAAATAATCTATAATCCATTAAGCCAATAGTAAATACTAAAATAGTCCCTCTTTCCAACCCTGATCTGAAATGTCATCTTTGTTATATGCCACATCACCTATATACATGTAGCTGTTCCTGGACTTTCTATTCTGGAACATTAGTTAAAGTGTATATTTTTTTCCAATTTCATGTCAATAACACACTGTCCTGAATACTGGTTTTACAGCAAATCTTGATATCTAATAAGTAACTCTGCTTATTGCCCTGAGAGATATTGAGTCTTACGGTTATTTTATACTTCCGTATAAATATTAGAATCAGCTATTCCACAAGAATTGTGTTTGAATTTTGATTGGAATTTATTTGACTCTATGGGTCACTTAGGAAAGACTGACCTTTTTATGCTATTGAATCCTTCCCTTAGTGAACAAAGAATCTCTCTCCATTTTTAGTTCTTTCTTTCTCTCTCTTTTCTTTCCTTTCCTTTCCTTTCCTTTCTTTCCTTTCCTTTCCTTTCTTTCTTTCTTCTTTCTTTTTCTTTCTTTCTTTCTTTCTTCCTTCCTTCCTTCCTTCCTTCCTTCCTTCCTTCCTTTCTTTGTTTCTGAGACGAACTCTCGCCTCTCTTTGCCACCCAGGCTGGAGTGCAGTGGCATGATCTCAGTGCACTACAACCTCTGCCTCCTGTGTTCAAGTGATTCTCCTGCCTCAGTCTCCTGAGTAGCTGGGGTTACAGGTGCACACCTCCATACCTGGCTGATTTGTTTTATTTTTAGTAGAGACAGGGTTTCACCATGTTGGCCAGGCTGGTCTCGAACTCATGACCAGAAGTGATCAACCCGTCTTGGCCTCCCAAAATGCTGGGATTATAGGCATAAGCCACCACATCCAGCCCATTTTTAAGGCTTTTTAATGTTGTGTGGCAATGGCATCAAAGTGATCACATAATTTATTCTGGGTATATTAGCAGGGAGTAAGTATAGATTGAGAACCTGAAAACATTTTTTTAATCATCTTAGGGTGATTGAGTTAATTCCTTTTATCCTAATGGCTAAACTACACATCAGGGTTAACATAATGGAGGAATAGGAAATTCTTTGATATAGGACTTCTTTATACAGAGATATAAAAGAGCATGTGAGCCAAGCAGGGGACTATAATGTTGGTTCTATGCAGCATGAATGTTGTAAAATAGCAAGAAATTAAAATATAGGAACAAATTAAAACATAGATTGATACCTCAAAGATAATACATATGAAATTTCATATAGAATTGAGATATTGATGAAGGAGCATAAATACACTTGTTTAACCCAACAGACAGACAGGCTAAATTGGGATGTGCAAATTGGAAAAAATGCTTATAAACACGTGATATCAATGTTTAAGACTCAAACGAAAGGCTTTATTTACATAAGTTCCCAAAAACTAACTTATAAACAAAGAACCAATATACATATCACAATGAAAAGCACTACTACTAAAAACAACAAAATATAAAAATACACCGAGACAGTAAGTTGAACTCGGTGAGATATATAGTATATTAGCAGATCACCGAATGGGGATGTATGAGATAAGCATCTCAGTGGGATTAGTCACTTCATCTCTCTAGGATTCAGTCTCTCAGTCTTCAGAATGAAGAGCTTTGCCTGCATTATCCTCAAAGTCCTTTCTACCTCTCCATGTAGCTTTGTATGTATATGTAAGCATGTCATTAGAAGTTCTAAGCATTTCAAAATCTCTATTACAATTTAATCTTTAACATATAAGTTATCTAGATTTTTAAAAGAAATTTCCCACAGCATAAGGATACTTTCGTTTATAATTTTGCATTAAGCCTCCAACTTAATTGCACACTGTGATTACAAATTCAGCCTCAGTGGAAACCACTTGTTGCAAATGTTTAGACTTGCTTCATAGTATAACTGTTCATCTTCAGTTACAGAACTGCTACTGAGATAACATAACTAAAGCCTTTTGGCTCTTTTTATACAAAGCATGATATTTAACTAGGGTTTTAGTGATTTTTAAAAAGTTTCTCTTTCTCCTTAGATATTCAGACCAATGCGTCTCATATGAGATGAAGAAATGTCCAGAAGAAACTATACTGAACTGACAGAATTTGTTCTCTTGGGTCTAACAAGCCGTCCAGAGCTGCGAGTTGCTTTCTTGGCACTGTTCCTTTTTGTCTACATAGCCACTGTGGTAGGAAACTTGGGGATGATTATTTTAATCAAAGTTGATTCTCGACTTCACACTCCCATGTAATTTTTTCTCTCCAGTTTGTCCATTCTAGATCTGTGTTTCTCCACAAATTTCACTCCCAAAATGCTAGAAAATTTCTTATCAGAGAAGAAGACCATTTCCTATGCAGGTTGTTTGATGCAGTGCTATGTTGTCATTGCTGTGGTCCTTGCAGAGCACTGCATGTTGGCAGTCATGGCATATGACCGCTATATGGCCATCTGTAATCCATTGCTCTACAGTAGCAAAATGTCCCAAGGTGTTTGTGTCCACCTGGTCATTGTCCCTTATGTCTATGGCTTTCTTCTCAGTGTGATGGAAACCTTAAGGACCTACAACCTCTCCTTCTGTGGAACAAATGAAATCAACCATTTCTACTGTGCTGATCCTCCTCTTATCAAACTGGCATGCTCTGACACGTACAGCAAGGAGCTGTCCATGTACATAGTAGCCGGCTACAGCAACGTCCAGTCTCTTCTGATCATTCTCACATCCTACATGTTCATCCTTGTCGCTATCCTCAGAAGCCATTCTGCAGAGGGAAGGAAAAAAGCTTTTTCCACATGTGGTTCCCACCTGACAGTTGTCACAATCTTCTATGGAACCCTCTTCTGCATGCATTTGAGACGTCCCACAGACGAGTCCGTGGAGCAGGGGAAAATGGTGGCTGTGTTTTACACCACAGTGATACTCATGCTGAACTCCATGATCTATGGCCTCAGGAACAAGGATGTGAAAGAGGCGTTGAAAAAAGCAATAGGAAAACAAACATTGGGAAAATAAAAATGCTAAGCTATCATTAAAAATTTGTGAAGTAATGAGATATAATATCATTGGGTTAGATGTCACATTTTAGGCTACATTTGCACAATTCATTTCTAATTTTCTGTTAGGTAGCTGACTGAGTTAAGCTTCCTGAAACTAGCGGGTTGAAACGGGAAGAGTAGAAGATTCCATTTAGGCTTGCACGGTGGCTCACGCCTGCAATTCCCAGCACTTTGGGAAACTGAGGTGGGTGGACCACGAGGTCAAGAGATCGAGACCATCCTAGTCAACATAATAAAAATACAAAAATTAGCCAGGTATGGTGGTGGTTGCCTGTAATCCCGGCTACTTGGGAGGCTGACGCAGGAGAATCACTTGAACCCAGGAGGCGGAGCTTGCAGTGAGTCGAGATAGTGCCACTGCACTCCAGCCTAGCAACAGAGCAAGATGCTGTCCCCCCACCCAAAAATAGATGCCATTTAGGCAATTTTCTCATTCCTGCTTGTAACAGCAAGTGTCACTTCTTGCAAAATATAGTGGTTTAAACCAAACTGATTTTTTGCTTTATTTTGTTTTGATAACCGTCATTCCACTAAAGTTATTTTGTAAATCATGATGTTTAGGTTTAGTTGTATTTAAATATCAACATGAGCAGGGAGACTCACCCCAGTGCAAGTAAATTACTATATTCTTACTTTCCTTCCATTTCACTTATCATCATACTGTGAAGGATTCTAATATGGCCTCAGCCAAATTACAATATTCCTTAATCTTTAGAGGTTGTTAGAGAAGGGTCAACACTGCTGACGTTAAATCAACAATCAGCAAGTGTATGCTAAAATTTTCTTATTTAGTTTCTCCATTGATCAACATTATATCTTACAATGTCTTTTTTTTTTTTGAGATGGGTGGGGTCTCCCTCTGTCACCCAGGCTGGAGTGCAGTGATGCGATCTCGGCTCACTGCAGCCTCCACCTGCCGGGCTCAAGCAATCCTTCCCCCTCAGCCTCCCAAGTAGCTGAGACCACAGGAGCATGCCACCACACCTGGCAAATTTTTGTGTATTTTTGGTAGAGGCAGGATTTCAACACATTGCCCAGGCTGCTCTTGAACTTCAGAGCTCAAGCAATCTGACTGCTTCTGCCTCAAAAAGTGGTTGGGATTACAGGCATGAGCCACCATACCTGGCCATCTTAAAATGTCTTAGCAGCAAAGGCAAATACACCATTATAATCTGTGTCAGAAGAGGGGACTTGTGGTCTTCATGGACCATTGTCATAAGGAAATTTCTCATAAGTGTGAAGCCATGGTGTCAAAAAATTCCAATCCAGCCAGGCACAGTGGCTCATGCCTGTAATCCCAGCACTTTAGGAGGCTAAGGTGGAAGGATCATTTGAGCTCAGGAGTTCGAGGTTGGAATGAGGTGTGACTATGCCACTCAGCCACTCACTTCAGCCTGAGCAACAGAGCAAGACCCTGTCTCTGAAAAAATAAAATAAAATAAAATAAAATCCAAGTATCAGGAAAGAGTTGGAATCAGATTACTTGGCTGTTTACCCAGCCATCTAAAGATTCTTCTCACCCTCATGGATGATTTGAGGACCTAGAACTCTCCTTCTGTGTTGCTAATGAAAGCACATTATCCAACCATCTAAAAATTGGAAACAGACACAAAACTGTTAGGGGTCACAAGCTGAATTACTGCATAGCAAGAGAAGCAATACCTAGCAAAGATGTGCCAAAGATGCTAAGTACTGACCAAGCCTGATGGTGTTTCTTCTCACATCTAACCCTGCTTTAAAAGTTAAAGGAATGGATAAGGCAGTAATATAAATACAATGACTATCATCATTTTGTTATATTGCTATTAACCAATAATATCTAACCATTAGTTCAATAAAGACATCTTTGGATTTAAAATAATTTTGCCAGTAGAGGTACAATTTATCGTGGTAATTTTTATGCTTAGGAGAAAAGGGAATATGATCTTCAGAGACCTGTGAGCATTTATTAAAATCTTATTAACTGATAGATGGCCCACACCGTCTTGTGTTCTAGACCATAATTCTATTGAGTCAATGTTAATGTTCCATGATCACAAATAACTGAAAGAAAATTAAACTGTTTTACCTTCAACACACTCACACACACTTTTATGTGTGTGTGTGTGTGTGTGTGTTAAATTCTCCAATTCTCTGTGGATATCAACTTTTCCTACAATTCAATTCAGTTCTGACACTATCTACCTGGCACTTGCCTCAGATCACACAGGCTCAGCCCCACAACACTGCTTTACCTCCCATTCCTTAGCCACTTCAGACACTGATGGCAAATCTGTGATCCAGTTTTGCAAGATAGCTCCAAAATGCTCTATGTTATTTGAAGAAAAAATAGAGTATAAAATTGGAAAAAAAAATTGCCAGGCAGGGTGGCTCATGCCTATAATCCCAGCACTTTGGGAGGTAGAGGCAGGAGGATCACTGAATCCAGGAGTTTGAGATCAGCCTGTGCAATATAGTGAGATATTGTCTGCACAAAAACAAACAAACAAATGCAACAAAACTAGTCAGGAGTGATGGCACATGTCTGTAGTTGCAGCTACTTGGGAGGCTGGGGTGGGAGAATTCCTTGAGACTGAGAGATTGAGGCCACAGTGAACCTGTATTGTGCCTCTGCACTTCCGCCTGGGAAACAGAGAGACCCCATCCCCAAAATAAAACAATAAAACATTAATAAAATTAGGGAAAAATTAAGAGGACATGATCATCACGTCCTTTGAAAAGATGTCAATTTCATATGCAAATTTGAAAGTCAGGATTATTTGAGGTAGAAGGCCATACTTCTTCATACTTCAAAGACTATTTGAAAATTTGAGGATTTCAATAACTTACAATAGAGTGGGGGTAGGAAGGAGTAGCCTAGAACCAAGTGATAAGTGTGGTGCTGTCAGAGTCCAGGAACAAAACTTTATGTTGGGTTGATTATAAAGCAACATAATCCCAGATCTACTTAACTCTTCAACTATAATATAATAAATGTATTTTTTTCATTTATCCATTCACATGTTTAATGTCTATCATGTGGTTGATATTGTGTGATATTCTTGGAGAACAAACAAAAATATATTCCCTGACTGATACTGCTACCTGATGGTATGAGAAGTAGGCAGAGACCAATCAAAATTTACAAAAATGTTTAATTTTAAAATGAGCTACTGAGGCTTAGAAAGGTTGGATCAGTTTGAAGATGTCCCAGAGGAGAAGGAAAAACTGCCCACCTTCCTGGGCTTTTTAGACAAAGAGACTAATAAAGGCTCATGTAAATGACAGTTCCAAATTGAAGAGTAAAGTATTAGTTTTCTTCAGCTGCCATAACAAAGTAAACACTGAATGGCTTAAGATAACAACAATGTGTTCTTGCACAGATCTGGAGCTAGAAACCCCAAATCAGGGTTTCCACAAGACCATCCTCCTTTCTGAACTCTAGAGGAGAATCTTGTTTCTTCTTTTTGCTTCTGGTAACCCCAGGCATTTCTTGGCTTGTGGCAACATAATAACAATCTCTGCCTCCATCTTCACGTGGCTGTGTGCTATGGTTTCAATGTTGACTCCAAATCTCATGTTGAAATTTAATTTTCATTGTGATGGTGTTAAGAGGTATGACCATTAAGAAGTGATTCAATCAGGAAGGCAAAAAGAGTCAAACACCGTAAAATATTTGAAACAATTTATTCTGAGCCAATTATGAATGACTGTGGCCTGTGACACAGCCCTCAGGAGGACTTGAGAACTTGTGTTCAAGGTGGTCAGGGTGCAGCTTGGTTTTAACAATTTAGGAAAACATGAGACCTCAATTAATTTATTAATATCATTGTTTAATTTTAGTGATATACAATATAATCTCAAATTTCTAAAATATTTTGCAGATAAAATCCTACAAATGTCAAACCACAAAACCTTATAAATGTATATATCATTAAAATTAATAAATTAAAAATGTCTGAGTTGCCCTGGACCCTGAGACAAGATGCTGCATCTTGGAGTACGTGCTAGAGGCATGGGATGAGTTTGGTGGGTCAGTGTGGTCTGTGTATATCTCTGGGTGTGTGAGGGGTAAGTCCCAAGGTAAGCAAGTAGGATGGGAAATATTATGCACCTTACTGGACTTTCTACAGTATCTAGCAAAATACTTAATATTATGTAATCATCAAAAATGCAATAATGTTTAAGACACTGTGTCTGGTTTCAAGCTATTCATAGTCTAGCATTATGAAACATGCACTTAAAATGAACTGTAATAAAATGTGGTAGCTACAATATGAGCAATATGAGCTAAGGGCTGTCAAAATGCAGGAGTAGAGATTATTAATTTTACATGGGAGCCTCCAGGAAGTGTTTAAGAGAAGACAACATTTGCATGATTCAAGTAAGCAACCCTTGAGTTAAGTTACCTTCTTTCTATCTTGGAGAGGACTTTAATTAGGACTGGAATAAGGCAAGCTTACTTTCTTTCTATATGGAATGAGTCTTATCTATATTTCTGTGTGCATGTAATGTGTATGTAAAAAATGTTGACTTTCCCCAGCTTATCAGTCACTGATAAGCGTATTTACATCATAAAACCCAGAGAAACCACATGAGGCTATTTAATATCTTGTAGAGACTGACCTTAAAAATTAAACCTAACACAATATTACTACAGATCAAAATTATTTAATTTGCAACTGAAAAGCAGTCTGTGTTCAGAGAACTGCAGGTTACCCTTTATAATGTGAGGCCCGTGACCTCTGTGGATAGTAAACTCTTGGCAATAGATAGCACAATTATTCTCTTATGCCAACAATTATTCTCTCTAGATGCACTCAGACCTCTAACTTTCACAGTCTTAACCAAGGTTCTTCAACGTTAAACTACAACTTCATTTTGTGTCTGAAACATCTCAACATTATTCTGAGAATTACTTAGGAATACTTAGATGTGTACCTCTCCTATCTATTTAGTCATCTATTGAAAACTCAATCACTTTAACCATTTTCGTCAGTTAACAAATATTTTGTGAACACCTACCATGTGCCAAATACTGTTATAAATACTGGGGCAGGGCTGGGGCAATTCAGTCAATGGCCCTTTTATCAAAATTATATTACCATGGAGAAGTAAAAATGTATGTGTAGAGAAACCAGCAATTTTCTCCAATACTTCATAAGTGAGAATCAACATTTTTTTTGTGGGAATGTAAACATGGCTGGTGTTAATGCAGTGCAGTGGGGAGGCCAGAAGAGGGAACAAGTTTGAGCTGTGGGAGAAAATTTTCAGGCACCCAAGTAAAGTGACAAGTGCACATGACACTGAAGCAATCCACAATTTTTTGCTATACAAAAAACAGATTTGTGTTCCCTTAAGTCCACAAAGACCATAATAGAATGCATCATGTACACCAGTCATGTAACGAAAATGAGAGTCTTTTAGGATTAGGAAATAAGAAATTTGGTCTCTTTTCCTGTAATGGTTACTTGTTGGACAAAAGGATGAGATGGTTAATGGTACAAATTCTGGAATCAGGAGTCTGGTTCATTGAAAGTGTGACATTGACCAAATCACTGAACCTCTGAAAGACTCAGTTTCTGGTCTATAAAATGAGAATAATAATAATTGCCTCAGGGTTGAGTTACAATAAATTAGCACAGTATCTGGTGTGTATTACTTCAAAAATGCATTATTGTTGCTATTATTATTACTACTACTTGGAGTAATATTTTTGTTATTTATAAAATGAGGGAATTGAAGAAAATGTATTTTTTCTGCTTTGATATGCTATATTTTTAATTAGAGGGAATAATACTTGACTTATCTTCCCTGCAAAACCTAGCGGCAGAGAATGTGAAGTATAGAGCATGAACTTGATATATACAGTTTGGGTAACCCCATAAACAGGTTTAGTGTGATACAAATCGCCCCCGACATTTTACTTGATTCTAGAACCCATTCGAAATAACTGGAGTTTGGGGAAAAATAAAATTGTAGAAAACTCTAATGAAAAAAACCCACACACTCAACAGCTGGCTTTCTCTCTAGAGATTCATTTCCCATGGGGCCATTTCTACGGGAAAAAATAAAATAAATCTTAATTGCTCCTTGCTTTCTAAGGCAAGCAGTTAAGGGAGGCTTCCACTGTGGACTTTTCCAAGTTTCCCTTTCATCAGGTTGAAAGTGTTTACCATTCCCATATATAGCATGCGCTTTTCAACTCTGCAACCACATTGGGAATATTTCTCATCATTCTCAGGTTGGTGAAAAATGTATCTATCTGGAATTGTCAGATGGAGCTTGCATTGGAGATTTTATTTTCTTTTACGATTTATAGAAATGCATTCATGATTTTATCTGTTATGTATGTGTTGAGATACACAAAAGAGAGATACATTTTCAATAGGATTATATTATTTGATAATTACAAGTGAATAATGGAGTGTATCTGATAATTGTTTTCATATTTATTATGTGTTAATACTTAATATATCTTTTCATATTCACAAACACACAAAGAAATGGATATTATCATTAAGTCCTACTGAGGAACATAAAAAGTAAAAGCAAAACAAAACAAGAATAAAACATGTCCAGTTTTATAAAATAAATCATAGAGCCTGGATCCAACCAAGCTCTGATGATAGAAACAGAACACTTTAACTAGGATACTTAATATTGCTTCATACCTGATCTGGAAAAGAATCCATATTTATGGGCATTTTAATTTGAAATAAAGTAATTCAATAAGGGAAGGTCATGTGTGTATTTTTAAATTTAGGTGGTGAGGAAATTCTCTAAATACTCTTGAGGTCCCCTAATCTCTATTTCTTTGTACACTTCGCACCCCCTAGGATGAAATCTAACCCCTAGTTTCCTGTAATTTTACTATTGCTATTTATCACCTGGATAACCGTCACTCAGGGCTCTTGGTATTTAGCTTGAGGGGAGTACTAACAATGCCATCTTCTACATCCTTGTTTGTGCTGAATCACCCGTCACTACAAAATGAGATATGACTTTCCAAATAAGAATCCCTCTATTGCCAGCAAGAACATTTCAGGCAGCCACAGACATAAACTGTTGAACCAGAAATCTGGAGTTATCTGTTGACATGTCTGTAATCTCCGTTTGGATATAAATCTAAGGATCTTAGAGATTTTAACAACTCTGTAACAGATTTTACAGTCTATATATAAATATATTCTAAGGCAGTATACACAGTTTTTAGAACTTTAACTATTATTCATTTTTAAAAATGTACCCACTAATTAATCCTTCAAATTTTTATTAATTAGACCAAACCTCTGGGGCCATGTAGAATGCAATCTGTTTCAATTAGTAATTTTCTCCTCTAGTCATAGAAAAATGTTCTTTCCAAGTTTGTGGTTGAAAAGTTTTGGATTATTACTATGGATAAATGTTCACTTATTTTCACTATCCATTGTGATTTACCTTCCTGACTGCTAATTTTCTGGGTAACTGCTAACCAGTAATAATATGGATAAATTTCATCAAATTGTGATTGAATACAGTTTAACATTGCAGATTACAAGAAGGGTCTTGGGAATAATTGTTTGCTCTAGAGATAACATATAGCCATTAGAAGGTTTGACACAATCGCATCTCCAACAAATGTATTTCCTGCTGAAAGGCTATCTCAAGATTCTTATTAGATAGATTTGCACTCTGTTCTGCAGAATGTGAATGCTCATTGACAAAATATCCAATTAATGGAATTTCTCATACATATATGAGAGAAATATACATAAGCTTTATGTATGTTTATATACATATGTGTGTGTATATATATACATATGTATATACATAAATAGAGGTGTGTGTGCGTGTGAGTGTAAATTTCTATGTTAAATGAATGATGTGTACAGTAAATAACTTTACTAGGTAGATTGTGAATCACTAAGAGATTTGACAGGACACAAAGATGTCCCATTTGATGGAGAAAAATTTGTGGATTATTCTCCATTATATCTAGTAAGATCATGCCAAGCACTAATGTTTTCTTAGAAATATAATTTGAGAAGCATTTTCTAGAAGAAGTTTCCTATATGATACATCTTATATTTGAAAATAAATTTGCAAAATATACAAGAAACCTTCCTAGAATTCCACTGAACCCTCAAAGAAGAATAAATCACTTCCTAAATTTCTGTCCCTATTATACCTCTATGAGAATACATTCAAGTTTTAAAAAGTATTTGTTTACATTAGTATCTTCATAAATACTGACATTAATCTGTATGTTTTACCTATTTTTGAATCTCTAGAACACAGCAGTATATGATATCTAGTGGATTATAATTTCATGTTAGAGTTGGGAGTCCATATCCAGGAAATGTTTATATAGTGTGAACATGGACCAATAATTCACCCTTTAACTTGACTTTGATGGCTACTATCATCTTTTTTTTGTTCTTCAGTTGAAAATAATGCAAATATAAGATTAGATTAAAAACATTTTTATAACATTTTAGGCTGATGAATTATTTCATCATATGATTTTTTTCTCTAATCATTGAGAATATGCTTACAATGAAAAAGAGATTAGGTAAAAATGTACACTTTTTAAGTTCTATTACGAAAATAACTATAATCCATTGTAATTATCTTTAAAATATAAAACTCCAAACATGCCATCATTGGAAATGAGGGATATTTAAGAAGTAATGAAATAATCTTGGAAATATGACTACTCACATTACTTACTACCAGTGTATTTCAGTCACTAAACTTTGTATAATTGTTATATAATAGGGACTGTCTACATTTATTCATCACAGAGCCTGTTACATAACAGGCACTGAGAAAAGATCTGTGAAAAGAATGCAAAGTGTGCTAATAGATATTGTATAAAGGGAGCATCTGAAGGTATAAATTAATAAATAAATATTCTAATATTTCCTTTATTTTATTTTAGTTATCAAAAAGTTTTGTAACTGATATTGACTTAGAATTCAGAAAATGCTCAATTTCACCGATGTGACAGAGTTCATTCTTTTGGGGCTAACGAGCCGTCGAGAATGGCAAGTTCTCTTCTTCATCATCTTTCTTGTGGTCTACATCATCACCATGGTGGGCAATATCGGCATGATGGTGTTAATCAAGGTCAGTCCTCAGCTTAACAACCCCATGTACTTTTTCCTCAGTCACTTGTCATTTGTTGATGTGTGGTTTTCTTCCAATGTCACCCCTAAAATGTTGGAAAACCTGTTATCAGATAAAAAAACAATTACTTATGCTGGTTGTTTAGTACAGTGTTTCTTCTTCATTGCTCTTGTCCATGTGGAAATTTTTATTCTTGCTGCGATGGCCTTTGATAGATACATGGCAATTGGGAATCCTCTGCTTTATGGCAGTAAAATGTCAAGGGTTGTCTGTATTCGACTGATTACTTTCCCTTACATTTATGGTTTTCTGACGAGTCTGGCAGCAACATTATGGACTTACGGCTTGTACTTCTGTGGAAAAATTGAGATCAACCATTTCTACTGTGCAGATCCACCTCTCATCAAAATGGCCTGTGCTGGGACCTTTGTAAAAGAATATACAATGATCATACTTGCCGGCATTAACTTCACATATTCCCTGACTGTAATTATCATCTCTTACTTATTCATCCTCATTGCCATTCTGCGAATGCGCTCAGCAGAAGGAAGGCAGAAGGCCTTTTCCACATGTGGGTCCCATCTGACAGCTGTCATTATATTCTATGGTACTCTGATCTTCATGTATCTCAGACGTCCCACAGAGGAGTCTGTGGAGCAGGGGAAGATGGTGGCTGTGTTCTATACCACAGTGATCCCCATGTTGAATCCCATGATCTACAGTCTGAGGAACAAGGATGTGAAAAAGGCCATGATGAAAGTGATCAGCAGATCATGTTAAACAAAATAAAATCAAATTTGATTTAATTTTATCTTCTATTATTTGTTTGGAAAAAGTTTATTACCCAGTACCTAGGAACATTAAGATAAAGATATTCTGTGGGTTGAAAAGAAAAATAAAAGTGGTACAAATTGAGAAAATATAAGGAGGAATGATTCATTTCTGTTGATGTGAGTATGGAGATTAATTACATACAAATAAGTTAATTGAAACTGTGATGTGTGCCAAAGTTCATAGGTGTACTAAGGGAAATTGCTCAAATAGCTGCAACCAAAAGACGTTTTCTTATTGAAAAGTGCAGGTGCATGAATTTAAGAAATATTTATTTGCCCACTTAAAAACAAATGTGGGGCAGAAAAAAAAAACCCATGATATTTAATTTGGTTTTCCAACATGAAGACATAAAATATTGGTCTCTCTAATTGTTATGAGATTATTTATTGTTTAATGCGTCTTTCATTATGTTGGGTAGGGTCTGTTCAGAGACTGCTACTTTGAAAATAGCAATACTATTGTATTTCATGATTTTTAAATTTTTGGTGTTTCTTAAGAAACACAACATGGTAAGTGTCTCTGTTTCACAGACCCCAGGAACTGCTGTGTTTCTACTCTATGATTGCCAGTCACCAGACTGTGGTTTGCCCCTGCTGGTGTCTTCACTCTGACTGAGGAGTTGAAGAATTAGTGGAAGAAGCTGTCATTGTAAAACCATTGCTCTCCAAATTCCACAGAATAAATTACATTCTACTCATGTGGGATATTTGGTACACCTGTGACCAAGACATGGCACTTACATATTCTAGTTAACTTTTGCATTTAAAATAAATTCAGTATTTAGCATGCACTATTTGTTGTTATCAATAACATTTTATGACATAATAATGGGAACATAATTTCACATCTCTCTTGCACCATATTTCGTGAAGCATAAGGATGAAGCTACAACTTAACTTATTTCATCAAGTCTACGTCCTCAGCCCAAATAAATAAATAATCACCTTCTGTTTTGAGGCAAACAATATATAGCTAAAGAAATGTAATTTATACATTTTATATTATACATTTAAATAATTAAAATTATCTGCAAAGATGTGAATATAAAGCAAGATTGGTGTCATCTGAGAGAAAAGCATTCTTTTTTTATTTAACTTTTATTTTAAGTTCAAGGGTAGGAGTGCAGGTTTGTTCTATAGGTAAACTTGTGTTATAGAGGTTTGTGGTACAGAATATTTCATCACCCAAGTACTAAGCCTAGTACCCATTAATTATTATCCTGATCCTCCCCCTCCTCCCAATCTCCACCCTTTCATAGGCCTCAATGTGTGTTGCTCCCCTCTATGTGTCCTTGTACTCTCAACATTTAGCTCACACTTCTAAGTGAGAACATGAGGTATTTGGTTTTCTGTTCCTGCATTAGTTTGCTAAAGATAATGGTCTCTATCTCCGTCTATCTTCTTGCAAAGGACAAGATCTCGTTTTTTTCCTTATGGCTGCCTAGTATTCCATGATGTATATGTGCATTTTCTTTATCCAGTTTATCACCAATGGGCTTTTAGGTTGATTACCTGTATTGTGAATAGTGCTGCAGTGAATATACATGTACATTTGTCTTTATAGTAGAACAATTTATATTCACTTGGGCATATACCCAGGCATGGAATTGCTGGATATTTCTGTTCTGAGGTCTTTGAGTAATCCCCACACTGTCTTCCACAATGGTTAAACCAAGATACATGAGGCCAAGAATCATAAGAAAAAGCTCAACATCACTGATGATTAACAAAATGGAAATCAAAACTACGAGATACCTTCTCACACCAGTCAGAATGGCTATTATCAAAAAGCCAAAAAAATTAGATGCTGGCAAGGTTGTGAAGAAAAAGAAATGTTTATCTGCTATTGATGAAAGTGTAAAAAAGCATTCTTCTTTGTCCAATATTGAATTTTATTTACCTCAAGAGAACCTATAAGTGAAATGAACTCATTTCGACATACATACACATAAATCATGGGCAGCATGGTTGAAAGATGTCGAACCTCTAGAGACTTTTAATATCTAAGGTACACAACTTCTTTTGGGATTACTCCGAAGTTGAAAGTAATTTATTTTGTCAATAAAAACATTTATTTGCCATTTTTGGGGAACCCTTGATATGCCAAATTATTTTCTTGTTATTAATAAATTTCAAAATGTGTTTTGAAAGCATTTTATCACCTGCAGCTTATTGGCAGGTAAATTTGAACCATCTTTGTTACCTCTCTTTTTCAAAGGCGAAATGTGTTTCTGTTTATTCTTTTGAGGGTTAGTTTAGTGTTACATAAAGAATGATGACTCCAGGTCAGTGGTCAAACCATGTTTCTGGTTTGAGTTTCCAAATTTCAAGTGAATTTGTGGATGACCTTGGACAAGTCACTTTTTTCACCCATCCAGTTACTTTTAAGGTTGTAAACTCTGATCCCTATGTATTTTCTGCCTAATAATTTTCATGAGTCTCGATTTTTTGGCAGAGCTTAAAGCAATTTTCCCATCTGAATTTCAAGATATTTCTGTAAAGTACTTTTAAAAATAGATAGTATTGTCACACTTATTTCTACATCTGTGAGCTTAATCATATTTAAGCATTTCCAACGTCTAAGCATGAAGCCAAGTTATCTCTTTCTCTATTTCTCTTCTGTATTTTTTTCTTCCTGTCTCTCTCTGTCTCTCTCTCTCTCTCACACACACACACACACACACACACACACACACACACACACACTCTTTCTTCTTTTCCAATCTACATTTTCTTGAGATATTGCATATGAAGTCAAAATTCCCTAATGTCAAACTCATCTAATAGACTTTCTCAATAACTGGTGAGAAGAAATTAATAAATTCTGGGTACTTTGACACTGGAAAAAACTTTGCCCAAACACAATTCTGTTGTTGATTTTTCAGACTAAATTGAGGAAGTATATGCTTTAGAGTTTAAATAATTTAAGTTTGCATCCATGTATCCATGTTCTTTGGCTTGATAGTATGTAAACTTGCCAATACTGCATGTTCTCACTTATAAGTGGGAGCTAAACAACAAGAATACATGGACACATAGCAGGGAACAACAACAACATAACCACGGCCTACTTGAGAATAGGGGTGAGGGGAGGGAGAGGAGCAAAAAAATACCTAAAATACCTATTAGGTGCTATGTTTGTTACCTGGTGATGAAATAATCTGTACATCAAGCCACTTTGTCTGTGTAACAAACCTGCATATGTACCCCAACCCTAAAATTAAAAAAGGAAAGACTTAAAATCATACTTCTCTTTTTTTTTTTTTCTTGAGATGGAGTCTTACTCTCTTGCCCAGGCTGGAGTGCAGTGGCACTGTCTCGACTCACTACTACCTCTGCCTCCCAGGTTCAAGCGATTCTCTTGCCTCAGCCTCCCGAGTGGCTGGGATTACAGGCACCCGACATCATGCCCAGGTAATTTTTGTATTATTGTAGAGACGGGGTACCACCATGTTGGCCGGGCTGGTCTTGAACTCCTGACCTCAGATGTTCTACCCGCGTTGGCCTCCCAAAGTGCTGGGATTACAGGTGTGAGCCACCAAGCCTGGTACATCATACTTATTTCACATAGGAATACTTTTATTCTTCAAGGTAAGGATAATATTAGAATACTAAAGAAGTAGTAAGATAATACTAGTAAACTGTTTAGAGGTAAAACTGCACAAATAATGACAACTTTTTGTGTGCTTCACATGCAACAGCCATTGGGAAGAGAGTTATCCCTATATCATTCTAAGATCATCTCAACCAAAATGTAAGATAGTCATTTCCCTATTCTGCAGATGAGTACACTGAGGCTCTGAAGTACATTGCTTGTCCAAGGTGGCATAGTGAAAGTGGTATACCAAAGGTATAATCCCAGACCTGACTGACTTCAGTAATAACTTCTACTTGTACTCATTTTACCAATGATTTATTCTTTGAGGCATCTGACATTGTAACACAACCATGAGATGCATAGGACGTGCATTCCTATGATCATCTATCCTGACAGACGGCACTTTTTAGAACAATTGTCCAACCAGAAAGAAAGGGACTCACTGAAATTTTATATGATGCAGGCCAATATTTTGCTGAAATGCATAATTGTCAATATGTAAATAAAAGAAGACAGAACCCATGTGAAAGTGAGAGATAAGATTATATTATTGATCAAGAATTTTGATCTATTTTATTTAAAAAATCTTCTTCTCATCCACACTCCTTAACTGCTCCTATACCTGAGCTGTGTCTAGAATTTTACTTATTATTTTTTTCATAATTACCTGAATCGTCCTTTAGGGAGATGATCCCAGTGTTCCTAATGTTTAAGACATTATTATAAATAGTGAGAAGTTATCATTTTCTACTCTCTATGCTGAAGGTAGGTCTGCAAGTTTTTCACTCATTACAATAGAGATTGATGTAGTCAAATATTTTAATTTCACTCTCTGTCTTGAAGAGGCAACTAATACCTTATTCACAGACTTATTTTGTTATCAGAGTGTCTTCTTGTATGAAATTATATTATTGGGAACTTTTTGTATTTCTATCCCTGGTTTGTTGAAAACTTTGTAAGAATGAGCTTATTATAATGAAGATTTGCAAAACTCCTCATTTCTCATTTTTTGTCCTCTCATTCTCTTTTACAGACAAAAACTATTAACTTTCATAATATTGTTTAAATATATGTATGAATGGAGTTGGGGATATAGGGTCAGTTGGCATGATTGGTCCAGTAATTTATGCCTTCACTGGTTTTCTTCATGAAAAATTCCTGAAGTGTTAATAGAAATGAATTTTGGGTTTTATTTGTCGATTACAAATTCAATCTTCTTGATTATTTTGATAGATGATACACATTTAGGTATTAAATTAATTTTCTCCCAGAAATCATTATCATCTGATCCTGGGATGATAAACTTGGACAAGTAGAGAGTTGCAGTGATTTACTATCTCAGTGGTTTAGGCTGCTCTGGGGTAACCAAAGCTCTTAAAAGTCCATTAAAGATGAACTATGAAAGAGATAACTTCCACATATTGTGGAGGATGAGCAAACTGAATTTCAAATGAAAAGAAATATAATGGTAGAAGAGGCTGTCAAAGATGCAGCAATAGAAGATTGTTAAAGACACAACACTAAAATGATTTTGTTTGCATCCCAATTCTGCTAATTAGTAGACCTCTGACCCAGGGAGACTTTCTTAATCTCTCAGTGTTTAGCTTCCTCATTTGTAAAATGGTCATGCAAATAAAACCTGTTTTACAGGACATTTGCGTAGAAGAGTTTTCCTGAACATTCAATAACAGCTATTCTTATAAGTATTACAAGGCTGGGACTGTTGCCTCTAGAAAAATATTTCTTAGAGAGTTTTAATTATACTGGATTATTGTACTATGTTTAGTGGATCTAGAGATCAGGGCATGTAGAAATCATATGTATAACTATTTCTAAATTTCTGTTAAATGTAACTACTAAGCAAGACAGTTTAAGGAGTTTCAAGGTAAACAAAACAAACTAATATTAGGCTGGTACAAAAGTAATTGCATTTTTGCCATTGAAAGTAACGGCAAAACCCACAATAACTTTTGCAGCAACCTAAATGCTAAAGCGCTAATGATTTTGTGTAAAATAAGAAAAGTACATCACACTGTGACTGAAACAAAATGTAGTGTTAGTTTATGTTTCTTAGATGCCTTGATGCTTTATTTCATATATTTTATACTTAATACAGTAGTAACACTAACCCAAGTCAAATTCTGTTAGTAACAGGAAACCAGTAGAGATCAGAAATTTTTACATAGGAAAATCTCTGACCACAGCATCTGCAGCTCTTTACCTAGTTTGACATTTATAATGAGCCAAAAAAGTGAAACTACAATCATGGACATCTATAGCAAAGGAAAGTTGGATCAGAACTAAAACTGCAATGTCTATTATGTTATATATTCAGTTCATTTTATGTATAGTATATTTAAACCCTGTATTGTACATTTTTGCAAAGTGTACATTGTTTTTAAATTATTTGAATTAAAATAAGGACAAACGCAACTCAGTTTCAAGAATAAAACAAATTCATTTACTTTCCTTTTGAAACAATTTCTCCATAGGCAACACAGACTTGGCCTATACTAAGGCAATGCCTAATTTCACGGATGTGACAGAATTTACTCTCCTGGGGCTGACCTGTCGTCAGGAGCTACAGGTTCTCTTTTTTGTGGTGTTCCTAGCGGTTTACATGATCACTCTGTTGGGAAATATTGGTATGATCATTTTGATTAGCATCAGTCCTCAGCTTCAGAGTCCCATGTACTTTTTCCTGAGTCATCTGTCTTTTGCGGACGTGTGCTTCTCCTCCAACGTTACCCCCAAAATGCTGGAAAACTTATTATCAGAGACAAAAACCATTTCCTATGTGGGATGCTTGGTGCAGTGCTACTTTTTCATTGCCGTTGTCCACGTGGAGGTCTATATCCTGGCTGTGATGGCCTTTGACAGGTACATGGCCGGCTGCAACCCTCTGCTTTATGGCAGTAAAATGTCTAGGACTGTGTGTGTTCGGCTCATCTCTGTGCCTTATGTCTATGGATTCTCTGTCAGCCTAATATGCACACTATGGACTTATGGCTTATACTTCTGTGGAAACTTTGAAATCAATCACTTCTATTGTGCAGATCCCCCTCTCATCCAGATTGCCTGTGGGAGAGTGCACATCAAAGAAATCACAATGATTGTTATTGCTGGAATTAACTTCACATATTCCCTCTCGGTGGTCCTCATCTCCTACACTCTCATTGTAGTAGCTGTGCTACGCATGCGCTCTGCCGATGGCAGGAGGAAGGCGTTCTCCACCTGTGGGTCCCACTTGACGGCTGTTTCTATGTTTTATGGGACCCCCATCTTCATGTATCTCAGGAGACCCACTGAGGAATCCGTAGAGCAGGGCAAAATGGTGGCTGTGTTTTACACCACAGTAATTCCTATGTTGAATCCCATGATCTACAGTCTGAGAAATAAGGATGTAAAAGAAGCAGTCAACAAAGCAATCACCAAGACATATGTGAGGCAGTAAAACTGTAGTGGATATTGTTGTCCCTATTATAAATAGGGTCCTGTTATAAATGGTCACATGTAAAAGTCCTAGCTCAGAAAACAGTATCAAAAGGTAACTCTTTCACACACTAAGAGGTCTGATGTAACAGGGTGATGTTTTACCCCTTGTATGGACTCTAATTACTAAGCATATTTTCTCCTATATGTGCGCCAATATTATGAAAGATGACACAATGTTCATTCACAATATGCTTAAAATTGGGCTAAGTTTAGTCACTGGAGGAACTCACAAATGAGTGTACATACATATATGTTAAGTTGGAAGTATGCTTGTTAGTGTTGGATGTTATTTTGCAGAGTACTTTATACATATACATATTCCTCAAACTAGATTTCATGTGAAATATACAAATTCTCAGAAAAAAGTAAATACTTCATTTCTTTTTCATGGCCATAGAATACTGATGAACAGTTTACCTAAAAAGTGTTTAAAATTTTGAAAATGCAATTATATTTAGAATTTTAAACTAGTGTCTTAATATAATCCTGTTTGTCATCATTTCACATAATTTGATAGTTAATAATGTTTTGTTTCAATGGTCTGTTTTCTTACCCTAACTCTACTCCTTGATGGGTACTCATTTACACATTCTTTTATGTTAGTAGGGTGAACTCTCTCTGACAAAAGATTTTCCTGCCCTAATCATAATGAAAAGATGAGGCAGTATACATTTTCTGACACAAAGTCTGAGCTTTGGCAATACCATATTGTCTTATTAAACCATTGATTGATAATATGATTTGAAAGTTTTCTTTGCTTCCAGCTCTTTTCACTAACATTAAATTCTTTGACTTTGTATATAGCAACTTAAATCAAGCTTTTAATGTCTATAGTTGATAAACCAGATAAGAAGAACTGTTCAGCTAAATTGTATGGGACCCTCACTCAAAGGTGACCAGCAGAGTTCTAAATTGCATCCCATTTGGGCCTGGTTAAACATTTTTAAAAGCTCACTGTTTGTCTAGATTGGTGCTTCCATAGCTTACTTGTTCTACATTATATTCTTGTTAAAGACAACAATGGAAATTTGTTTGCCCCAGGTGACTCTTGCTAAGTTAACTGCATAAAGGCAAGTGGGAGATAAAGGTGATTGCTGATGAGTGAGTTTATTCGGGATGTGATAATCCAACTACAAGGGTGCACAATTCAATTAGTATGTACAAGTTGACTCTGAGAAGTAAAATATAGTTGTGGTAATGCTTGTAGGAAGATGGACTAATTCAAACACAGAAAGCATTGTTATTCATGCAAATTTACCATGGTTCACTTTCCTAGTAACTTAGAATGGATCTGAGTAAAGGTAGATGGGATACGTACTCTTTCATAAATTTACATTCTGAAAGTAAAGTATGATCTGCTTGTATTGAAAATTGTGTTAACACTATGTTTATATTTCTAAACCACCCAAATTTGCTTCTAAAAAGTCAGGATGAAGAACAAAACGCAGGGCTACTCAAGCAACAACTTCTTTTACAGAGATCGGCGTCACAACCTGACATTCTAAGGCCTTATTTTTTGGGGGGTCATTATGGCAGAGCTATTCCTCATTCTCCACTAGTTCATTTTTCCTTTTAGAAATATAAAACTTGCTATCCAACTGTATGTCAGAGTTCTAATCTCTCCTTATTATCCTGATATACATTTGTGGGGGTTTGGGCTTTTTTGTTTTAACAACTTAAACAGCATAAATTTATTATTTCAGAATTGCCATGGGTTATGAGTGCAGGTAAAGATAAAATGGGCCTGCTGCTCAGGGTCTTCTCAGGCAGAAATCAATTTCTTGGTCAGGTCTGTGGTTCCACCTGAGACTCTGGGTCCTCTTTCCAGTTCATTCAATATGTTTTCAGTTTTTATTACATTTGAGGGGCTCATGTCTAAGTTTGTTACATGGGTATATTGTGTGATGCTGAGACTTAGGATACAAATTATCTCATCACCCAGGTAGTGAGCATGGTACAGAACTGTTAGTTTTCCAATCCTTGCCCCACTCTTTCCTCCCCACTCTAATAGTCTCCAGTGTCTATTGTTCCCATCTATATGTCCACAAGTGTCCAATGTTTAGCTCTGGCTTATAAGTGAAAATATGCGGTATTTGGTTTTCTGTTCCAGCATCAATTTACCTAGGATTATGTCCTTCAGCTGTATTCATGTTACTGCAAAGGACATGATTTCATTTTTTTCTAAGACTGTGTAGTATTCCATGGTGTATATACACCACATTTTCTTGGTGATACATAGTGTATATTTGCCACATCCAGTCAACTGTTGATGGACACCTCGGTTGATTCCATGTATTTGCTATTGTTAATTGCTCTGTATTCAACTTACAAATGTATATGTCCTTTTGGTAGAATGGATAACAACAGGAGACAGACAAATTCCTAGGCTGACAGGGTTGGGTCCAGGTGAAACTCCACCTTCAAGCCCAGGACAGTCTAAAGCCTGAAAGCCAAGCTGCTAGTTCCAGACAGAATCCACTGACAGAGGGAGAACTCCCATCCCCACCTTACCCATGCTCTTGATTGATTCCTTCTGAATGATGCCTTTTAACCAACCGAATGGTGTCTTTTCCAAGCCCACCAATAAAACAATCAGCATGCATTCCCCAGTCTAAGCCCATAAAAAGCCCAGACTCAGCCTCACATAAGGCTACCCACTTTTGGGTCCCCTCTCACTGTTGAGAGTGTTTCTTTCACTCAATAAATTTTAATGAGACTTACTTACTCTCCAGTGTCCATGTACCTCATTCCTCTTGGTCTCAAGAGAAGAACTTGGAACTCATGGAACTGCAGAAATGAAAGAGCTATAACACTTCCTCTCACTCGCCAAACTATGGGAGTGAAGAAGCTGCTGGGCACCACTCCCTCCTGCTCACCAAACGACAGGAGTAAGAAAGCTGCAACAGAACAATTTGTTTTCTTTTCAATATATACACAGTAATGGGATTGCTGGATTGGATGGTAGTTCTGTTTCACGTTCTTTGAGAAATCTCCAAAGTGCTTTCTGCAGTGACTGAACTGATTTACATTCCCACCAACAGTGTATAAATGTTACCTTTTGTTGGAAGCCTCACCAACATTTGTTGTTTTTTTGGCTTTTTAACAATAGCCGTTCTGACTGGTGTGAGATGGTATCTTATTGTGGTTTTGATTTACATTTCTGTGATGATTAGTGATGTTGAGTATTTTTTCATGTGTCTCTTTGGCCACTTGTATGTATTTTTTAGAAAATTGTTCATATCTTTTGATTACTTTTTAATGGAGTTATTTATTTTTTGCTTGTTGAATCATTTAAGTTTCTTATAAACTCTGGATATTAGACCTTTGTCATAGTTTGTGAATATTTTCTTTCATCCTGTAGGCTATCTGTTTCCTCTGTTGATAGTTTCTTTGGCTGTGCAGAAACACTTCATTTAATTAGGCCCCACTTGTGAATTTTTGTTTTTGTTGCAGTTGCTCATTTAACAATTGCTAAATTGCTGAATGCATTTAGTCACAAATTCTTTTCCAAGGCCCATGTCCAGAAGGGTGTTTCCTAGGTTTTCTTCTAGGCTTCTTACTTTTTGAGCACTTACATTTAAACTTTAATTCATCTTAAGTTAATTTTTGTATATGGTGAAAAGTAGGGGTGAGGTTTCATTCTTCTGCATATGAATAGCCAGCAACATTTAATGAATAGGAGGTCATTTTTTTTTTTTGACTTTCACAATTATCAGATGGCTGTAGGTGTGCAGCTTTATTTCTGGAATCCCTATTCTTTTCCAATGTGGTATATGACCATTTCTGTAACAGAGCCATGCTCTTTTGGTTACTGTAGCTATACAGTATAGTTTGAAGTCAGGTAATGTGATACTTCTGGCTTTGGTTTTTCTCTTTTCTTTTTCTTTCTTTTTTTTTCTCACTATTCAGGCTCTTTTTGGTTGCATAGGAATTTAAGAATCGTTTTTTTCTAATTCTGTGGAGAATGACGTTGGTAGTTTGATAGGAATAGTGCTGAGTCTGTAGATTGCTTTAGGCAGTATGGCCATTTTAATGATGCCAGTTCTTTCAATCCATGAGCATGGACTGTTTTTCCAATTCATTGTGTCATGTATGACTTCTTTCAGCAGTGTGTAGTTATTATAGAAATCTTTCACCTCCTTGGTTAGATGTATTCTTATGCATTCTATTTTTTTAGTGGCTATTGTAAATGGGATTGTGTTCTTGATTCAGTTCTCAGCTTGGATGTTATTGATACATAAAAATGCTGCTGATTTTTTTTACATTTATTTTGTATCCTGCAACTTTACTGAAGTCATTTATTTGTTTAAACAACTTTTGGCAGAGTTTTTAGTGTTTACTAGGTATAGAATCGTATTAGCAGCAAAGAAAGATTGTTTGACTTTTTCTTTTCCTATTTGGATGCCTTTTATTGCTTACTATTGCCTGATTGCTCTGGATAGGACTTTCAGTAGTATGTTGAATAGGAGTGATGAGTGTGGGCATCCTTGTCTTGTTCAGTTTTCGAGGATAATGCTCCCAGCTTTTGCCCATTTAGCATAATGTTCACTATGGATTTCTCATAGATGGCTCTTATTATTTTGAGGTATGTGTTTTTGATGCCCAGTTTGTTGAGGGTTTTTTATCATGAAGGGATGTTAGACTCTCACCAGTTGTGGGCCCCTCAACTTTGGATTTCCCAGCCTCTAGAACTATAAGACACAAATATTTTTTCTTATTAATTACCCAGACTATGGATAATTTATATGTTATAGCAATGCAGATGAAGAAATTTTTTTTAATTTTTTTTAAATATGTGTATGCAAATATCTCTCTTCTAATAAGGATATCAGTCACATTGGATTAAGGGCACACGCTACAATATGACTTCATCTAGTCACATCTTTCATGACTGTATTTTCAAATATATATCATTCAGAGGGATTGGGCTTTAGAACATGTATTTTTAGAGAACACAATTTAACCCATAGTAAGTAACAATAGCTTAAGATCTGTATTGGTTAAAAATGTATAGTGGAGGTTTGCCTAGTTTATACCTAGCTAGAAACATGGTGCAGAGAAAATAACTAAGAATTAATGAACCCAAGAAAGAGCTTGTATGAAAATGCTAACAGAGAGAAATAGCCTAGAAGTAGGACACAGTATTAACTAATGTGTCACAGTGTGGCTAAGGACTCACCAAGTGTTAAAGTAAAATGAATCCTATCTAATTATTAACTTGCCCTAGGAAGGAATCTTACGCTGAGGTAAAGTGCCAAGAATCAAGTATCTGAAAAGTATTATAAGAACAATTAAAAGGAGGATTAGGGTGCTAAATGCAGTAACTAATGAACCACCAAAACAAAGTAACTTAAAAAGATAGGTTTATATTTCTTTTTTATGCAATCAGGTGATTATGAGTATTAAATAAGGCAATTAGACCCTCAAGATGTGTCTCCCATAATACCATCTAGGGTGTTCAATTCAGTGGCCACATTTTGGAGTATGAAAATGAGGAGAAAGTTCAGGTTTAGTGGCTTTGGCCTTTAGGAGATTATTCTTAACTTTACATATAACTTTCTTCTGATCTATTGTCAAAACTTAGTAACAAATGTATACTTCTGTTCATAACAGTCTCTGAGGATCTTTTGCATTTCTGTGGGATTGGTTATATGCACACAACCTAGAAAATTTAGAGGAAGTGGATAAATTCCTGGAAACACACACCTTCCCCAAATTAAATCAGGCAGAAATTGAAACCCTGAACAAACCAAATTATGTTCTGCAATTGAATCAATAATAAAAATTCTAGCAACTTTTTTTTTAAATAAAAGCCCTGGAACAGATTGATTCACAGGTGTACCAGATGTACAAAGAAGAGCTAGTTACCAATTCTACTGAAACTATTCCAAAAAATTGAGGATGAAGATATACTCCCTAACTCATTCTTAAGCCAGCAACACCCTGACACCAGACTCTGTCAGAGGCACTCACACATACACAAAGGAAACTTCAGGCTAGTATCCTTGAAGAACATAGATGCAAAAATCCTCAACTAAATACCAGCAAAGTGAATCCACGAGCACACTGAAAAGTTAATTCACCACAAGCAAGTAGGTTGCATTCCTGGGATGCAAGGTTGTTTCAACATGCATCAACCAATAAGTGTAATTTACAATATAAAGAGAATTAAAAATAAAAACTATACAATCACCTCAACCTATTCAAAAAACTATTTGAGAAAAATCTAACATCCCTTCATGATAAAAACCCTCAACAACCCGGGCATCAAAACAACATACCTCAAAATAATAAGCGCAATCTATGAGAAATCCACAGCCAACATCATGCTGAATGGGCAAAAGCTGGAAATGTTCTCCTTGAGAACTGAACAAGAAAAGGATGCCACCACTCATCACTCTTATTTAACATACTACTGGAAGTCCTAGCCAGAGCAATCAGGCAAGAGTAAGAAATAAAAGGCATCCAAATAAGAAAAGAAAAAGCCAAACAATCTTTCTTTGCTGCCAATGTGATTCTATACCTAGAAAACACTAAAGACTCTGCCAAAAGGTTCCTTGAACTAATAAATGACTTCCGTAAAGTTTCAGAATACAAAATAAATGTAAAAATCAGTAGCATTTTTGTATACCAATAACATCCAAGCAGAGAGTTTAATCAAGAACATAATCCCATTTACAATAGCCACCAAAAGATAAAAAATAAAATACATAAGAATACATATAACCAAGGAGGTGAAAGATTTCTCTAAGAACTAAAAACAAAACACTGCCGAAGGAAATCATACATGACACAACTAATTGGAATCAGTATCATTAAAATGGCCATACTGCCTAATGCAACCTACAGACTCAGTACTATTCCTATCAAACTACCAACATCATTCTTCACAGCATTAGAAAAAAAAAAACTATTCTTAAATTCCTATGGAACCAGAAAGAGCTTGAGTACCAAAAAAAAAAAAAAAAAGAAAGAAAGAAAGAAAGAAAGAAAGAAAGAAAGAAAAATAGAAAAGAAAAGAAAAAGAAAAAGAAAAAACAACGCCAGAAGCATCACATTACTTAAATTCAAACTATACTATATAGCTATGGTAACCAAAAAGCAAGGCACTGGTACAAAAACAGACATATACACCAGTGAAAAAGAATAGAGAATCCACAAATAAAGCTGCATACCTACAGTCATCTGACATTTGAGAAAGTCAGAAAAAAAAAAAAAACCTCCTATTCATTAAATATTGCGGGGATAGCTGGCTATTCATATGCAGAAGAATGAAATTTGACACCTACTTTTCACCATCTACAAAAATTAAGGTGAATTAAAGTTTAAATGTAAGAAGTCAAAAAGTAAGAAGCCTAGAAGAAAACCTGGGAAACATCATTCTGAACATGGGCCTTGGGAAATAATTTGTGGCTAAATGCATTCAGCAATTTAACAATTGCTATGTTAGCAATTTGCAACAAAAACAATAATTCATAAGTGGGACCTAACTAATTAAATGAAGAGTTTCTGCACGGCCAAAGAAACTGTTGACTAAGGAAATAGCCTGCAGGATGAAAGAAAATATTCACAAACTATGACCAAGCCCTAATATCCAGAATTTATAAGAAACTTAAATGAATCAACAAGCAAAAATTAAATAACTCCATTAAAAAGTGGTCAAAAGACATGGGCAGTTTTCTAACATATACAAGTTGCCAAAGAAACATATGAAAAAATACTCAACATCACTAATCTTTGTAGAAATGTAAATCAAAACCACAGTAAGACACCATCTCACACCAGTCGGAATGGGCATCATTAAAAAGCCAAAAAACAACAGATGCTGGCAAGGCTGCCAACAAACGGTAACATTTATACACTGTTGGTGGGAATGTGAATTAGTTCAGTCACTGTAGAAAGCACTTTGGAGATTTCTCAAAGAACTTGAAACAGAACTACATTCAACCCAGCAATCCCATTACTGTATGTATATCCAAAAATAAAAATAAAAAATAAATTGTTCTGTTGTGGCTTTCTTACTCCTGTAGTTTGGCAAGCAGGAGGGGGTGTTGACCAGTGGCTTCTTCACTCCCATACTTCAGTGAGTGGGAGGGAGTGGCACCCATTACCTTCTTCACTCCCACAGATTGGTGAACTGGAGGAAGTGTTACAGCTCTTTGACTCCTGCAGTTCCATGAGTTCCAGGTTCTTCTCTCAAGACCAAGAGGAATGAGGTACATGGACACTGCAGAGTAAGTAAGGCTCAGTAAAATTTATTAAGTGAAAGAAACACTCTCAACAGTAAGAGGGGACCCAAAAGTGGACAGCCTCACGTAAGGCTGAGTCTGAGCTTTTTATGGGTTTAGAATAGGGAATGCATGCTGACTGATTTATCGGTGAGCTTGGAAAAGACACCATTCGATTGGTTAAAAGGCATCATTCAGGAAAAAAAAAATTGAAAGAGTGGGTAAGATAGGGATGGGAGTTCTCCCTCTGGTCAGTGGATTCTATCTGGAACTAGTGGCTCAGTTTTCAGGCCTTAGACTGTCCTGGGCTTGAAGGTGGAGTTTCACTAGGGACTGAACCCTGTCTGCCTACGAATTTGTCTCTTTCCTGTTGCTAAAAGTTCTACACGTTGATAATTATGCATTTTGGCAAAATATTGGTTTGCATCATATAAAATTTCAGTGAGTCTCTTTCTGGTTGGACAACTGTTCAAAAAAGCACCATCTGTCAGGATAGATGATCATAGCAATGCATGTCCCATGCATCTCATGGCTGTGTTCAGATGTCAGATGCCTCAAACAATAAATCACTGGCAGAATGAGTAAAAGTAGAAGTCATTACTGAAGTCAGACAGATCTGAAATTATACCTTTGCTATACACACGCTTTCATTATGTTACCTTGGACAAGCGATGTACTTCTGTGCCTCAGTGTACTTATCTGTAGAATAGGGAATCTATTATCTTACATTTTGGTTGAGATGATCTTAGAATAATATAGGGATAACTCTGTTCCCAATGCCTGTTGCACGTGAAGCAGACAAAAAGTTGTCATTATTTGTGCAGTGTTACCTCTAAACAGTTTACTATTATTATCTTACCACTTCTTTAGGATTGAGGTTAATATTATCCTTACTTTGAAGAATAAAAGTATTCCTATGTGAAAAAAATATGATGTTAAATTTTCCATTTTTTAAATTTAGGTTTAGGGGTACATATGCAGGTGTGTTATTCAGACAAACTGGTGTCACAGAGGCTTGGTGTACACATTATTTCATCACCCAGATAATAAGCATAGCACCTGATAGGTATTTTTTTGCTCCTCTCCTTCCTCCCACCCTCCATTCTCAAGGAGGCTGTGGTGTCTGTTGTTCCCCTCTATGTGTTCATGTATTCTTGTTGTTTAGCCCCCACTTGTAAGTGAGAACATGCAGTATTGGCAAGTTGAGATACTATCAAGCCAAAGAATACAGATGCAAACCTACACTATTTAAATTCTGAAAAGTATACTTCTTAAATTTAGTCTGGAAAATCATGAACAGAATTGTGCTTGGGAAAATTTTTTTTCAGCCCCAAAGTACCCAGAATTTATGAATTTCTTCTCACCTATTATTGAGAAAGTCTATTGGATGAGTTTGACACTAGGGAATTTTGACTTCATATGCAATATCTCAAGAAAATGTAGAAATCAGAGTCTACAACCTTAAAAATAACTAGATGGGTGACAAAAAGTGACTTGTCCAAGGTCATCCACAAATTCACTTGAAATTTGGAAACTGAAACCAGAAACATGATTTGACCACTGACCTAGATTCATCGTTCTTTATGTAACACTAAACTAACTCTCCAAAAGAATAAAGAGAAAATGCATTTTACCTTTGAAAAAAAGAGGTAACAAAGATGGTTCAAATTTACCTGCCAACAGGCTGCAAGTGATTAAATGCTTAAAAACATATTTAGCAATTGATTAATAATAAGAAACTAATTTGGCATATCAAGAGTTCCCCAAAAATGGCAAATAAATGTTCTTATTGCCAAAATAAATTACTTTTAACTTTAGTCCCAAAAGAACCTTATGTACCTTAGATATTAAAAGTCTCTAGAGGTTTAACATTTTTCATCCAAAGACACAGTGACACTATAATTGAATCTAAATTAGCAATTTGTTTATATATGCAAAAGGTTTTAAAATGTTGCCCATGATTTATACGTATGTATGTGGAAAGGAGTTCATTGCATTTTTGGTTTCTCTTGATGTAAATAAAATTCAATAATGGACAAAGAAGAATGCTTTTTTACACTTCCACCAACAGTGTACAAACGTTCCTTTTTCTTCCCAATCTGGCCAGCATCTGATATTTTTTTGGGTTTTTGATAATAACCATTATTACTCATGTGAGACAGTATCTCGTTGTGGTTTCAATTTGCATGTATTTAATTATCAGTGATGTTGAGCTTTTTCATATGATTCTTGGCCTCATGTATCTAAGTTCAACCTTTGTGGGAAACAGTGTGGTGATTCCTCAAAGACCTAAAACAGAAATATCCAGCAATTCCATTCCTGGGTATATGCCCAAAGGAATATATATTGTTCTACTATAAAGACACATGTCCATGTATATTCATTGCAGCACTATTCACAATAGCAAACACATGTAATCAACCTAAAAGCCCATCAGTGATAGACTGGATAAAGAAAATGTACAGATACGCCATGGAATACTATGCAGCCATAAGAAAATAAAAAAAAAATGAGATCTTGTCCTTTGCAAGAACATAGATGGAGATACAGACCATTATCTTTAGCTAACTAATGCAGGAGTAGAAAACCAAATACCTCATGTTCTCACTTAGAAGTGTGAGTTAATAGTTCAACCATTGTGGAAGTCAGTGTGGCGATTCCTCAGGGATCTAGAACTGGAAATACCATTTGACCCAGCCATCCCATTACTGGGTATATACCCAAAGGACTATAAATCATGCTGCTATAAAGACACATGCACACGTATGTTTATTGTGGCACTATTCACAATAGCAAAGACTTGGAACCAACCCAAATGTCCAACAATGATAGACTGGATTAAGAAAATGTGGCACATATACACCATGGAATACCATGCAGCCATAAAAAATGATGAGTTCATGTCCTTTGTAGGGACATGGATGAAATTGGAAAACATCATTCTCAGTAAACTATCGCAAGAACAAAAAACCAAACACCGCATATTCTCACTCATAGGTGGGAATTGAACAATGAGATCACATGGACACAGGAAGGGGAATATCACACTCTGGGGACTGTTGTGGGGTGGGGGGAGGGGGGAGGGATAGCATTGGGAGATATACCTAATGCTAGATGACGAGTTAGTGGGTGCAGTGCACCAGCATGGCACATGTATACATATGTAACTAACCTGCACAATGTGCACATGTACCCTAAAACTTCAAGTATAATAATAATAAAAAAGAAGTGTGAGTTAAATGTTGAGAGCACATGGACACATAAAGGGGAGCAACACACACTGAGGGCTATGAGAGGGTAGAGGTTGGGACGAGGGAGAGGATCAGGAAAAATACCTAATGAGTACTAAGCTTAATACCTGCATGACAAAATAATCTGTACCACAAACCTCTATGAAACACGTTTACCGATATAACAAACCTGCGCACCTACCCTTGAACTTAAAATAAAAGTTAAAGAAAAGAAGAATGCTTTTTTCTCAGATGGCGCCAATCTTGTTTTATATTCACATCTTTGCAGATAATTTTTAATTTTTTAAATGTACAATTCAAAATATGTAAGTTACATTTCTTTAGCCATATATTGTTTGCATCAAAACAGATAGTGATTATTTACTTATTTATTTAGCCTAAGGACGTAGACTTTGATGAAATAAGTTAAGTTGTAGCTTCATCCTTGTGCTTCATGAAATAAGATGCAAGAGATGTGAAATTATGTTCCCATTATTATGTCAGAAAATCTTATTGATAACAACAAATAGTGCATCCTAAATACTGAATTTATTTCAAATGCAAAAGTTAACTAGAATATGTAAGTGCCATGTCTTGGTCACAGGTGTACCAAATATCTCACATGAGTGGAATGTAATTCATTCTGTGGAATTTGGAGAGCCATGGTTTTACAATGACAACTTCTTCCACTAATTCTCCTACTCTTCAGTCAGAGTGAAGACACCAGCAGGGGCAAACCACAGTCTGGTGACTGGCAATCGTAGAGTTGAAACATGGCAGTTACTGGGATCTGTGAAAAAGAGACATCTACCACGTTGTTTCTTAAGAAACACCAAAAAGTTAAAAAACATAAAATACAATAGTATTGCTATTTTCAAAGTAGCAGTCTCTGAACAGACCCTACCCAACATAATGAAAGACGCATTAAACAATAAACAATCTCATAACCATTAGTGAGAACACTATTTTACATCCTCACACTGGAAAACCAAATTAAATATTTTGAATTTTTTCTGCCCCAAATTAGTGTTTAATTGGGCAAATGAATATTACCTAAATTCATGCAACTGCACTTTTGAATAAGAGAAATTCTTTTCATTGCAGCTAAGTATTTGAGCAACTTCCATTAGCACACCTATGAACTTTGGCACACATCACCATTTCAACTAATTAATTTATTCATATTTAATTAATCTCCATACTCACATGAACAGAAGTGAAACATTCTACCTTATATTTTCTCCATTTGCATCACTTTTATTTTTCTTCAACCCACAGAATATCTTTATCTTAATGTTCCTAAGTACTGGGCAATAACCTTTCTCCAATCAAATAATAGAAGACAAAATTAATTCAAACTTGATTTTATTTTGTTTAACATGATCTGCTGATCACTTTCATCATGGCCTTTTTCACATCCTTGTTCCTCAGACTGTAGATCATGGGATTCAACATGGGGATCACTGTGGTATAGAACACAGCCACCATCTTCCCCTGCTCCACAGACTCCTCTGTGGGACGTCTGAGATACATGAAGATCAGAGTACCATAGAATATGATGACAGCTGTCAGATGGGACCCACATGTGGAAAAGGCCTTCTGCCTTCCTTCTGCTGAGCGCATTCGCAGAATGGCAATGAGGATGAATAAGTAAGAGATGATAATTACAGTCAGGGAATATGTGAAGTTGATGCCGGCAAGTATGAGCATTGTATATTCTTTTACAAAGGTCCCGGCACAGGCCATTTTGATGAGAGGTGGATCTGCACAGTAGAAATGGTTGATCTCAATTTTTCCACAGAAGTACAAGCCATAAGTCCATAATGTTGCTGTCAGACTCGTCAGAAAACCATAAATGTAAGGGAAAGTAATCAGTCGAATACAGACATCCCTTGACATTTTGCTGCCATAAAGCAAAGGATTTCCAATCACTGTGTATCTATCAAAGGCAATCGCAGCAAGAATAAAAATTTCCACATGGACAAGAGCAATGAAGAAGAAACACTGTGCTAAACAGCCAGCATAAGAAATTGTTTTTTTTTTTATCTGATAACAGATTTTCCAACATTTTAGGGGTGACATTGGAAGAAAACCACACATCAACAAATGACAAGTGACTGAGGAAAAAGTACATGGGGCTGTTAAGCTGAGGACTGACCTTGATTAACAACATCATGCCGATATTGCCCACCACGGTGATAATGTAGACCACAAGAAAAACGATGAAGAAGAGAACTTGCCATTCCCGACGGCTCGTTAGCCCCAAAAGAATGAACTCTGTCACATCGGTGAAATTGAGCATTTTCTCAATTCTACGTCAATATGAGTTACAAATCTTCATAATAACTAAAATAAAATAAAAAATTAGTATTTTTCATTTATTAATTTACACCTTTATCTGTGCTCCTTTTATATAATATCTATGATCACACTTTGACATTATTATTTTCAGCAAATCTTTTCTCAGCTACTGTTATGTAATAGGCTCCACAATGAATAAATGTAGACAGTCCCTATTATATAACCGTTAAACAAAGTTTAGTGGCTGAAATACACTGGTAGTAAGTATTGTGAGTAGTCAAATTTCTAAGATTACTTCTAAATATCCCTCATTTCCAATAATGGCATGTTTGGAGTTTCATATTTTTACGATAATTATGGGGGATTATACTTCTTTTTGTAATAGGACTAAACAAGTCTGCTTTTTAAACCTAATCTCTTTCATTATTAGCATATTCTCAATGATTAGAGAAAAAAGCCATATGACGAAATAATTCATCAGCCTAAAGTGTTATCAAAATATTTTTAACCTAATCTCATATTTGCATTCTTTTCAAGTGAAGAACAAAAAGCAGATGACAGTAGCCATCAAAGTCAAGTTAAAGGGTGAATTATTTGCCCATGTTCACACTATATAAACATATCCTGGATATGGACTCCCAATTCTAACATGAAATTATCATCCACTAGATATCATGTACTTCTATGTTCTAGAGATTCAAAAATAAGTAAAACATACAGATTACTGTCAGCATTTATGAAGGTACTAATGTAAATAAATACTTTTTGAAACTTGGATGTATTCTTATAGAGTTATAATAAGGACAGAAATTTAGGAAGGGATTGATTCTTCTTTGGGAATTCACTGGAAAGTTTCTTTGATATTTTGGAAATTTATTTTCAAACATAGGATATATTACATTTGAAAAATTTTTTAGAAAATATTTCTCAAATTATGTTTTAAGTATATTAGAAATATAATTAGTGCTTTGCATGATGTTAATAGATATAACAGAGAATAATCCACAAGTGTTCCTCCATCAAATGGGACATCTTTGTGCTCTGTCAAATCTCTTAGTAATTCACAGCCTCCCTAGTAAAGTTATTTACTCTACACATCATTCATGTAGCTTACAAATTTACATGCACACACACTCACACTCACACACATGTCTATATATATATGTCTATACATATGTGTGTATATACATATACACACACCTATATGTATATTCTCATACTTATAGCTTATATATTTCTCTCATATATATATGAGAGAAATTCCATGAATTAGATATTTTGTCAATGAACATTCACATTCTGCAGAACAAAAAGTGTAAATCAATCTAATAAGAATCTTGAGACAGCCTTTCAGCAGGACAATATATTTGTTGGAGATGGGGTTGTTTCATACCTTCTGATGGCTATATCATCTCTAGAGCAAACGATTATTCCCAAGACCCTTCTTGTAATCTGCAGTATTAAACTATGTTCAACCACAAGTTGACGAAATTTATCTATAATTATTACTGGCTAGCAGTTACCAGAAAATTTAGAAAGCAGGCAGGAAGGTAAATCTCATTGCATAGTGAAAATAAGTGCAAACTTATCCACAGTGAAAATCCAAGTTTTCAACCACCAAACTTGGAAAGAACATTTTTCTATGGATAGAGGAGAAAATTACTAACTGAAACAGAGTACATTCTACATGGCTCTAGAGGTTTGGTTTAATTCATAAAAATTTGAGGCATTAATTATTGGGTAAATTTTTACGAATGAATAATTGTTAAAGTTCTAAAAATGATATAAAGCGCCTTAGAATACATTTATGTATAGGCTGCAAAATCTCTTATAGTTTTGTTAAAATAGTCTCTAAGATCCTTAGATTCATGACTGAACAGAGATTACAGACATGTCCACAGATAATTCCAGATTTCTGATTCAACAGTTTATGCCTGCAGCTGCCTGAAATATTCTTCTTTATGTAATTTTCAAGACTGGCAATAGAGGGATTCTTACTTGGAAAATCATATCTCATTCTGTAGTGCTAAGGATGATTCAGCACAAACAAGAATGTAGAAGATGGCATTGTTAGTACTCCCCATAAACTAAATACAAATAGCCCTGAGTGATGGTTATCCAGGTGATGAATAGCAATAGTAAAATTACAGGAAACTAGGGGTTAGATATGATCCTAGGGGTTGCAAGGTGTACAAAGAAATAGAGAATTGGGGACCTCAGGAGTATTTAGAGGATTTCCTCACCACCTAAATCAAAAATACACACATAACCTCCCCTTATTGAATTACTCTATTTCAAATTCAATTACCAATAAATATGGATTCTCTTTTAGACCAGGTATGAAGCAATATTAAGTATCCCAGTCAGGCCAGGCGTGGTGTCTCACGCCTCTAATGCCAGCATTTTGGGAGGCTGAGGGGGTTGGATTGCCTGAGGTTGGAGTTCAAGTTCAGCCTGGCCAACATGGCGAAATTCTATCTCTAAAAAATACAGAAATTAGCCAGGTGTGGTGGTGCACTCGTCATCCCAGCTACTTGGGAGGCTAAGACAGGATAATCACTTGAACCCAGGAGGCGGAAGTTGCAGTTAGCTGATATTGCACCACTATACTCCAGCCTGGGCAACAGAGCGAGACTCCATCTCAAAAACAACAGCAACAACAAAAAAGTATCCTAGTTAAAAAGTTCTGTTTCTATTGTCAGACCTTGGTTGGATCCTGGCTCTATGACTTATTTTATAAAACTGAACATGTTTTATTCTAGTTTTTTGTTTTGTTTTTAAGTTTCCTGTTCCTCAATATGACTTAATAGTATCAATTTCATTGCGTGTTTGACTATGTTGACTATGAAAAGAGGCATTACATATTAACACATAATAGATTAAAAAATAATTATCAGATGTGCTCCATTAATCATTTGTAATTATCAAATAATATAATTTTATTGAAAAAATCTCTTTTATGTATCTCTCTCACACCCTACACACATAACATAATAGATAAAACTGTGAATGTATTCGTATAAATCGTAGAGGAAAATAAAATCTACAATGCAAGCTCCATCTAACAATTCTAGATAGATGCATTTTTCACCAACCTGAGAATGAAGAGAAGTCTCTCCAATAAAGGTGCAGAGTTGTAAAGTTCATGCTATATATGAGAATGGTAAACACTTTCAACCTGACAAAAGAGAAACTGGGAGAAGTGCAAAGGAGAAGCCTCCCTTGTTTTCCTTAGAAAGCATAAAGCAATTAAGAATTTTTTCCTTAAAAATGACCCTGTGGGAAGTACATCTCTAGAGAAAAAGCCAACTGTTGAGTTTGTGGTTTTTGTTGTTTTTTTTTTTTTTGACTTTTCTACAATACTATATTCCCCCAACTCCAGTTTTTTTGAATGGGTACTAGAGTTAAATAAAATTTGGGAGGGGATTTTTATCATACTAAACCTGTTTATACTGTTACTCAAACTGTACATATCAATTTCATGCTCTATACTTCACATTCTCTGCCACTTGGGTTTTCCAGGGAAGATGAGTCAAGCGTTATTTCCTATAATTAAAATTATAGCAAATCAAAGCAGAAAACAAAATCTGTTTTCTTCAATTTCCTCATTTTATAAATAATAAAAATACTACTCCAAGTAGTAGTAATAATAATAGCAACAATAATGCATTTTTGAAGTAGCATACTTCAAATATTTGTGCTAATTTAATTATTGTAACTCAACCCTGAGGCAATTACTCTCACTCTCATCTTATAGACAAAAAACTGAGTCTTTCAGAGGTTCAGTGACTTGATCAATGTCACACTTTCAATGAATCAGGAACTAGATTCCTGATTCCAGAATGTGTACCATTAACCATCTCATCCTTTTGTCCGACAGATAACCATTACAAGGCAAGGGACCAAATTTCTTATTTCCTAATCCTAAAACACTCTCCTTTTCATTTCATAAGTGGTGTACATGATGCATTGTATCATAGTCTTTATGGACTTAAGGGAACACAAATCTGTGTTTTGTATAGCCAAAAATTGTGGATTGTTTTGGTGTCATATGCAATTGATCACTTTACTTGGGTGCCTGATAATTTACTCCCACAGCTCAAACTTGTCCCCTCTTTTGGCCTCCCCACTGCACTCCATTAACACCAGCCATGTTTACATTCCCCCCCCCAACACACAAAAAATGTTGATTCTCATTCATTAAGCTGTGGAGAAAATTGCTGGTTTCTCCTCACATCCATTATTCCTTCTCCATGGTAATACAATTTTAATTAAAGGGCCATTGACTGAATTGCCCCAGCCCAGCCCCAGTACTTATAACAGTATTTAGCACATGGTAGGTGCTGACAAAATATTTGTTAACTGAAGAAATTTGTTAAAGTGATCAAGTTTTCAATCAATGACCAGATACACAGAAGAGGTATATAGCTAAATCTTCCTAAGTACTTCTCAGAATAATGTTGAGATGTTTCAGGCACAAAATGAAGTTGTAGTTTAACACTGAAGAACTTTGGTTAAGACTGTGAAAGTTAGAGGTCTGAGTGCATCTAGAGAGAATAATCACTGGCATGAGAGAATAATTGTGCTATCTATTGCCAGGAGTTTACTATCCACAGAGGTCACATTTTATTTATTTATTTATTTATTTATTTTGAGATGGAGTCTTGCTATTCCAGGCTGGAGTGCAGTGATGGGATCTTGGCTCACTGCAATCTCCGCCTTCTGGATCAAGCTATTCTCCTGTCTCAGCCTCCTGAGTAGCTGGGATTATAGATGCGTGCCACCACACCCAGCAATTTTTTTTTTTTTTTGTATTTTTAGTACAGACGGGGTTTCACCATTTTGGCCAGGATGGTTTCGATCTCCTGACCTCCTGATCCGCTCGCCTTGGCCTCCCAAAGTGCTGGGATTACAGGCATGAGCCACTGAACCTGGACGGGCCTCACATTACCTACGATTCTCCAAACACAGACTGTTTTTCAGTTGCAAATTAACTAATTTTTATCTGTACAAATATTGTGTTAGGGTTAATTTTCAAGGTCAGTCTACAAATCGCTAAATAGCCTCATGTGATTTTTCTGGGTTTTATGTTGTAAGTGTGGTTATCAGTTACTGTGATAAGCTGTGAGAGCCAGCTATCTAACATAGAGAAATCCAGATAAGACTCATTCCATATAGCAAGAAAGTAAGCTTTTCTTATTCTAGTCCTAATTAAAGTCCTCCCCAAGATAGAAAGAAGGTAACTTAACTCAAGAGTTGCTTACTTGAGTTATGCAAATGTTGTCTTCTCTTAAACACTTCCTGGAGGCTCCCATGTAAAATTAATAACCTCTACTCCTGCATTTTGACAGCCCTTAGCTCAGATTGCTCATGTCGTAGCTACCACATTTTATTACAGTTCATTTTAAGTGCATGTTTCATAAGGCTAGACTATGAATAGGTTGAAACCGAACACAGTGTCTTAGTCGTTATTGCATTTTTGATGATTATATAGTATTAAGTATTTTGCTAGGTAGTATAGAAAATACAGTAAGGTGCATAATATTTCCTGTCCTACTTGCTCACATTGGGACTCATACCTCACACACCCAGAAATATACACAGACCACACTGATCCACCAAACTCATCCCATGCCTCTAGCACATACTCCAAGATGCATGCATCTGTCTCAGAGTCCAGGGCAATTTGTATTTTTTAATTTCTTAATTTTATTTTGTAATTTTATGGGTATATAGTAGGTATATATATTTATAAGGTTTTTTATTTGATGTTTGTAGGATTTTATCTATGATTTTTTTAGAAATGGGTGATTAAATTATATGTCACTAAAATTAAATGATATTAATAAATTAATTGAAGTCTCATGTTTTCCTAAATTGTATAAAACCATGCTGTACCTTGATCACCTTGAGCACATGTTCTCAGGACAGCCTGAGGGCTGTGTCATGGGCCATGGTCACTCATATTTAGCTCAGAATACATTGCTTCAAATATTTTACAGACTTTGACTCTTTTTGCTTTCCTGACAGAATCACTTCTTTATGGTCATACCTCTTAATACCATCAAAATAGCAATTAAATTTCAACATGAGATTTGGAGTCAACATTGAAACCATAGCACACAGCCATGTGAAAATGGAGGCAGAGATTGTTACTATGCTACCACAAGCCAAGGAATGCCTGGGATTACTAGAAACTAAAAGAAGAAACAAACGATTCTCCTCTAGAGTTCAGAAAGGAGGATGGCCTTGCAGAAACCTTGATTTGGGGTTTCTAGCCTCCAGACCTGTGCAAAAACACATTGTTGTTGTCTTAAGTCATTCAGTGTGTGGTACTATGTTATGGCAGCTGAAGAAACTAATACTTCACTCTTCAGTTTAGAACTGTCATTCATATCAGCCTTTATTAGTCTCCTTCTCTAAAGCCTAGGAGGGTGGGCTGTTTTTTCCTTCTCCTCTGGGATCTCTTCAAACTGATCCAACTCTTGGACTGTGGTTTTTCTATACCTCAACTCAATTTAGGATGCTACCTAGTAGTGATGGGGACAGAGGGCAGCAAAATTCTAGACAGATGGGGCAGGTCCCTAGTGAATTCCCACCTCAAGCTGAAAAGCTTGAGACCATGGCCCAAAGTGAGAACTTCCATCCTTGTATTCCTGATGGAACGTTTGCTTTTCCTAAACTATCCATGGCCCAGCCCTGCCCCGTCCTGTGCCTATAAAGACCCCAGACTCAGCCGGCAGAGTGGATAAGCAGCTGGATGTTGGGGACTATAGCTGGACATCAGAGAGAAGTGGCTTGACTTCAGCTTGATGGTGTAACTTTGGAGAAGAATCCAGCTGGAGTGGGCTGGACTTCAGAGGAAGATTACCTACCCTCCCCATCCTCTTCTCAGCTCCCCTTCCCACTGAGAGACACCTCCACTGGCAATAAAATCATCGGCATTTACCATCCTTCAATTCACTTGTGTGACCTCATATTTCCTGGACGCTGGACAAGAACTCAGGAGCCATGATTATGGATACAAAGGGCTGTCACACTCGCCTTTGCCCTCCCTGGTGGAGGGAAGCCACAGGCCCAATGAGCTGTTAACACTTAAGCTATCCATGGAAGACAAGCTGAAAGAGCACTGTAACACACCCTCTGGGGCTTCAGGTGGTGTCACAGGCACCCAGCCTGAATGCTGCCGTGTAGCCTGCACAGAGTTCACTCCTGCTGGTGCCCAAAATTGTTTCTCCAGCTCCTGCATGTGTTCACCTGTGCACTCTCTCCCATGAAGAGTGGAATTCATTGGGGACCAAGTAAAGGGAGTTTGATCTCACCAGCACTGAAAAAGCCAGCTGGTCCCAGTGCTCCTGCACTCCAGTTCCTGCCTCGCTCACTCCTGCACTCCTCCAACAAGGAGTTGAGAGTGGCAGGCTGAGTAAATGAGGCACCCCTATGGCGAGTCCTGTGAAGGCGTCAGGGAAGTATCCTGCTTCAGTAGAAGGGCAGTAGAATCTCTTTTCAACGATTCAATAGCCTTTAAATCCTACCCACATTGCCAAATTCAGGTTCAACCCTTATTGCCTATGATTAGAAAAATCGTTATTTTGTCATTATAAGTGTGTTCTCACTCTGGCTTCAAAATTTATTTTCTGCTTTTTACACTACCTCTGCAAAATAAACTTTCGAGCCTGAATGTCATAATTATAGCTCATTCCTTTTGTCCAGAATTTGTACCTTGACAGTAATTCATTTAGAACACTTCCTTTCTGCTTTTATGATAATGTTCAGATTGGGTAAGGCAGATATAAAAATGCTTTTAAAAAATACATAATTTAATACAATAATATTAATGTCTTCACATTAGTATCTAAATTTAACCATAAAACCTGTTTTAAGATAACTTGAACTAACTTAAGCTAATGTGATTTTCAAAGACTTCTCATTAATTCCTAATACAGCAATTTTTGCCAATATTTACTAAAATATCATATGAGATTGTTATGTATAGCACACAGACATTTTGGTATTTTCAATATTTGAAAATATATAATATTTGTTGCTTTCTATTTGTGACAATTGGCACAGAATTATCACTTGCAGTGGCTATATAAAATTTAGTTTCGGATTTATTTAAATAAATGTGATTTAATTTAAGATAAATATGCTTAGCACACAATAGTCCATGTGATTTGTCAATGTAGGAAAAAAGAATGTGGAAAAAATGTTCTGAAAACACAACTCTAGGCCAAGTTAACACAGTCACATACATATACACACAAACACACATGCACACACCAGCCTGTCATATGTATACAGAGTCAGTGTGGATGTATTGTTCATAGAATAATATATATGCATATATAATATACAAAGTTTTACCATATACAGTAACTTTAGGGGATATTATCTGCCTCATAGGCACTGCTTCTCATGAGTTTTATATGTTATCCACCTTCTTTACAATGTTTCAGAGTTCAGTAATTTCCGTAATGTTCAGAACTATTAAGTAATATAATTAAGGCTTGAAGTCCAGTACATCTAATGTGAAAGTTTCTGTTTTTATATGACCGATTAATTTCAGTCATATAATATGCAAACGTGTTAGGAGGGGACTCAGATGTACCATGTGCTTCCTACATTGTAGAATGAAATGTTTTCCGGGACAGAGCCAGCTTTGAGTTTCTGAGTTTTATGAGCACCATTCACCCAGGAGTTCATAATGTTAAAGCAGCTTTGCCTCTTTTGCCCACCATTCAGAACTGGTTTTGAGGAGTCCATTTGAGAGAAGTCAGAATATTATCTAATTTAACTTAACCAGTGCATGGTACAAATGAGCTTTGACATCAAGACAGTAAGATTCCAAGAGCTACCTTCTTCCTGCTTAGCTAAGGTGCCACCCTTGGAATGCTGGCAAATTTTAAGTACTAATCATACCTGGATCTGAATCATGAGCTTGTTGGTGAGATGATAGCAATAATAGAGTGAATAACAAGGTTAATCAGGTCAGGATAGAAAAGGGATTGTCTGTTACTATAACACACACTTTTAGCATGGCTTTTTTTGGAGTACAATTAACATGTCAGAATGAGTTGCTAAATCCATTCTAACACTATCAGAATACGTAGGTCATAATAATGCAGTATTATAATTCAGAACATGGATTTAATTAAAAACTAAATAAATCTACTGCGGCACAACATATTTTGGCATTTTGTGATTTTTCTCTAATTAGTAAAATAATAAGCTATTATAAAATATTTTATTCTTAACTTGTTAGAAATAATCCAACATTTTTAGAACAAAATACTAAAAAATATGTGTTGAACAAGACAATATGGCTACTGTAAAACTTTTTACTTATTGCTAAATTAACTTTTTCTGATAATACTCCTTAGAGTGTTGTGTCTTTACATGTTGCTTCCAGTTTGTCTCCTTTCATTTTTTTTAAAATAGCTTCCATAGCCTTTTACACCCGCCTCCTCCACCACTCCACTGAAAATCTTACCAAGGCCATACACGACCCCTATGTTGCATAAAACGATTGTCAAGTCTCCATCACATGCTGTTTATCCTGTCAGCAGTATTTGCCAGAGCTAGTCACTCTTTGATTATCTTTCCTTATGTGGATTCCTACACTCTCCTGATTTTCTCCTACTTCTCTGGATGTACCTTCTCGGTTTTATTGCTGTTCCTTCTTCATTGCCTTCTCTTGTTAATATTGGAGAGACACAGATCCAGTCACTTCTCTGCCATTTTGTCTTTTTATAGCTGCACATCTTCCTTTCCTTGATAATTTCATTCAGTTTTTATACACACCACACACACACACACACACACACACACACCTAACAGGTCCTAGAATAACAATCTTTTGTTCAGCATCATTTTATTATAAAGTTGACTAAAAATTAAACATCAATCTTTGGCCAGAGCCACTGTCTGTGTGAAGTTTGCGTGTTCCCCTCATGTCTGTGTGAGTTTTCTCTGGCTAACCTGTGTGTTCCCACATCCCAGAGATGTGCACGTTAGACGAATTGGCACATCTACATGGTCTCAGACTGAGTGTGGGTGTGTGAGTGTGCCCTGCCATGGAATGGCATCCTGTCCAGGATCAGTGCCTGTCTAGTGTCCTGAGCTGCTAGATAGGGTCTGGCTACCTGCCGCCCTGAACTGGAATAAGCAGGTAAATAATTATCTTACTTGCTTTTATTAATGTTTCTTAAATCTATCTATCTATCTATCTATCTATCTATCTATCTATCTATCTATCATCTATCTATCTCACATTTATTTTGTGAGATAATTAGAAGTGTATTGGTATTTATTTTAGAAATTATTCTACCATAAAGACATATGCATGTGAATGCTCATTGCAGCGCTATTCACAATAGCAAAGATATGTAATCAACCTAAATGCCTATCAATGACAGATTGAATAAAGACAATGTGGTACATATACACCATGGAAAACTCTGCAGCCATAAAAAAGAATGAGATCATGTCTTTTGTGAGACTGTAGATGGAGCTGGAGACTATTACCCTTAGCAAACTAACACAGGAATCGAAAACCAAATGCCCTATGTTCTCACTTACAAGTGGAAGCTAAATGATGAGAACTCATGGACACAAAGAAGGGTACAACAGACACTGGGGTCCACTTGAGGGCAGAGGGTGAGAGGGGAGAGAGGAGCAGAAAAGACAACCACTGGATACTGGACTTAATACCTGCGTACAGATGAATTAATCTGTACAACAAACCCTCATGACACAAGTTCACTTATATAACAAACCTTCACATGTACACCTGAACCTAAAATAAAAGTTAAAAAAATCAATTTATAATATATCCAAAAGAATAAAATGCCTAGGAATATGTTTAACCAAGAAAATCAAAGATTTGTGAAATGAAAATTATAAAACATGGCTGAAAGATAATAAAGGTCTAAATAAATGGAAAGTCCTCCCATGTTCATGGATTGGAAGACAGTGTTATTAAGATGGCAATAAAAATGATCTACAGATTCAATGCAATCTCTACCTAGATCCATTTTTTTCCAGCAATGAAAAAGCCAGTCCTCAAATTTACATGAGTTTGAAAAAGAAGAAAAAAAAGAAATTTGGTGATGTTTTTGTTACCAGAAATATGCCGTAGGAAGTTAACTCTTGTTTACTTCAATTAGCTTCTGATAAAATTGATCTCATTATACTTTGTTTTGTGTCAAGTCACAGTTTCCAAGAACCTATCATTGAAATTAAGTGAGGACTGTGTATGTGTGTGTGTGTGCATGTAAAATTTCCCAATTACCTCCTCATCTCAGCACACTCCTCTGAATTCTAGACTCCTATATTCAACATCCTATTTGACACCTTTACTTGGAAGCATATTAAACATCTCAAATTTATTGTCCAAACTGAACTCTTGGTAAACCACCTCAAATCGGCTTCTTTTTAACTTTTCCTAGCTCAGTGCATGGACACTTCATGGTTGCATCAGGCAAAATCCTTAGAGTAAGGCTTGACTCGTGTTACTCCTATCTCACATTCACTCTGGTAGGAATTCTGGCTCCAGCGTACAACTACATTTACCAACTGCACTCATATTCTGTGGTCTTGCTTACCATTTTTTTGTAATACAAATATTTTTCCAAGTAGGTTTGTAGTTTCTATGCTTTCCGCCTACAGTCGACTGTTTTTGTTTTTTTTGTTTTTTTGTTTTTGTTTTAACACTGTAGCCATAATAATCCTTTTAAAAAGAATTGCCTCCGCACAGAAATTCTGCAATGGTTGCCCTGTTTCACCCAAAAATTCAAAGTCCTTATGACAGCCCGTAAAATCTGGCATGATCTGGCCCCTGTTAACTTTCTGATTCTTGATCTCTTAGTGCTACCTTGAAATCACCATTCTTCTATCCACTCTGACCTCAAACACTCCAGGGCCAGGGCAGCCGTGAGTATTTGTACTTGCTTTCCCTTCCTGGAATAAGTCTTTCTCAGATATTGCTATGCTTTCTCTCACTTACTGACACTTCCATGGTTATAAAGTGTGAGAGCCCTGGAGGTGGACTATCTGGCTGTAAATCTGGCTCTGCCATTACCTTCTATAAGAACTTGGTCACATAACATCTCTGTGTCTTATTTTCATCATCTTTAAAAGAGTAACAGTAATAGTAAATGCCTCAAGTGCTGCTTTGAAGACTGGGTTAAACTGTGTGAAGATCTAGAATCCTGCTGTATAAGGATTCATTATAATAGTACTACCACTGTATTCCTTCCCATATACCTTTTTTCTCATAACATTTATCACTATATAATATTTTAAAATTGTTAGATTATTTGATGTCCTTTTGATATTTTATTTTATTTTTTTAGATGGAGTCTTGGTCTGTCTCCCAGGATGGAGTGCAGTGGCGCAATCTCGGCTCACTGCAACCTCTGCCTCCCAGGTTCAGGTCACTCTCCTACCTCAGCCTCCTGAGTAGCTGGATTTACAGGCATACACCACCACACCCAGCTAATTTTTGTATTTTTAGTAGAGATGGGGTTTCGCCAAGTTGGCTAGGCTAGTCTCAAACTCCTGACCTCAGGTGATCTGCCCTCTTCCGTCTCCCAAAGTGCTGGAATTACAGGCATGTTCCACCGTGCCTGGCCTCTTTTTGATATTTACTGTGTCTGCAAACATTTTGGTCTCCTTTTCACTGTTTTCCGTAGTGTCTGACACAAACTAGGGACTCACTATGAAATTGCTCAAATGAAAGAATCTCTTAGAAAGCTTTGACAATTTCACTCACAGAACTGCTGTAAGAATGCCCAATTTTTCCTGCACTGTTATTAAGCATTATAAATTTGCCAAGTTGATTACTTAAAAATGCTGTTTCTTCTTTTATGTGTATATGTTTGATCATTAATAGAAATTGATTTCATGTTTTTTATTCACTTTTTTCTATTTGAGATTGTTCATGATTTCTATGTATTTTCACATTGTTTTTCAGATTTATTTACTGCTTTATAATACTATGTTATTTTAAAATATCGGAATATGTTTTCATTTACTGAAATCTTCTCCTCACTGTTTCCTGTGCATAAATTTTTGTTGTTGAGTTTCAAAATAGAGAAGCTTAAATGAATGCAAATATACCCATTAAGTTCTTTGTTCTCTCCCCTCTTTTAACTCTTCTTTCTCTCTCTTTCCCCTCTTTCCTTTCTTCTCTCCCTCCTATCTTTCCCTCCCTCCCTTCCTTCCTCCTTTCTTCCTTCCTTCCTTCCTTCCTTCCTCTTTTTCTTCCTCTTGGCTATGCTTGAGTTTCTCCATGCTAACATTGTATCAATGTTAATCTGGGGCAATTTTATGTCTTTTAAAAGTATAATTAACTCTTTAATTAGTCATAATTATTTTTATAATAACTATAAATAACTCATTAATCAATAATTTATTTTACTATGGGGAATAAATCAAGGATTCCACATTTTAACTTTATTTATTCTCCATAAAATTGGTTGATGATCAGAGCCTCATTTGGTGTTTAAGACATCTTTTTCTGTTTATTTAAAATAGTGAGTACCTACTATGTGTCAAACACTATATTATATGCTTGAGACACAACGGCAAGTAAATACAGAGAAGACCCATGCTCATATGTCACATATTTTGATGGGGAAGGGATATTAATGCACAGTGAAATAAATTTTCCCAAACTATAATCAATTATGAAAAAAAAATTGTGTTGTACTAGGAGAATGTGTAACAGAAGGGCCTGGTCTAAAATAGAGGTCAGTATCATTCTGTTGAGGTATGATTATGAGTAGGAACTCACAAAGCAATAATAAAATTATTTGAAATACTCCTACAAACCTGGTTTGCTTCTCTGATTTCTGTATTGTGCCATTAACAGAGCGACTCTTTCCCAACTCTTCCATCACAGTTTAAAGATTATTATAGATTGAAAATGACTTACTAAGTGGCAGTGTATTTTCTCACCTAATATTCTGTTTTTTCAAAAAATTATAGTCAAGATCATTCATTATATTTTTCTAAATAAATATCTGTGTATATATACCCCCCGCATATATGTGTATGTGTATATGTATATACACACATAATTTTAGAATCTCTGTTATTTTCTAAAAGAAAATCCATTTTGTTATTATAATTGTACCACATTTATAAATTAACTAGAAGGTAGAATTGAAATATTTATGATATTAGGTATGTTCCTTCATGAAATGTACTGGGCTTCTTTATTGTATGTCCCACAGTAAACCTTTTAAAGTGTCTTTGTGTTAGTCCTATCATTTTTTATTATAACAATATTCTGCTCATTTTCTCCTTAGTATAGTCAGAAGTATTTTTTATTGACAATGATGCAAGATTAAGCTATTACATGTATAGTTGTATGTATATATGCATGTGTATGTGTGTGTGTGTGTGTGTGTATATATATATATATATATTTGTAACTGGCCACATTAATAAAACTTTGTTAATTTATATACATTGTATTGGCTTTTCTATATTGCCCAGAAATAATAGAATACCTGTCTCCTTTTTGCTAATAATTATTTCTTTTATTTGTCTTCTTATCTTTATTGCATTTGGTTTCTTTCTTTATTGCATGTGGCTTCTTACTTCCTAGTCTCTATTTTTCCTACTGCCTACCACCCTCACAAAAATTCTTAGGCTATAATTTTAAAAGAAAATTAATGGAGGTAAAAGGAATCTCTCTCTTTCCTGATTTTCATTAAGACATTTCTACTTTTTCTCCATTAAATATGATAGTGACTACTAATTTGTGACAGATCATCCTTATTATTATGTTAATATTTTTCTTATTTCTGTTCCCTTGGAGCTTTATTTATGATGAGGAATTAATTTTTATTAAACACTTTCTAAAAAAATGTATTAGGGGAATAATGCATTTCTTTCGTCTCATTAATTTTTTGAATCACACCACTAAGTTCAACAATGAAAACTCATTAGCAATTAGAATAATCTTTACATTTAAAAATACCAAGCAAATAGATATAGTGTCTTAAAAATTAATTTAATTTTTTTAACCATTTAATTATATCAGTGATAGCAGCAGGAGGCAGACAAATGCCTAAGCAGATGGAGAGGGTTCTCAGTGAAAGGCCACCTCCATGCCAAAGGCAGCCTGAAAGCCAAGCTACAAGTCAAATCCATGAACCAGATTAAGAAACTGTCTTCCCATCTGGCAAGGTTTTCTCTGATTCATCTTTGCCCATCACCTATTTTACAAATGCCTACCCTTCCCTATTTGTTTTCTTACACTGTCAGGCTCAACTTTGAGTCATGCCTTTGTTTTAACTTTTTTTCATACTCACAAACCAATCAGCACACTCTCCCCTATTCTGAGCCCATAAAAGCCTTGGACCCAGCCACACTGGAGAAACCACCCAACTCAGGGGTGGAGGACCACCCCCTGACACCCATGTCCACTCTCTGGTGAGAGCCATTCTGCCTCTCAAAAAAATTCTTCACTCATCCTCACTCTTCAATTTTCAGCATATCCTCATTCTTCCTGGACATAGGACAAGAGCTTGGGAACCACTGAACATGGGTACAAGCTATAGCACAGGTGGGCCAAGTTGGTGGGGTACCTCCAGCAGCAGGCCCAGGGCTGAGTGAGGCCCACATGTGGGGGCATTGCTGGCTGTGGAGGTCCCTGGATGGCAAAGTGGCCTAGAAAAATCCTGTGTCAATAGTATTGTTAATGTCTATCTTTTCTCTCTGACAATATCCTTTCTGCTGCTAATACATGAGCATTTTTGTTGAAAATATAATCATGTTTGCTAGTGTGGACCATTGCTAATATATCGGCAGTGTGCTTGGCTAATACATTGAAACTGTTCTAATAACTTTTCACAAATTATGTCAACTTACCCTTTATAATAACCCTTGATTTCAGGTTTTAATATTAATAATATATATTTTCTTCTGCTCTTTATTTACATGTGAATAAAATAAGGTCAGTAGAAGGAAGACTAGGTGCTCAATATCACACAAGTTGTGTAAGTTTGAAACAGAGAATATAGTTTTCTCACCACCTCCCCCATATGAACCACATGAATCTTTTAACCATTTGTTATACAGATTTCCATATTAATGTTTTATTTTATTTCTAATTTGAAACTCAGCTTATCTCAGACTTTTTTTTTCTTTTCTCAATTTTTGGAACTTAATATCTAATGCACCTTGTTACAGTCTTTCTTATTTAATTACAAAGTGGTATAGCACTGTGCATGAATAACACTCTGCATATACCTTCATTTGTAAGTAAACACATTCAGAAACAATTATGGCCCTGATGTTCTAAACTGCAAAATTAAGATTTTCCTTCAAGAACATTTATTTTAGTAGTTTTAACTAGAGTGATTTATTTTGATATGTTTTAGTACAATATTTGTTATGCAATAAGATATTTGTGGCCTGTTATATTTCTAGAAAATAATTAGACCATAGTTATAAGCATTTTATCTTAGTTCAGTTTATAATGTATACTCTCAAAATATGCAGTAACCAATGATCTGCCCAACTGTTGAAGCTCATAAATCATCAACCCCATTGAAACTGTGCAGATGTGGCATGTGCTATGTTATATTATTAGCATGTGTGTCTCCACATTTGATATTTATATCCTATCTACATGTGAGTAGGCCTTTAACTGGTTGTCTGTCTTGTATTTCTTGTTCAAGAAAGAATGAAACAGCCCTTAGTTTCCTTTAATGCATTCTAATAGGGCATTCTTACCATAGAACATGTCAAAAATTTTTATTGTGATAAAAGTTGTAGTTTGCCATTGAATGTAAAAAACATTAATTGGTGATTATATTCCCAAATTACTTTATACAGATTAATATACACTGGCTCACCAAAGAATTTAAGAGCACCAGTGTAAAAGGAATTAGTTTAGCAATTCTATTTCTAGCCAGACTTCAAAAAGTCAAAGTATCTGGAAAAATTAAGAAAAATGCCATTTTATGTAACTGCTATTCTTCCTCTGTTGATTTTAATTAAATAATTGCTGATCATTAGGTAAAGAGAAATGAAGTCAGAGTTTGCTTACACATTGATGATGAAACTGTCTCTCTGGGTCTCATTACAAAATTCTTCATTGCAGACACAACTCCTTACCGTAATTGCTATAAAAATTTGATTTACTTACTAATCAGTTTCCAAGGGCCTTATTAAAATGATTGGTTTCTCAGCTTTTTCATGGGGACATATTAACTGGAACCAATCTCAACAAACACAAAGTTTCAACTTTTTCATTAAGATTAATGAATATGCAGTTTAATTTGAAAGTGTTGAGATAATTATCTTCTTCCTCAGGGATGGTCATTTCCTCTACTTCGAAGCACCTTCCTTTGGGAGATAAGGTATTTTAGTGGGAAAAGAAGAGGATTTGGAGCCAAACCTAGGTTTGTACCCAGGGTCTTCTCCTATTTACCCATGCGCTCTTGGGAAAGATATAAACTCAGAGCCTCAATTAAGAAATGAAAATACTACTTACAGCAGAGGACTATTTTAAAATGTACAGTTATAGTGAATATTAAATTACTCTGCAAAATAGAAATTAATGATATATGGATTGTGAATAAAATAACATTAATGATGATGACAGTGTTTAACATTTAGTCAATGCTTATTGTGTCCTACACAAGGTGCTAAAATATTTATATATATTATATCATTAATCTTCATAAAAACATGAAGATATAGGTAAAATGAGTCCACATTTTGAGTAAGAAAAGAGGCTCAGATAATTTAAATACTTTGCCTTAAGCTACAGCTGATAAAAGTGTTAGCGAGAATCCAGATGTGAATATAGATTAGATATTTTTGGCTACTATTGTGCTTATTCCCTCCCTTTCTATTTTATTTTTTCAAAATTTATTCTAAGATACTAAAGCATGCATTATGATTGTGTCTCAGTAAACTGTAACAAATTTGCCATTCTCATGTTATTTGTAATAATAGGATAGACATTGTATTAGACATATAGATAAGAGACAGACAGATATATACATACATACCTACATACATACATGCACATGACAATAATTCTTTGCCTGGTCAAACCTTTGTGTGGCTCCTGAGCCTTCTCCTAAGCCCATCTATGTACCTGCTTGTAAAATTCAATTTTAGCAAATAACCCCGCTAAGTCAGTTTAACAAGAATCCCCCCACCCATGATATCTGATTTCTTTCAATATCTGATCAGGTTCGTTATCTTCCACCATTCTCTACGTAATGTCTGATCATCCTGGCCTGTCTTCTGCAAGAATCCTGTAAGGTTGGTTTAGCCAGAAGCTTCTTTAACAATTATGTTTTCTCTTAGTCATTTTCCACTCACTGACCTCCACTCTGCCCCCTGGCTATACATTTCTACTTGCCCATGCCCTACTCAGAGCTGAGCTCAAACTCTCTCCCCTGCTGCAAGACCCCATTGCAGTCATCCCTGTATCTCTGCCAGTGGTCCTGGATAATTTCTTCCTTACTGTTGTTTAACAAGTGTCATTAGATATTGTTTTTTTCTTTAATACATGCGCACACTTATGCATATATTATTAAATTCCTCAACTAAGACTATCAGTCTTCTAACTATGAATCCCAGTAACACAATCCAGGGAATAGTAAACTAAATACATAAATATCAAAATTTTCACTTTTTTTAAGTTTCATACACACAACCTGTAATTTTTTTTTAATTTTGAATTTTATTCTGTTTTTCTTAATTTTCCCACATTTTAGCCTCTTTGAAAGTTACTAAGTTGTATTTCATTGTGTTAAGCCCCTATTTCATTGAAGGACTTTTTGAAAATGCTACTTCTGATTATATCAATCTTATATATCTGGTTGGTGCAAAAGTAATTGCAGTTTTGCACCATGAATTTTAAATCATTATAACTAGGCTCAAACAAATCTTTATTAATCAAACTAGAAACAACTATAATCAACACATTTTTGCCAATGAGACATAAATTTGCTTATTCCTGTAGTGTAAAAATCCGTGCTTTGGGATTTGACGAACTCTTAGAAAGCATTTTCTGCATCCTGCTGGTTGTGGAAGCGTTTTCCCTGCAAAAAGTTGTCGAGATTCTTGAAGTGGTAGTCAATTGGCAAGAGGTCAGGTGAATATGGCCGATGAGGCAAAACTTCATAGTCCAATTCGTTCAACTTTTGAAGCGTTGGTTATGTGATGTGCAGTCTAGCATTGTTGTGGACAAGAGTTGGGCGCTTTCTGTTGACCAATGCCGGCTGCAGGTGTTGCAGTTTTTGGTGCATCCCATTGATTTGCTGCGCATACTTCTCAGCTGTAATGGTTTCTCCAGGATTCAGAAAGCTGAGGTGGATCAGACTGGCAGCAGACCACCAAACAGTGACCATGACCTTTTTTTGGTGCAAGTTTGGCTTTGGGAAGTGCTGTGGAGCTTCTTCTCAGTCCAGCCACTGAGCTGGTTGTCACCAGTTGCCATATCCACTTTTAATCGCACGTCACAATCCGATTGAGAAATGGTTCGTTGTGTGGAATGGGAAGATGACACTTCAAAATGATGATTTTAAAAAAATTTTTGCTCAGCTCACGAGGCCCCCACTTGTTGAGCTTTTTCACCTTCCAATTTTCTTCAAATGCTGAAGGACCGTAGAATGGTCGATGCTGAGTTCTTTGGCAACTTCTCATGAGGTTGTAAGAGGATGAGCATCGATGATTGCTCTCAATTGGTCATTGTCAACTTCCGATGGTTGGCCACTATACTCCTCATCTTCAAGTCTCTTGTCTCCTTTGCAAAAGTTTTTGAAACTTTTGCACTGTACATTCGTTAGCAGTTCCTGGGCCAAATGTGTTGTTGATGTTGTGAGTTGTCTCTGCTGCTTTATGACCCATTTTGAACTCGAATAAGAAAATTGCTCAAATGTGTTTTTTTGTCTAACAACATTTCCATAGTTTAAAATAAATATAAAATAAACATCAAGTAATAAGTCATTAGCCAAAAAAAAATAAAGCAAGAAATGCGCATTAAAATGATGTATAACATAATCACATTTATTTAAGAATGCATTCCAACATCAAACAACAAATTTCAACAATGCAAAAACTGCAATTACATTTGCACCAACCTACTATATAGCATTATACAGCTTCTGTCTGCTATGGGACTTAGACTACACTCAGAGGTATGACTTATGAGGATTTATGTTGCCATACTCCTTTCTTTGTAACTTCTTTCCCTAATATTTTCCTCCTTGCCTACCACAAAACTTCTCCTTCATTGGCTGTGGCTGCATTTCTTGTCTTTGCACTTGCTGTGTCACTGAAATACTTTTTTTTTTTTATTACACTTTAAGTTCTAGGGTACATGTGCACAACGTGCAGGTTTGTTACGTATGTAAACATGTGCCATGTTGGTGTTCTGCACTCATTAACTCATCATTTATATTAGGTATATCTCCTAATGCTATCCCTCCTCCCCTCCCCCCACCCCACAACATGCCCCGGTGTGTGATGTTCCCCTTCCTGTGTCCAAGTGTTCTCATTGTTCAATTCCCATCTATGAGTGAGAACATGCAGTGTCAGGTTTTAAAGCCTAACATTTTCTTGTCCTTCTAGTACAAGCTCAGAAGTTAACTTCTTAGAAGAAATTTACCATATGCACTCACTCTTCTCCTTACCTGATCTCCAATAGAAAAAAAAAGTTAATTAACCATTTCTCAGTGTACTATCAGTGTCTTCTTGTGTCACTGTTGTATTTTCATACTGTGTTATAATTCTTTCCACATCTGTTTCCCTTATTAGGCTAGGAGTTATCTGAGGACAGGAATTCTGACCGAGTTATCCCTTTCTTTACCTCCAGTGTCTTATATATTATGGTGACTCAGTTTATTATTCTTATTTATTTATTTATTTTAGCAAATAGTGGACCCATTTGAAAGGCATTCAAAAAAACCCTTATAATAATAAAATATTATCATTTTAATTAAATTTTCAAGCCAAATCATTTTATTTCTTTAGGACCTTTTTTTATTTGAATATTTTTGATGTTTAATTCAACATACACTTTACCTAACAGATCCCACTCTAAGTATTTTTTTCCCATTGTATTTTTAAAATTTTTGTCTGCAATACATAGGGGTTTCATTTTTATTAAAATTTCAACATTCTGATTTGTTGATTTCCTTAGATTTTACTGATCACATAACTTGTAAAACATATTTTTATTTTTTCTTTAACAAATCTGTCTTACTTTTCCTTTGTGTAGATTTGTCAGCCTCTATGATAATACTTTTAACAGAGAGGTACTGATATTTCAAACCCCAAACTAATACAACTATTTTAAAAATTGTAATCTTTTTATGTTTTTACTATATAAACTACTTATTATATAAGAAACTATTAAAAACTTTTTATGGACATTTTCAAACAAATATAAAATTAGAAGAATTTTTATAGAAATCCCCCTATAACAATTACCCAACTTAAATTTTTCTCAAAGGTCTTAGAATGCACCCACCCACACCTAAATACATAGAGGTGATATTATTTCTAAAAAAATTCCCAAAGCATTTAATTATCAAGAAAAATGTTAGATAAATTGCAAGGAAATTAGAGAATTATTGGTCAGATTCTTGTGAAGAAACAACCCACAATAATTCAAATAAAGAGAAATAAACAAACATGGGATACTGAGTACCTGGGATCTAACCATGAAACTATTAGCACCTCAGTGGCTGAAGGGACTCAATGGGAATCGAGAACCCAATGATAGGTAGGGTGTGAGTGAGAGGTTGCCTGAAAGGAAATGAGGACAGGGATGCCTCTACTGCCAGGCATCACTTTAGAACTGTGACAGCCATAGTTCAAGAGCAGAGAGAGAGCAGGGCTAATGTATTCTGGCCTCTCTCTCCTCATCCCATCTGATCTCCTGTTACAGGTTCCAATTGGCTGCAACCTATTGAATCCAGCCATCAAGTATTCCTTAGAGATGTAGTCCATGGAAATCAGTAACTTCATGCTTAGAGAAGAGCAAGAAAGAAAAGTGTAAATTAGTAGTTATGTTTCTGGAGTTAGTCAAAGTCCCAGTTCGCTGCTGTGTGGCCTTGAGCAAAGTGCCTGACCTTCCTAGACTTCAGTTTTCACCTTTGTAAATAGGGATGATAATACTACTTATAGTGTTGCCAGGACTAAATATGCTAATATATGGACCTCTTAGACTACTGCTTGGCACAATATGAGTGACTATAAATGAGTTTATAGTCTTATTTACAGTGAATATTATTACCAGAGTGAATATTATTACTACGAAAGACTGTGGTGTCCTATTCTTCACTCATAGATGAAATTAAGAGAGATAATTGTGAGAGCTCGAGGATTCTTGGTTTCCCCATCTGTTTAAATGACCATGTTAAATTAGATGATCTTAGAAGGCCAGATAGAGAATGATGCAAATAATTACTTGTAAGACCTACATTAAGAAATTAAAAGCAAGGTTTAAAACACACTTTTCCTCTCATCTGATTTCAGTTGTGTTTTTGTGTGCTTATATTGTACAGAACAAACTACTTTTAAAATTGACTGATAGATAAGTCAATTTTAAAATATTTATTTTCATTTTTTATAGTAAGACCTGTGCTAGGATGCAGGAATACAGTGGTGAGCAAATTGGAAATGGTCCCTGACCTCACAGATCTTACAATTGACTGAGAGAGACTTAAAATAAATGGTCACAAAGGAGCATAAAATTACGACCTGTGATTAATCCTTCCAAGAAGAGATGCATGATGCTGAGAGAATTGGAAGAGAAACCCAAAATAGTTCAGTTTTCAGCAAAAGTTTCCCTGGTAAATGATGCTTAGTTTGAATACCAAAGGATTGGCAAAAGGGGTGAGAGTAGGGACAACATTTAAGGAGAAAGAAAACAATATTCTGAATCTTGAAGCAGCAAGAAACTTGCAACATCAGAAGAAATGAGAAAAGCTACTGTGGCTAGAACAAAAGTGAATTTGAGGGAGAGCAAGGTAGAGCTGGAGAAGAAAGTCTTAGATCATGCAGGAACCTGAATACGATTGCATAAAATTTCATCTTTATTCTAACAATATTTGGAAGTCATTAAAACTTCTTAAATCAATATGATTATTCAATGGGGTTTATGTTTCAATAAATTTATTAGAGACTAATTAAAATGATATTTTAGCCATTTTAGAAAAGATGATGTTAGTTGGGATTGGAGGATGGCAACGGAGAGGGAAGGAAAAGCATGAATAAGGTGAACATCTAAGAGGTAAAAAATTAGACATAAAATGGGGGAAGTAAGGAAGACAAAGAAGTGAAGGATAAATACTAGCGTATGACTTGCCTAGTAGGATAGACAATAGGGATAAAGCACACAGGACAACGACTAAATTTGAGGTCAAGATATTGGGAACTTGGCCTTGGGAATGTAGAATTTTAGTTGCCTTTGAGCCATGCAACTTAAACTCAATACTAGGTATTTGGATATAGAGCTCTGAAGCTACAGGAAGTGGTAAGATAGAGAAACAAATGTAAGAATCATTGATAATTGAAGTTGTGGGTATAATAAAACAGTCTACAAAAATGAGGAATGGGAAAAACTAACAGCTGAACTGAGGATGCCAAATCTGCAATTAGTGAGGTAAGAGAAAAACAAAGAAAATGTGGTGGCATCACACAAGACAAGTGAGACATTGTACAACATTTCCAAATTTCAGAAGAAATTCAGCTAAGAATGGACAATTTTCCATTGTATATATCCATAGTGAGACAGTAGGTTAACCTAGAAAGGATTGGTCTCAGTGATAAGTGGGAAGCTGGATTTGAAAGAGCAAAGGATTATGAAAAATTGGAAACAATAAACAACTTTTTTGAGAATTCTGACTAGTGCTACAGGTTGTGTTTTACATCCACATACCTAATTCATATATAATAGTTTCTTAGTTTGTAATTTGAGAAGAAGCTGAACTTCACCATTAATAACAAATAATATATTTTTCAATATTGATTTAGAAAAAGCATGAAATGAGGACTTCTTTTGTTCAGGTATACTTTTTTTTTCTTTCTTCTTTTTTTTCTTTTAATTTTTAGGTTTATGGGTACATGTTCAGGCTTGTCATATAGGTAAACTTGTGTCACAGTGATTTGTTGTACAAATTATTTTGTCACCCAGGTACTAATCCTAGTACCCAACAGATAATTTTTCTGATCCTCTCCCTCCTCCCAACCCTCCACCTTCAAGGAGGTCCCAGGGTCTGTTGTTTGCCTCCATGTGTCCCTGTATTCTCATCATTCAGCTCCCACTTACAAGTGAGAAAAGGTTGTATTTGGTTTTTTGTCCCCGTGTTAGTTTGCCAAGGATAATGGCCTCCAGCTTCATCCATCCATCTTTTATATGTCTCACATTTCCTTTATTCAGTCTACCACTGATGGACACTTAGGTTGATTCTATGTCTCTGCGATTGTGTATAGTGCTGCAATGAACATATGTGTGCATGTGTCTTTACGGTAGAAAGAAGTTCTTTTTTTTTTTTTTTGAGATGGATTCTCGCTCTGTCACCCAGGCTGGAGTGCAGTGGCGCCATCTCGGCTCACTGCAAGCTCTGCCTCCCGGGTTCACGCCATTCTCCTGCCTCAGCCTCCCAAATAGCTGGGACTACAGGCGCCCGCCACCGCGCCTGGCTAATTTTTTGTATTTTTTAGTAGAGACGAGATTTCACCACGTTAACCAGGATGGTCTCGATCTCCTGACCTCGTGATCCGCCCGCCTCGGCCTCCCAAAGTGCTGGGATTACAGGCGTGAGCCACCGCGCCCGGCTAGAAGTTCTTAATGTACTACAAAATCAATGTCTTCCAATGTTCTAAAGTGATATAAAATTTAAAAATAAGGGTATAATCCTTTATATTGAAAGATGGTTTTAGAAGATGTAGAGAGACAAATCAATCAGAAAAGATAGATTCAGTGGCAAAAAGAAAAAAGGTATGAACAGTAAGAAAACATAATGAGATGAGATGTAGAACTTAGAATGATGAGTCATATATGTGTCTGTATGCATATACATGGGTGGTGGGAGAGAGACAGATACATGAGGAAATGAATTTTGAGGAGTATGTAGAAATCATTTTCATTGAAGACAGCATAATGTACACCAGAAAGATTTAATAAATTTTCCACCTAGATAGAGATTGAAACTGGTAGTAACGGTTTTGGTTTTCTTGTCAGCTTTTGGAGTATCTTTGTTTTATTTGTGGTTCTGATTCTGTCTTGCTTATTAAAACAGATATCTTTGAACATTTACTGCCTACCCGACAGTTTACCGAACTTTTCACATACATTAACTCATTCAGTACTCTCAAAGACATTATAGAGAAGGTATAATTTTACTTCATTTTAAAATTGAGGAGATTGAGGCTCAAAAAGTCATAGACCTTTTCCCAAGATCTCATAAGTAAGTTGCTCAGGATTTAAGTGTTCATCTTATTGTTTCACAAAACTTGATTCTTAATAAAAATGAACTGGGTGTTATGGTTTATTATATCATTTCCAGTAGTAGATCACACATTTGCCCTCATGGATATGTATATAAGTATTTTTGAAGTATGACTGTCTCAGGAATACAGGTAGTTTGAAGGATTAAAAATTTTTTTCAATGTAATTTGTCCAGCTCATCTCACATTGAGAGAAACATAGGAGGAAACATCAAGCTTTCAGATACCTCTAGAGGTTCAAGTTTAGATCCAATGGGACCTAGGAACTAATAAATCATCTGAATAACTTCTAAATGAGCTCATTAGGAGTCAAGATCACTGCTAAGCAGGTAAGTGAGTCTTTATATGGAGCCAAGAGGCATCCCTCCACCCATGCCTCAGATCCTCATTAGAAGCCTCTCTCTTCGGTAAGCTTTAATGTTAAATGGATTCAGACTGCATCCTAACTGTATTTCATACCTTCACACTGTCTGCTTTTCCAGAACTGTCTAAAGGATATCTATTCGTATTTAAAATAATACTTCATTGCTGTATTTTAAATTTGTATTTGAAATAATACTTCACTGCTGAGGCAGGAGAATCTCTTGAACCCGAGGGGCGGAGTTTGCAGTGAGCCAAGATCGCGCAATTACACTTCAGCCTGGGCAACAAGAGCGAAACTCCGTCTCCAACAAAATAAAATAATAATAATAATAACAATAAGAATACTTCGTTAATCCTCAGTGCTATCTCTCTCTCTCCTCCTTACAAACATACACACACACAAACACGCTCTCTCTCTCCCTCTCTCTCTCTTCTTAAATGATGACATGATAAGTCGAGCAGAGAACCTCTTAGAATTTACCATGCTTTCTGCAATAGTTCCCACAAAATAAGAGTTGTTACTATATGGACGATGGAGGAGAGAGATGTATGCGGATGTGATTTTCTGACTAAAATTCTTAGGAAATTCATTTACCAAGAATGGCCCTCCTTAAGTTCTGGAAATGAGATTTTTAATAATCCATCCTTAGCCTTGGCAAACACTGAACATAAGGTAAAATTTTCCCTTCTAAATAAGAATGAATACTCACTATACATTTTTGAATCCTATAACACAATAAAGTAGAAACCTATTGGCATATCATTTACCGAATATTGCTTCTCAGGTGAAGTATTCAGCTTTAACCAGGGCTCCAGTGTAATCCAAATCAAACCAGGGCTTCCCAACCTTTTTCCATGCCATATCATGCCATTTTTGCATGCGTTAAGTTACATAGAGGGAACACCAATGGTTCAAGATGTCCTCAGGTCTGAACACCTATAGCACACTGGTGGCGCACAGGGTGCCCCTGCAGCCTGTTGCTAAGATCTGGTGAAGAAATCAAGCTTGTTGCAGTCCTGGAATGAAGAATGCTTGGCCTGAAAAAGCCCTGAACACCCTGATAAAGAACAAGGTAGAACATGAATAGCACTAGGCAGTGAGTAAATCAGAAAATGTCTTGATGTTTTGATTGATAGGGCAGTGGAAAGGCAAGAGGAGGTCTCCATTAATCTTTTGCTTTTCCGTTATTGAATATATTTTTCTATGCAAAGCATTGCCATTGTATTAGATGCCAAAGTGTTTAAAACCTGAGATATATGTCTCTAATTCTTAAGAAGCAAGGCAAGCCCTTCAAGAATTAGTGTTTCAGAGAGAGATATAATTCATGTTGCAACTGAGTTTTGAGAATCTAGATGGGCAAATATAACCTACGGAGATTTGAAGATAGCAAAATAAATAAAACTGCTTAATTTTAAAGAACTAGCCAACTATCAGAAAGGCCTAAAAAAGACAATTGCTAATTAATTTTGGTACTCACCAAAATAATTAGAAAAACCAATATTTTCTTCAACATGCATGGTTAAGTGAATATCTAAAATTTTCGTCCAATAGTTTAAAAAGGTACTAAGATGTAATTTTTCAATGCTGTAAATATTGGCATTTAAAATTAAATATAGATTTAAATGAATGCCTAAAATTAAATGTATCTTAATATAAAATAATTAACATAACCTATATTTTTCTAATTTTGATGAGTGATGATTAAATATAAATTTAACTTGTTGAAAATTGTCTTATTAATGAGATGGGAGTCATATTAATGGTGTCTTGATAAGAAGGATTATCCAAATGCTGAAGTCTTTTAGAATCCAGGATATTTTTTACACCTGGGGGCAAGAGATCATAAGATTCCAGATGGATGAAAAGTATGCCTTTTGTTTATAACATGGGAAAATGAATGATTTTGAAAATAGAAAACCAAGGAGAACCAAGAGCACAGGTACTTTCTCAATCAAATCATTTTCAGAAAAATGGAAAGATAGAAATAGAGGAACTGAAGATTAACTTTCTTAAGACTATTTTTGTGCAGTTGGGATTTCACTGACATGGTGGAGTGTTGTACTCAAACTAATTCACAGGTTAGGCAAACAAATCCCAAAAAGAAATTTTGAAAATATTTCCAAAAAATTTTAGATATTTTGAAAATTTTGAAAATATATCTGAACTCTGGTTGCCATTCCAAAAATCAAATTTGCTCTTTAGATTACTGATTCTCAAACATGGTTGTACATTAGAATCACTTGGGCCTCGGTGCCTCCAAGATGTTCTGAATAAATGGTATTGGATGCCCCAGTATTGTCATGTTAAGAGCTCTAGATGATTCCAATATGCAGTAAAGTTTAAGGCAAAACTTGCTTTAGGAAGATGAAGTGAAGGAAGAAACATTAGTGCTCATGAAATAACTCTTGGTTTGAAATATGGAATTGATTTTAGATTTCCCCTAAAAATAGGTAAAGATATGAAAATGACCAAATGGGTGGTGAGACTTTGGGATGGTGATTAATTCAAAAAAACCCAGACAAATGAATTGGAGGCTATGAAGAAAAACTGCTTTTAAAAACTTAGAGGAATTAATAAAATAATGTACAGAGTTGTAAGGTAGATACAAAATCATAAATGCTGTATTTTTATGAGCACTGTAACAGATTTTTATAAGTAATTTTATTTCTACGTGATTTTTAAGTTTATTGAATTTGGAATGTAAACTCCAGTTTAATATCCAACTTCGCTGTGGACTTTGTTTTTCTACCATAATGTGCTGTATGTATCTACTTAAACTTAAATATTCCATGTTACCTAATAGCACGTGTCCACCATAGTTAACGTTCTTACTGATACATCTATTTTCTCATGTGGCTTTTTCTCATTTGGTGTGACATGTACCTTGGAACCACCACAAATCTTGAAGTTATATAAAAGCAATAACACAAGAAGTGCTAACATATAGATGGACTTCATTAAGTAAAAAATAAAGTGAAATAAATGGTAGATAAACCTCTTTCCCTGACACTATTTTTCAGTGAAGGTGGTCTATTTACTTTTACATTGTGGGATAGCCTTATAATTATCCTCAATTAGGGTTCAAATTATAACTTCACAGCTCGAATTGACATAAAATCCTTTGTGAAAAAAAATTGAGCATATTCAAGTCCCATATGTAAGTCAGATAATTCTCACTTTTGAATATTCATGAACGAAACAGTTATTTACTGAGAATAGCAATATATATGTATATATGTATATGTCTATGCATCTGTGTGTGTGTGTGTGTGTGTGTGTATATATATATATATATATATATATATATATATATATATGTTTTAGGAGTCTTCTATTTTACTTTGACCTAGTATATGAAAACTTAGCAATCTTTGGAAAACTACAGTTTTCATGTTTGTCTTCTGTAAGCTTTAAACATTTAGTTTGACACTTTAGCCTCGTTCTTCCATCCATCCCGGCGATTAAAGCTTAAGGAACAAACCACTACACTTGGGCAGCATAAGGATGATTAGAAATATGGGCTCTGCTGTCAGTTATACATAGTCACACTAATACTCTGTGACCATCACCAGAAAGTCGGATTTTTCCAATGTTTATAAGGAGTTATGGGTGAGAGCCTTCCTCATAGGGTAAGCAAGAGACTATCTTAATTCATGTAATGCACTCAGAATATCTGATAAGGACATCACTCAATTGCAATAGATAAAATAATAATAGTACTAATCAATGGAATATGAAAGACAAAGTGGTTAGATATGATGATCTCTCAAAGCATTTTCTAGTTAATATTTCATGATTCTATTTTTTGAAAAATAAAGCCAGGACCAAATTAAAGTTTAAATAGGCTAATATTGGGCTTAACAAGATGAATCCTCTTTTTTTCAGGGCTGGTAGAAATACAAATAATTATAATTATCCTAAAAGATGCATCAAAAACTCCACCCACCAGTATATGTTTCCATAAAACTTTTTACAACTGAATGTTTCCTTTCTCATATTTCTGATCAAATTTCTTTCCATTTCTACAGCATAAATTACTTATTCTATATAAATGTGGGAAGGAATATAGCAAATTGAATAGTTCATAGGAGCTCTAAAATTATTTTGATCTATTTTTGACATATTTTATGGAAGCACGCACAAAACCGAAAAATAAGGAAATATAAATGTGGTCACGTCTATAAATTCAATATTTTTGTTCTGTTATATATGCATGGAAAATATATAAGATTTTTAATGGCAGCAAAAACATTGAAATATTAGTGTCAGTTGTCACAAGCGGTTTCATACTATATAATTTTAACCAACATCTTCTCTTATTTTCTAAAATTACAAAGCAAAATATTTCTTAAGGTGGTCTATTTACTATTCTGCAAGTAAAAGACTCCCCTCCCTCAGGCAAGATTGGCCTCTGTCATTAGAGAGGTAAGATGTATGTTTTTGCCCACATGATGATATGATTCAAGGCAAGAAGACAACAATCATCACCTTTACCCAACACTGACAGGGAACATGAGAAGTATCTTTTTTATTTTTCAACTGCGACAAAATCTACAAAACCTGTTAGGATAAATGGCTGAAGTTAATATCATTTATGTCACTGTATTCATTCTGAAAGGAATTACCAACCGGCCAGAGCTTCAGGCCCCGTGCTTTGGGGTGTTTTTAGTTATCTATCTGGTCACAGTGCTGGGCAATCTTGGGTTGATTACTTTAATCAAGATTGATACTCGACTCCACACACCTATGTACTATTTCCTCAGCCACCTGGCCTTTGTTGACCTTTGTTACTCCTCTGCTATTACACCGAAGATGATGGTGAATTTTGTTGTGGAACGCAACACCATTCCTTTCCATGCTTGTGCAACCCAACTGGGTTGTTTTCTCACCTTCATGATCACTGAGTGTTTCCTTCTAGCCTCCATGGCCTACGATTGCTATGTCGCCATCTGTAGTCCCCTGCATTATTCAACACTGATGTCAAGAAGAGTCTGCATTCAACTGGTGGCAGTTCCATATATATACAGCTTCCTGGTTGCCCTCTTCCACACCGTTATCACTTTCCGTCTGACTTACTGTGGCCCAAACTTAATTAACCATTTCTATTGTGATGACCTCCCCTTCTTAGCTCTGTCCTGCTCAGACACACACATGAAGGAAATTCTGATATTTGCCTTTGCTGGCTTTGATATGATCTCTTCCTCTTCCATTGTCCTCACCTCCTACATCTTTATTATTGCCGCTATCCTAAGGATCCGCTCTACTCAGGGGCAACACAAAGCCATTTCCACCTGTGGCTCCCATATGGTGACTGTCACTATTTTCTATGGCACACTGATCTTTATGTACCTACAGCCCAAATCAAATCACTCCTTGGACACAGACAAGATGGCTTCTGTATTTTACACAGTGGTGATCCCCATGTTAAACCCCCTAATCTATAGTCTAAGGAACAAAGAAGTGAAAGATGCCTCAAAGAAAGCCTTGGATAAAGGTTGTGAAAACTTACAGATATTAACATTTTTAAAAATAAGAAAACTTTATTAAACAAGCAGGAAATAAATCAAACTTTTTCTTGTAATTATTTCCCAATGAACTGAAAATGTAGCTGTTACTTTAATGGACCTTGACATTTTCTGCAAGAACCAGGCAGATCATGAAAAATCAGTACGAATTAAAGCATTCAATTCAGGCCATCACAGTCTTGGCAGACCACTGAAACCACGTTCAAATACAAACAGAGACACACTCATATATGCAAACACTCATAGGTGTATTTAAAGCAAAGGCAGCAGCATGTTTTTGTTAGAGTTTGGGATGCTGAAACAAGATTGAGTTTGAACACTATTTCCTTCATATTAGCTCTGCAACCTTGGAAAATTGAGCTAAATTTTGTGTGGCTTTGTCTCCAAGTCTGGGAAATAATAGGACCTAACTCATTGCTCTTTTTTTAAGGATTGTACAGGTTAATATTTATGAAATGCTTAGAAAAATATCCAGTGATAATAAGTGTTTTGGAAGCCTTAGGTATATAAATGTTTGTTATATAAAGTTAGAAATGAATTTATTTGGCCTGGCACAGTGGCTCACACCTGTAGTACCAGCACTTTAGGAGTCAAGGGTGGGAGGATTGCTTAAGCCCAGGAGTTCAAGACCAGCCTGGGCAACATAGCGAGACCTTCTCTCTCTCTCTCTAAAAACAAACAAACAAACAAACCAAAACATAAAACTATTAAAAAATAAATTCATTAAGGTCTTCAAGGCTAATTAGTCAAGTAGTCCTACTTGCTACAATCAAGTAAACATATGATGTGTGTGAAGTTTTCTCTCTAAATTGAAGGTCACATAACTAGCAATATGAAAATTCTAAAAGCAAATTTAGGTTTATCTGAATTTTTTGTTAACACTGTGGGTGTTAAGAATGAGGTTAATTGGATTTAAATGTGTCATTATCAGATTTTTTAAAAAATATAATTGGAAGAACATGTTTTATAAGAAATAATTTTTAAAATAAACACCTTCATTGTACTTGCATATTTGTTCAATTAGAAAGTACCCTATGTTATTATGTAATTTATTTGTGCCTGCTATTTATTCAGTCACCCTTGTAGATGATGACATATGATTAAAAAAAGTGATATGATACATTTTTATTGTTTTGACATTTCAGAAAAAGTAGTGGTTTAAAATTATTATTTTTTTTCAATTTTACAAGGAGATTATGATACTTGCAGCCATTATATAAAATACAATTTGAGCTTTACAATATACTGTGATTATTTCCTCTTCTGTACTTTCTTTGTAAATGACTCAGATATGCTACCCTGAGGTGCTTTTAGAACCTTGTGAGTGGAGTGAATTACCTGGCCTTTAAAACAGGTTTAACAGAGAAACCTGGTTTTTCTACTCTCCACACTTTGTCTTGTGAGTGTATATTTCTGTGGATGGATATACACAATATTCTCACATATCAGAGCCACGACAAGAGTCATAGACAGTCTCTCTTTTTACAGGTAGTGAGATTCAGGTCTACGGATCCTGAAAATTCACCTGGAGGAGATTGGTCTTCTGTGGTTTCACTGCACCTGCCTACTTGATAGAATTATTTACAGTAGCAATGTTTAAACATTAATTGAATTCTTCATGTCTTTACAGAGTTATAATTCCCTACTATTAACAATCACATATTGAGATAAACCTAGGTTTTCTAAGGGAAATGAGCTAAGAAATTCAACTTTACTCAATAGACTTTTTTTTTTAAATGTTTATTCTTGCGCAGATACACGCAGTTCTGTGCAGCCTCTAAAACTATCATCTGAAAATTGCTCCAGGTCACTGAGTTCATCTCCTAAAACACCAGTCCTTCAGACAAAACATTGAAATAAACACTATTCAGTCTCCAGGCATATTTAAATAAATACTTGTATTTGTCACCCTTCTGTTTGTGATCTCTATGATGTTTCTGTATCTAGGTATAGAATAAATACAGAGGCTGACAAATAATATAGGTCTTTAGCGGTGTCTAAGATCAGTGGAGAACATGCTTGATTCCAGAAAGATTTGACCACAGATTTGAGTTTTGATACTTCTAGTGTATAATATGTAAAGCTCAAATACCTTATAAAACAAGAAACATGCTTATTCCACAAGCTACAGTATGAGTATGTAGTAGAAACATGTGTGAAGGCCTTGGCATGATGGCTGTCACCTAAAAGAGCCTTGGTAAGTATCAGCTTTATTATTATTGGTGAACGACCCTTAATACACTTTCTTGTAAATAAAATTTTTATATAATTTATTTTTGTATCTACAACTGATTAGTGGTCCACCTTGAATAAATACTCATCTCCATTCAATGTTATAAAAATTAGCTGAGGCAATCCATTTTAAACACTTCACCCAGAATTTGATACAAGAAAAGCACTCAGTAGACGGTAGCTCATTCATACTTTGAAAAATTAGGAGTTCAATAAATTCGTAATTTATTAATCTAGTCTTTGTTAAATTAAACAAAAGTGGTTTTATTTTTTAAAAATGCATATTTTAAGTAACGAGTATGAAGGAACCTAAAAGAGTTATTTTAAAATATGTCTATCAATACACACACACGATGAAATTTAAAAGAATTTATTTTAAAACACCACAATAAAATAGCTCCTTAACTTTTATATTTTCTTTTTGTTGATTTTAAAATAAAGAATATCATATTGCCAGCTATCTCAAACTTTATTACCTTACTATCCAAGGCCAAATAAGAGAAATAATTGGTATAATAACAATGTCAATAATTAAGTGTAATACACACCATATGTGAAGTACCAGCTGTGTGCTAGGAACTTTGCAAAGCTCTATATTTATAATGTTATTTAATCTTCACAATCAGTCCAAGAGATAAGAAACTACAAGCGCATTTTGAAGATGAGGAAACTAGGTACAAAATGTGAAATAATTTACCAATGACAACAGTTGATTATCACAGAAACTAAAATTATTAGTCAAACTGTTTGAAGATTTGAAGAGTCCAGTTACTAATCAGATGCTTATATAGAGCAGGCAGTGAATTATAATGGTGTGAAATGGCTCTAGTGGTCCAAATGGATACGGAATTCATGGTAACTCTGCTGGTGCTACCCTTCCCAGTAGAATGCAGAGAAAGTAGAGTGCTAAGGAAATTATCCAGTCTTAAAACCAAGAAAAGTATCCTTGCTATTTAAACTTTGACACTGTTTCCAGATAATCTGTGCAGCAAATTTGAAATGTAAGATAACAGATGTTGAACTTTAATATAATTCAAATATCACACATGATTTAAATAAAACAGCTATTTCCCATGCTGTTTATTTCATTATTGATGAAGCTGTGTTGTTCAGAGAGGAGTAAGATTCTCTCTCTCTCTCTCTCTCTCTCTCTCTTTCCTTTTCTTTTACAATTCAATGACATAAAATTTACCAAATGCATTTTATGTGGAAACTATGGAAAACGACACAGTGGATGAAACATACCCTGAGTGATGTTGAGTAGCCAAACTACGGAATTTGGCTCTGTCATTTACCACCAATGTGACTCTAGATAAGACACAACTCAAAGTCCTGGGTTTTGCCTCTGTCTAGGGATTTTTAGGTTATTTGACAGCCAAACATAACTTTTCTATAATTCTCTTTAGTGCATTTTTTACCTCCTGATTTCTTAAACTATAGATCAGTGGGTTTAATGTAGGAATCACTACCACATTAAACACAGAAGCAACTTTATCCATATTCAGGGAATGGCTTGACTTGGGCTGCGGGTACATAAAAATGATTGTTCCATAAAATATTGTGATGGAGGTCAGATGGGAAGCACTGGTAGAAAATGCTTTCTGTCTCCCTTCAGCAGAATGTATCCTCAGGATGGCAAAGAAAATGAAACCATAAGAAATCAGCACAATTACTAGAGAGCAGAGAGTATTGAACCCAGCAATGATTAACAACATCAGCTCTTTGACATGAGTGTCAGAACAGGCCAGAGCCACTAATGGAACATCATCATGGTAGAAGTGGTTGATCACGTTGGAATCACAAAAAGACAAGTAGGATGTCGCCACTGTCTGTACAAGTCCCACAGTGAATCCATACACATACGTGCTAGCAATCAGTTTAATACAGAGTTTTCTAGGAATGAGAATGACATAAAGTAAAGGGTTACAGATGGCAACATACCGATCATATGCCATGATTGAGAGCAAATATAATTCACAAACTACAAATGTGATGAAGCAGCATACCTGAATGGCACATGCATAAAATGTTATACTTTTAACTTCACACAGAAAATTTACCAAGGTATTTGGGGCAACAGATGAAGTAAAAGAAAAATCAACAAAAGCCAGATGGCTGAGGAAAAAATACATGGGTGTATGAAGCTGAGGACTGATTTGAATTAGCATAATCAAACCGAAATTACCCATAAAGCTAGCTAAGTATACTACAAGGAATATACCAAAGAGAGTGACTTGAAGCTCTGCATTATCTGTGAGCCCCAAGAGGATAAATTCATACACTGTTGAATGATTGCCTTTGGCCACTGAGTAGGTATAAAAGTTTTCTTCCAGAAAACCCTTTAGAGCACACATTCTGAGTAATGGTGTTCCCAATGGAAATAATGAAGCAGATGTTAGGAAATGATTCTGACCCGCCCTGATCTTATGTTGAACACATTGAAAGGAGCATCTTCAGGCTAGTTCTGCTTTCTGAATAAAATAATTTGTCCCAAGTAGAAATTCCAAAACATGCATTTCTGTGGAGATTTGTAAAGATAGAAAGATGACATGTTAAAGGTTTACATAATTGAATGATCTATGTCATGTCTTTCTTTTAATAAGAGAAAATCAAGATAGAGAGTTATTTGAACACAGATAACAAAAAGCATTTTAAAATTACTGGGGCTGGACATGGTGGCTAACACCTACCTGTATCCCAACACTCTGAGAGGCCAAGGCAGGAGAATCACTTGATCCCAGGAGTTCAAGAACAACCAAGGCAACGTAATGAGACCTTGTCCCTATTAAAAAATATTTTTTAAAATTAGATCACTTTAAATAAAATTGTACTAATTCTTCTGGAAAATTTTAATTCACACGAAATAATAAGTTTAAAAAAATATTGCACAGTAGGTATACGAAAGTTCCTAAAAAATTATGGGTACAAATAATCTCTTTATAATACATTCAGAATTATTTTTTTATTTTTACTTTTTCTTTTATCTATCAATAATTCTTAGTTTTTCTTCAATTGCTATGTACTATTTGTGAATTAAAGATAGAAAAATGCTTAAAAATGTGAATAGACTTGCTTTTAAAAATATTCATAACAGCATTATAAATGCATTAAGTGATCCAAAAAACACATTTGTCATGTTTCTTAAAACATCCAGATGCAAAGCAGGAGAAGTAAACAATTCTAGAATGAGTGTGTAAAAGTACAACCTGGTTCCTGGCTAATTAAAAGTAGCCAGCATTTAATGATCTTCACTTGAACAGAAGTGATATAAATTTAATTTTTTGTTATTATTCTAGCTTAGATTATCTTTACATCTAGCCTATATAATGGCCCTATGACTATCATCTTTATTTTCACATATAGAAACTGAAGCTGAGAACTTAAGCCCTCTTCATGCTTCATGACTGGCATAAGGTGAAGCAGAATAACTCATTACCTAGTCTGTGACTCCCTAACCTCAATCCATAGTTGATGCAAATTATCAGAAAGGCAAAAATTTCTGCATCAACAAGAGATCAAGGCAACTTTGATAAAGCAATCAATGAATTCGTCCATGCCAAGTGCTTCAGGTAGTGACTATCTCATACTGTTTGCCAAATAAATCAATTTTAGCTCTTGATAGCGTTAATATTATTTAGATTGAGGCTTACTCTGCAGAAGCCTGTGAGTAATCTCTTCATATTGATGATTGTAGGAGCTTAATCTTTTTTGGAATATTTTGAAGTGTTCTTCCATTGCCTGTCTAAATTGTAATCTCTAATCCTTACCTCTCCTGGCTCTTACTCTTTTCAGTGCTTACATTGCTGTGCTGAATTGAAACCTGTGTGCCTTTTGCTCTGATATTACCAGACTCTCCAACATCTTGAATCATTTGATTTCTCATTTCTTAAAACAGAACTTGGCTACTCCTTGAAAATCTGTTTTTCCTCAGGACATTTCTATGCTCAATTTAAAATTCTCCACACATTTCAAATATGGCAGGTGGGATAAGGCATTGCTGATGCTTGGAAAATTGCTGCATATTGATAATTATATCTTGCATTTGTGTCAACTCCCTTGATGCTTTGAAGCTTACACACTTATATGCTTTGTCACTGTATTAGTCCATTCTCACATTGCTGTAAAGATACTACTCAAGACTGGGTAATTTACAATGATGGTGGAAGAGGAAGCAGGCACTTTCTTTACAAGGCAGCAGGAGAGAATGTACATGCAAAGGAGGAGCTGTCAAACACTTATGAAACCATAAGATCTTGCGAGAACTAACTCACTATCATGAAAACAGTATGGGGGAAACCACACCCATGGTCCGATAAACTCCCACTAGGTCCCTCCCTTGACATGTGGGGATTATGTGTATTACAATATGAGATGAGATTTGGGTGGGGACACAGACTCAAACCATATAATTCTGCCCCGACCCCTCCCAAATCTCATGTACTTTCACATTGCAAAACCAATCATGATTTCCCAGTAGTCCCCCAAAGTCGTAACTCATTTTAGCATTAACTCAATATCGTACAGTCCAAGTATCATCTGAGACAAAGAAAGTCCCTTCTGCCTATGAGCCTGGAAAATCAAAAACAAGTTAGTTTCTTTCAAGATACAATGAGGGTACAGGCATTGGGTAAACACTTTCCAAATGGGAAAAATTGACCAAAACAAAGGGGCTGCAGGCCCCATGCAAGCTCAAAATCCAGCAGGCAGTCATTAAATCTTAAGGCTCCAAATTAACATCTTTGGCTCCATGTTTTACACCCATGTCATGCTGATGCAAGAGGTGGGTTCCCATGGTCTTGGGCAGCTCCACCCCTGTGGCTTTGCAGGGTACAGCCCCCCTCGCAGCTGCTTTCATGGGCTGCTGTTGGGTGTCTGAAGCTTTTCTAGGTGCATGGTGCAAGCTGTCAGTAGATCTGCCATTCTGGTGTCTGGAGGATGATGGCCCTCTTCTCTGGGCTCCATTATGCAGTGCTCCAGTGGGGACTCTGTGTGGGAGCTCCTACCCACACTTTCCTTTCACACTGCCCTAGCAGAGGTTCTCCATGAGGGCTACACCCCCAACAGCAAACTTTTGCTTGGACAGCCAGGCATTTCCATACCTCCTCTGAAATCTAATTGGAGGCTCCCAAACCTGAATTCTTGACTTCTGCTCACCCATAGGCCCAACACCACTTGGAAGCTGCCAAGGCTTGGGGCTTGCAGCTTCTGAAGCAATGGCCTAATCTGTATGTTGGCCCCTTTTAGCCATGGCTGGGACATAAGGTACCAAGTCTCAAGGCTGCACCGAGCACAGTGGGGCCCTGGGTCTGGCCCACAAAACCATTTTTCTCTCTTAGGACTCTGAGTCTGTGATGGGAGGAATTTCTGTGAAGGTCTCTGACATGGCCTGGAGACATTTCTCCCGTTGTCTTTATGATTAACATTAGGCTCCTCATTATTTATGCAAATTTCTGCAGCCAGTTTGAATTCCTGCCCAGAAAATGGGTTTTTCTATTCTACCATATCATCAGGCTGCAGATTTTCTCAGCTTGTGTGCTCTGCTTCCCTTTTGAATAAAAGTTCCAATTTGAAACCATATCTTTGTAAATGCATAAAACTGAATGGTTTCATAATAATCCAGGTCTTGTCTTGAATGTTTTGCTGCTTAGAAATTTCTTCTGCCAGATACCCTAAATCACCTCTCAAGTCTGAGGTTCCACAGATCTCCAGGGCAGGGAAAAAAAAATGCCACCAGTTTCTTTGTTAAAGCATAGCATGAGTGACCTTTACTCTAGTTCCCAATAAATTCCTCATCTCCATCTGAGACCAATTCATCCTGGACTTCATTGTTCACATAACTATCAGCATTTTGGTCAAAAACATTCAACAAGTGGAAGCTCCAAACTTTTCCATATCTTTCTTCCTTCTTCTGAGCTCTCCAAACTGTTCCAACCTCTGGCCATTACCCAGTTCCAATGTCGCTTCCACATTCTTCGAGTATCTTTACAGTAGTAACCCACTCCTGGCATCAATTTACTGTATTAGTCTGTTCTTACTGCTATAAAGATACTACTCGAGACTGGGTAATTTATAAACCAAGGTGATTTAATTGATTCACAGTTCTGCATGGCTGAGAGGCCTCAGGAAACTTGCAATCATGGCAGAAGTGGAAGTAGGTATCTTAACAAGGTGGCAGGAGAGAGGGTGTATGCAAAGGAGAAACTGTCAAACACTTAGGAAACTATCAGATTTCATGAAAACTCACTTACTATCATGTGAACCACATTGGGGAAACCATCGTGGATTGAATCATCATTCAACCCATGATTCATTCAACCCATGATTCAATTACCTCCCACTAGGTTCCTCCCTTGACACGTGGGGATTATGAGGATTACAATTCAAGATGAGATTTGGGTGGCGACACAGAGACAAATGTTAACAGTCACTTATGTATTTCCAGGTCAGTCCTTGTTATTTATTGAGAATGTTGACACCAAGATCACTGTCCTGTCACAAAGTTGTCATTAGTTCCCATGAACTTGACACATTTAACATACGGCTTTTCTGATTATTGATTATTTTTATCAGTGACCCCAGCACCATTCCACTTCAGCTTTCCACCCCCATGGTTCCATGTTTAAAATTATTTGTCTACAAGTTTACCAAATGCTAGATATCCAAAACTTAAACATTTTCTTATGATCACAAACTTCTACCCTCCCCTTTTCACCTCAGTTATGACTACAGGTCTTCACTTATTCACACATATCACTATTCCTTAAACATCTTAAAATACTCATTTATTTTGTCACTTTATTTTTTCAATTCTTCTCCTATACAGCTTAGTCTCCATGACGTATTGCTTCAACTACGCTTCCCAACAACCAACATTTTTTTAGGTATACCCAAATCTGGGTATTTTGTAATGTTGTCTTCACAATGAAATCTGAGCTATCAAGAACAACAGTTAAGAAAAAGTGAACTATTACAAACTTATATTCAAAATCAGCTACTTATTTACTTGACTGACTTTTCCTTAACCAAGGGCTTTCTCCCAATCTGCATGTTGCTATTTCAACCCTTTCAATTCTATCCATGCTACTCCTACCACACATGCTAAGCAGTACTACTCCTACCACATATGCTAAGCAGATGCTAAACTTTTTGATATTTAAAATGGGAATTAAAATACTAAAATATAAATTTCTCTACTTCTTGTCACCAGTTGTGTGAAACTACCTGCTTCCACATCTATTCGTATTACATGTTTTTGTGGGGGTGGGGGATTGGGGAGGTCTCCTATTTCTTATACCTAAATTTATATTTTGGTTCCATTCTCTTTGGCCTTCCACGTCTCCTTCCTCTGCTAATCTATTAAATCTCTCCCATCAATCTACTACTCCTCCACCTTTATTCCTTTACCTTTATTCTTATCTTCATTCTTTTAGTACCAGAAAAAGTTACCAATGCTCACTGCATCCTTCACGTTTGTACATCAATCTCTTGTATTTAGATATTTTTTTCTTAGCATTGCAATGCAATTACTCTCTCCAAATTCACCAACATTCTCTTTTCTCCCAAATCCAATGAAGATTTAAAAATTTCACTTCTCTGTAGCATCAGACACCACTAGTATCACCTTTCATCATGAAAACCATTATTTTGTTGCTTTCCAAGCCATCAGAGTCTCTTGGTTTTCCCATCTTTGTGTCTACTTTGTACTTCCCTTGATGGCTGTACTTCTTTGTTTATGATTTAAATAACCCTATTACTTTACAGTTATTTCCTAAGCCAAACCATGTCTTTTTTGCATATTCTTGTTGGAAGCTATCATCCGATGCTATGGGTATCATTGCTATTGATGTGCTGGCGATGCAGATGTCTAGATCTCCAGGTCACATTTCTCCTTTGAACCCTTTGTACACATATCTACTTGCTTTTCAGACAGATTCTATTACATATTCCAGATGTACCTAAATTTAACATGTTCAAGGAGGATTCATCAGTTCAAAAGCCACCCAACCCCACTCACATGCCTCTGAGTATATATTTTATAACTCACTAAATGGTGCCATCTGCCATGCAGTTTAAAAACAAAAACAAAAACAAAAATTCATATGTCCCTCTAATGTCCACTAATAAACCATAAGTGAATGCTACTGATTTAATCTAGATTTTGAAGTCTGTCTACTTCTAATATCCTCCATATTTTCCTTATTAGAGCCTCAAATAACTGCTGGGGATTGTTACCCTCTAACTGTTATCTTCCAGGCAGTTTTGCCACCCTATATCCATGTGGCACCTTGAGGGTACGTTCTAACATGCAAATCTTAGCTTTCTGTTTCCCATTAGCTTTGGACTACAGCCCAAACTTCTTAACCTGGTTTATTAAAGCTTTCCTAAATAAACCCTTCTTTGTAAACTAGTCTCCTTTCTTGCAATTTCCTTTATGCAATCCCCATGCACCAACCATGTTGCATACCATCAGTTTCTCAGATGTGACCATGGACTTTGAACATAGTTTGGCCAGAATACTCCTTCCTTTATATCTTTGTTCCTCTGGCTGGCTACTATCTTTCCACTTGTCAAATCTGAGGTGAAATTTTACTTCATTCTAGAGGTGTTTTATTATCTCCCGATTATTACCTCCAACAATCTAGTCACCTCTTAATTTGTTTGTAAGCTACTTTAAATTGTTTAATTCTCGATAAGCAAAGATTTATATTTTCCCCAATACTTAGCAGGACTCAGCAATTACTAGACACTTTAAATAATAGTAGAATAAACGAACAAATGAATACAAAGTTTGTGTTACCTGAAACCCCATTTTTCTACCTCAATTACCTTGATTTCTTTCCCACTACATCTTGCTTTTGAGTAATGCACAACAACCAAAAAGATTCCAATGTATCCTTAGGCAAATTCTGTGAAGGTCAACAATACTTAACATTACTTAAGTGTTGTGAATATATTTTGTATAATCTGTTGGTTCCTCTAGAATATTCTCATTGAATTACATCATTTTTAACAATTCTGAACCAAAGACACAATGATGTTTCACAAGCATGAGCAATTATGTTATGGTTGATCTTTTGGGACCCAATTTGTTTAAAAGGCAAAAAATAACCACTTAAAGGGCAGGTTACTATCCTGAACTAAAGTATAATAAAGAATTAATAATGGATAGCAAAGGTTATTTTAACATATGGGAAACAAGTCAAAATGTTTTGATTTATTTTTTATACTTTGTTTTAGACTTTATGACATTTATAAATTTTAGTAAGTAGTCCTGGTATACACTCAATCAAAGTTAGTTATCTTGCAGTTGAGCTTTACAAGCCTACAAAGTAATGATTTGGATTGTACCAAAGATGCACCCTTATATCTGAAACTCAATAACCTGTTGAGCAGTAAGCAAATAATAATCAATCCATAAATTCCTTATTGTCCTGGAGGTATATTTAGTTCAATCTCTGAACATTATTGTCTGAACGTTCTGTTCAAAGTGTTCAAAACTTTGAAATTTCGTTGTGCTTCCTAAGGTCTTTTGGAAAACATTTAAAATCACGAAGATAACAAAGAAATTAATACTTCATCTCTTCAAGCCCTTAACACACTCTGTTCATCTGCATTCCACACACCCGTAGGGATGTAGAATGATAAATTGAAAGACATATAGATAAAAAATATCATAGGAAATCACTTATTTTTACAAAAGAAAAAAACAGGAAGAAAAATTTAGTCTTACTGAATGTGAATTTTTTATTAGAATAATTGCTCTGATTTTTCATAATATGACTCCAACAGAATTGAAAGCAACTACAAAAATATTAAATAAAAATTTTGTGGAAGTCACCATATTTTTCTGGATTTTTATGTCTAACTAATCTGTGATGATTATACTACTCATTTTCCTTGGAGTCTTGAAAGAAACTCAAGGAAGCTTGAAAGACAATTACATATACATGGGTAAGAACCTCTGAGAATCTGTTCTTCAACTATTTTAGAAAGTTTTTAAATTTTTTTTACTTCTGTCAAAATCACAATATCTAATTTTAGGAATTCTTCTTAAAGTTAATTTAATTAAAAATACAATTATTTATGTCATCATTATTGGTTCAGCCATCTATTGCTAAATAAAAATTTAGTCCAGACTTTAGTGACCTAGAGCAATGATTTGTTATGTCTTAGAATTCCATTGTGCTAACTAGACTGTTCTCCATGTGGTGGCAACTGAGACGGTGAGAAAGCTGTAAGTTCTAAGATGACCTCAGTCACCTGACTGCCTTTTGGTGAGGCTGTCAGCTGGAATGTTTTGTTTTTATTCATGCAGCATCTCCATAGGTCTGCCTTGGGCTTTCAACATGGCAGTTGGGTTCTAACATTAAACCTTCCCATGAAGAAAATACAGACACTTCCAAAACCCTTAGGGTCTACCCTTAGAAGTTGCACAATATACTTTTGCGCTTTCTATTATATAACGCAAGTTACAAGGCCAGAGTTCATAGGGAAGTGGAGTATGCAAGTATTCATGTGGACAAAGGGATTCATTGTGTTCATTGTGGACCATTTGGCAATAATCTACAACAACCATGATCCTGAATCTGCCTCAAGGCACTTAAAAAAAATAAAAAAAACAGATGAGACCATGGATCATTTGTTAATATCCAAGAGTAAAAAAGAATTTTCAATTCAGAAACATTTAGCTCCTAATCCTGATTTTGCTTTATATAAGATGCCTGTTTGCAAGCAAGACATTCATTTCCTTTACGATTCATTTACAAAATTGGGATAATTCCCACCACACAGGCTTACTATAATGACTTAACTTGGCTAATATGAATCAATAAAGTTTAACTGCTTTATAATCACAATATTTAGTGGTATAAGCCAACTTATTTTCTTATAACCAGAATTTATTAAATTTTATTTTTATCTCGCAATTATAAATGATTTATCCAAAGTATAAGTCTTAGAATGATTTTTTTTCCGAGTTTGACACGAGATGTTTTATTCTGTATATTAAATAATTTTCTTGGCCTTGGTTTCTCTGAAAAAAATATGATACTGTATAGCAAACTTCCTTAAAGATATATGAACTCTTCCGTTTCAAAATTTTGCAAATGGAGGTTTTAATCACCTTGATGTTTATTTCACAAAACACCATGATGTTTTACCATTTTGATAGAATCTTGCTAATTGTAAATGTTGAACTCTGAGTGGCAAGATCTCTAAATGCCTTAGTAACACATATAAATCAAATGGTAGGAGAAGAAAAGCCACAAAAATTCAGAGTCCAGTGGTTTCCCGGGTGCATTTGCTTCAAGTTAAGTAAGCAGTGTTAAAGCAAACTAAATATGTCCTGAGAAGGACTCCGTACTTCTATATTTGAGTCCTTGTGGATGAACTGTAACCTAGTTTAATAGTCACACAAAATTGAAAACCTAACTTAATAGTATGCATCTGTAACAATAGCTGAGGGTTGACCAATCCCAGCGGCCATACTTCAACCACTCATAGACTGCTGAGTTTTAAAACTGCCTTCAAATAAGGCAAATGCGGAGCTATAACCAATCTCACTGTTTCTATACCTCACTTTCGATTCCTGTACATCACTTTACCTTTGTTGTCTACAAATTTGTTCTGACCACGAGGCACCCTTGGAGTCTCTGTGAATCTGCTGGGATTCTGGGGGCTGCTAGATTCACAAATCGTTCATTGCTCAATTAAATTTCTTTAGATTTAATTTGGTTGAAGTTTTTCTTTTATCAGATGGCGTCAGAAGCGGGAACCAAAGTGGAGCTTCTAGCGACCCGCAGGAGTGCTGAGTGAACAGCAAGGAACCTGCAGGATCCACTTGTGTCCCTTGTCTCTCAGAGCCGCTGGGGATCATGGGTAAGCTCCCTTTTGGGTCTTGGAACTCCACGGATTTGTGTTTTGAGCTCTCCAAGTTACTTTCAGCAAACGTCTGATCCAAACTGGGTTTGGAGTCGCAACAGAAACTGGACTGTGTCTAAGAACGGATTTGATCTGGGAATTAACTGGCTTGGATCCAGTTACAGGCCTCTTACATCTCACTGGGTCAGAAAGGAACTGGTAATAAGCAGTAATATTGCAGGGGTTATAAAATTTGGATTTGAAAATTCACAGGGATTTTTGTGTTCTACCCCTTTGTTTCACTTTTCTAGCGCGCTTAGTTGGGGAAAAAATTGTTGGTTAAGTTAATCAAGAGAAACTGAGAGTAAAGCCAATGTTTTAGGTAAAAATGAGATCCTTAATTTCTGGAAAACTGAGAAATTTCTCGGTTTTCTGAAATTTATAGAAACTGAGTATAACCTTAAAACTTTTGGCTTATATTTTAAGCCTGGGAGGCAGAGAAGTCTTAGAGAAACAGCAAAATCTTACTAAAGATAACTTAAAGTGGAACATTCCTAATGAACAACAATGCATTGAAGTACATTTAAAAATGAGGGCTCTCGCCGGACGCGGTGGCTCAAGCCTGTAATCCCAGCGCTTTGTGAGTCCAAGGCGGGTGGATCACGAGGTCAGGAGTTTGAGACCAGACTGGCCAATATGGTGAAACTGGGAGGTGACAGCATGCTGGCAGTCCTCACAGCCCTCGTTCGCTCTTGGCACCTCCTCTGCCTGGGCTCCCACATTGGCGGCACTTGAGGAGCACTTCAGCCCACCACTGCACTGTGGTAGCCCCTTTCGGGGTTGGCCAAGACAGGAGCCGGCTCCCTCAGCTTGCAGGGATGTGTGGAGGGAGAGGCACGAGCGGGAACCAGGGCTGCACGCTGGGCTTGGGGGCCAACTGGAGTTCTGGGTGGGAGTGGGCTTGGCGGGCCCCCCACTCGGAGCAGCTGGCTGGCCCTGCTGGCCCTGGGCAATAAGGGGCTTAGCACCCAGGCCAGCGGCTGCGGAGGGTATACTGGGTCCCCAAGCAGTGCCAGCCCACTAGCTCTGCTTTCGATTTCTCGCGGGCCTTAGCTCCCTTCCTGCGGGGCAGGGCTCGGGACCTGCAGCCCGCCATGCCTGAGCCTCCCACCCCCTCCGTGGGCTCCTGTGCTGCCCCAGCCTCCCCGATGAGCGCCGCCCCCTGCTCCACGGCACCCAGTCCCATCGACCACCCAAGGGCTGAGGAGTGCGGGCACACGGTGCAGGACTGGCAGGCAGCTCCACCTGCAGCCCCGGTGCAGGATCCACTGGGTGAAGCCACCTGGGCTGCTGAGTCTGGTGGGGCCTTGGAGAACCTTTATGTCTAGCTCGGGATTGTAAATACACCAATTGGCACTCTGTATCTAGCTCAAGGTTTGTAAACACACCAATCAGCACCCTGTGTCTAGCTCAGGGTTTGTGAATGCACCAATGGACACTCTGTATCTAGCTACTCTGGTGGAGCCTTGGAGAACATTTATGTCTAGCTCAGGGATTATAAATACACCAATCAGCACCCTGTGTGTAGCTCAGGGTTTGTGAATGCACCAATTGACACTCTGTATCTAGCTACTCTGGTGGGGCCTTGGAGAACCTTTATGTGTAGCTCAGGGATTGTAAACGCACCAATCAGTACCCTGTCAAAACAGACCACTGGGCTCTACCAATCAGCAGGATGTGGGTGGGGCCAGATAAGAGAATAAAAGCAGGCTGTCCCAGCCAGCAGTGGCTACCCGCTGGGGTCCCCTTCCAGACTGTGGAAACTTTGTTCTTTCACTCTTTGCAATAAATCTTGCTACTGCTCACTTTTTGGGTCCACACTGCTTTTATGAGCTGCAACACTCACCGCAAAGGTCTGCAGCTTCACTCCTCAGCCAGCGAGACCACGAACCCACCAGAAGGAAGAAACTCCGAACACATCCAAACATCAGAAGGAACAAACTCCAGAGGCGCCACCTTAAAAGCTGTAACACTCACCGCGAGGGTCCGCGGCTTCATTCTTGAAGTCAGTGAGACCAAGAACCCACCAATTTTGGACCCAAAACCCCATCTCTACTAACAATACAACAATTAGCTGGGTGTGGTGGTGCACGCCTGTAGTCCCAGCTGCTCCAGAGGCTGAAGCAGGAGAATTGCTTGAACCCGGGAGGCAGAGGTTGCAGTGAGCCGAGATCGTGCCACTGACTCCAGCCAGGGCAACAGAGAGAGACTCTGTCTCCTCCACCAGCTGCCCCCACCAAAAAAAATGAGGGCCTCAGTAAAGTCCTTTTTGGCTAAGAACGGGTTTGGCACTACGGGATGTCAACTGCTATTCTCTTTGGAATAATCTGCCTTGCACTTTTTGCTGACAGCTATGAGTGACAGGATTAAGCATGCAGGATCTTGGGACATGGGGAGCTTTTTTCTCCCTCAAAAGGGGAAACTTAAGAGCTAATGGGACTTCTGGAAAAAAAATTCCTTCACAACAGCAGCCACAATTTCACTGTCGCTGCAAATGGATGGGTCTTTCTCTGGCCTCTCTGAACATTTTGTCTTTCCCACCCTGCCACAGGCAATGCTTTTCTCAAAAATTCAAACATTATAAAATTAAAAAATTAAAAATGTAAATTTCTGCCTAGATTAGAGAATTAAAATATTGTTTTAAAAAATTAAGCTAAAGGTTTGAACAAGTTGTTAAAAGTTTATGGAAAGTAATTATAAGAGATTCTATGTGTGAACATATTGGCTAAAGTTAAAATGGCATTATTCAGTTTTTTTTCCCATGAATTAAGCATTAGAATAGAAGCACAACAGAGTTTTTTTAGAACATTGCTCTGCTCTGAGGAAAACAAAATGTGAAGGGGTTATAAAAGGTTTATAAAAATCTTACATTATGGCCAAAATAATTAAAACTGAATAGATTTATAAAATGTTATTAAAAACTGACTTAAACATTAAAAATACACTAATGGAAACATAAAATCTGGTTTTCTCTTTTAAAAGAGAAATGTAATATTAAAAGATAATGAAATGTTTTTGTTTACCTTCTAAGTAAACTACAAAAGAGAAAAGGTGGGGGAAGGAAAGAAGGGAGACAGGGTCAGTTGTCCTCATGCTGTCTTCATTGTCTTGTTTGGAAAGCTGAGTCTCCTATGTATCAGAATAATGTTTCATCCTTTAAAACATTTTTGTGTTATTATTTTGGCTAAATGAATGACTTATGTAACCTAAGATTCTATTTTGTAATATCCAATGTTTTAAACCTTTGGTATTGACCAAACCTTTCAAAATCAAGCTCTAGATTATCATGCTAAATCAGTCAATACTAAAATTGTTTAAATATACAATGTAATTGAACTCCATGGTCTAAGTCAGATTATGATAACCCATTAGTTATCAGTGCTATGCACCTAAATTGGAGAAACAACTGGTATTCAAGAGGACATGAGTCCACTGTTAAGCATGGATTCATGAAGAACCAGGATGGCCTACTTGTCCTTCCTGAGCCCTTCAAGCTTTTGTTGTTAAAGGTTCTACCTTCCGTAACTCGTCATGGGAAAGACAAAATAATCTAAATTAAATATATTGATGTGGTGACTTATAAATTGCAAAAATAGTTTAAAACCAATGTTTGGTTCCATATTCCTGGGAAGACAATCAAAGCTTCAGATACAATTGGCTACCAGATGGACCATTTAAACATTTATAAAGGGATTTCATTCCATTGTCATTTTTAATGCATGTTTTCTGGTTCTATTAAAGGTTTTCCATGCAAGGGAGCTGATGTTATTATACCAGTAGTTTATTATGCTACAGTGTATTTTCACTAGTAAATAAAGCTTTTTATGGTTCACTGAGGACAGTTCCTTCACAGTCTAGAGCCTGAAGATTGGATCTTCTGAGAACATCTGAGGAAGACTGTCCTTGCCATCCACACTACAGCAAAACTTTGGCCCCTTGAATTTTGGGTTTATAATCTCACAACTGAGAAGGTTCCTTCCACACTCCTGGAACTGTACACCCATTGGAACCCTTAAGGTAAAACTAACCAGGGAAGTTTCTCCCCAGAAGAAGATGGAATACTTGATGTGAACAGCTTTTCCCAAGATCATGGATCAAAACTTCAACTACCATAAGACTCTTATCTTTGAATATTTTTTCCTTGTTATGTCTCTATGAACAACAATAGAAGTGAAAAGGGGTTCCATTATGTGCAATTATAGTGTATACTTTTCTTTGTGAAGGATTTTCCAGCCAGTCTTATACATGAATAAACTTATACTTCAATAGATAAAAGATGAAGGCCCAATATAGGCGAGAAACTTTAGTGGTGCATATGTTGCCTCATAATCAGTCAAAACTCCTCTTAACCCATATCATGAATTAAAGAGAACTTTATCAGGAGGCCTTCACTCTTCTAGAAGGACATCATTTATTAAGTTCTTTTTCCATGGTTTAGAATAAAAAAGGCCATAATCAGAAATGTCTCCCTCATAATAGGCTCAACAGCAAATTACACTATAAAGGATATTGTTACACAACAAACTTTAAATTGTCCTGTGAAAGTTATGCTAAATAATAGATTGGCTAAACAGAAAAGCACATGTGCAGCTGCTGACACTTGTGGCCTATGGAGAAATACACCAAATGTAAAATATAAAAATTCAGTTGCAGGGGATTAATGAAAGACCACTTAGTCAAGTGAGTAGACTTTGCACCTAGCTCATTCTTTAATCTATTTAATTTGTTTTGTTTTACGGGGACCCTGGGTAAGGATAACTCCAAACTCTTGGTGTTATCCTCCAGATATTCATAGTAATAGTTTCCCTGATGCACTGTATTTTTCTCAAAGGCTTTAAATGTTTGCATGCAGCCATCTCTAGAATGTCAAGTGCTTTCTCTTCAACTAGAATGACGAAAGCTGAAAGAAATGTGCTACCATGAGGACACCGTAACTTATGAGTGACATGCTGAGACTAGAAACCCAAAATGATGGTAACTGAGAGTGGTGCTAAGGCCCTAAGCTTTGGTCACACTTTCATCTAAGTGAGAACCTGAGCAAAAAGGGGGAATTTTTTTTAAACAAAATTATGGGAGGCCATTATTTTGGACTAAGCTCATGGGCGAGGCCCTAGCAAACCAAACCAAATGAAAATGGAGTCACTTGTGCTAAATGTGACATAATCAAACTAAGGCTTCAAGAAAACACTTAGATCCTAGAACAAAACAGGTTTTGTTTTTCTCCTGTAAATAAGATGTTCCAGCACAAGGAGGTACCCTCTACTCAGTCCTTATTCTCTCCTTACAAACCTCACTGTTTCCCAGTGGGTTTCAAAACTGTATAAGTACATTTATGACAGTGATAGTAACATCAATGACTAAGGTTTCAATCAATCTCTCAAAATTGAGGAAATGAACAAAAAGGGGGAATTGTTAAAAAAAAAATAAACTAAATATGGCCTGAGAAGGACTCCATACTTCTATATTTGTGTCCTTGTAGATGAATTGTAACCTAGCTTGTCAGACAAAATTGAAAACCTAACTTAATAGTACACACCCGTAATAATAGCTGAGTGTTGGCCAATCCCAGTGGCCCATACTTCAACCACTCATAGACTGCTGAATGTTCAAACTGTGTTTAAGTAAGGCAAATGCTGAGCTGTAACCAATCTCACTGTTTCTGTACCTCACTTCCAATTCCAACTCACTGTCACTTTAACTTTTTTGTCTATAAATTTATTCTGACCACGAGGCACTCCTGGAGGCTCTGTGAATCTGGTGTGATTCTGGGGGGCTGCCTGACTTGGGAATTGTTCATTGCTGAATTAAACTCCTTTAAATTTAATTCGGCTGAAGTTTTTCTTTTATCTATGGTAGTTTTTGCTCATCTCCTCCAAGTTAGAAAACACATTGCTGTGCCACAAGTTTAGAAATAAGTGTAGCACTTTTTGGAATGATTTAGGGTTACCATAAACAATATACTATGCTGGGGTCTAGAGCTGTAAGCCATTTACTGGGTATTCCAGAAGACTACCTCTTTTGCCTCAGTCCCAGAGGAAGAGTAGATTTGGAAAGTGATCCAATGATGTTGGAGATATCTGTGCTGGGAAATAATGATACTTGGTCTCTGGAAAGTCCAAATCAGCATCACAGCACAGACATTGAAGCAAAGCCAGACATTCTGATGAATACATGAAATAGTTTTCTGTCTGAAACAAAGTGCCAGATGAAGGGACACCAAGTAAACATTAAGCATCAGCTGTCTATTCTGTACTTGATATTATAAGATTCACCAACTTATAAGTTTGGGCAGCCACAACAGCAATCCATTGCAAATGGAAATTATTCATATACAACCTGGTTAAATCAGGTTGAGATGGCATTAACAAATTATATAAACAGCGAGTTCACGGTTTTTATCACCTATTCCTGCTGCATAGACCCTTTTCTGTCAATATGTGCTATTATTTCATGGGCTAGAGGTTCCAACTGAGGAGTTTCCAAGTAAGATTTGTGCCCAGTACAAATAAGGGTTGCTACATCATGTAGAAAATAATCAGATATAAAGTTGTGCCACTTTATAGTCCCACTAGGAGGTGGCCTTGAAGGATGACGGTGAAAGCAAACTGTCCCAGTGGGTAGAATATTTGGTCTTCCACTTCATATGGAGAAAAGGTGGCCTGAAGAAATGGATATATACTGATTCATAAGCAGTAAGAAATAATATTGGCCAGTTGGTTAGAGGACTGGGAGTAACGTATTTGAAAAAACGTGGTATCCTTGGAAAGGAGATTTTAGATAATTTTGTAGAAGTGGGCACAAGACATTAGTTTCATTTTTAACTCCCAAAGATTAGCTCTAGCAGAGGAGGCTTGTAACAATGAAGACTGGATAACCTGTCCTGTAGATGGCAGTCATCCTTTCTCCTCTCTTGCAACCTCAGGGCTTTTACATGTATGCAATGGCACTGTGAGCAGAGCAAACAATGTCAGGAATGAGCCTATACATATATTCAACAACAATTTACAATATTGCTTCAGAAGAAAATAATACATTTTATAGCAACGAAAGTTTGATGTGATCATGCTATATAATGAATGGTCTCAACATGTACTCATCACTGACAATCATTTTGCTTATAGAATATGGACCCCTTCCTTATACAAAAATTAACTCAAGATGGATTAAAAACAAATGACACTTCTCAAAAAAACAGACACTTCTCAAAAAAAGACATGTATGTGGCCAACATATATATGAAAAAGAGCTACACATCACTGATTATTAGAGAAATGCAAGTCAAAACCACAGTGAGATACCATCTCACACCAGTCAGAATAGTGATTATTAAAAAGTCAAGAAACAACAGATGCTGGTGAGGCTGTGGAAAAATAGGAACACTTTTACACTGTTGGTGGGAATGTAAATTAGCTCAACCATTGTGGAAGACAGTGTGGCGATTCCTCAAGGATCTAGAACCGGAAATACCATTTGACCCAGCAATCCCATTACTGGGTATATACCCAAAGGAATATATATCATTCTACTATAAAGGCACATGCACATGTATATTTACTGCAGCTCTATTTACAATAGCAAAGACATGGAACCAACCCAAATGCCCATCAATGGTAGAATGGATAAAAAAATGTGGTACATATACACCACGGTATACTATGTAGCCATTAAAAAGGAATGAGATCATGTCCTTTGCAGGGACATGGGTGAAGCTGGAAGCCATCATCCTCAGCAAAGTAACAAGGAACAGAAAACCGAACACTTCATGTTCTCACTCATAGGTGGGAGTTGAACAACGAGAACACATGGACACAGAGAGGGGAACATCACACACTGGGGCTTGTCATGGAGTTGGGGGCAAGGTACGAAGAGCACCCGGACAAATAGCTAATGCATCAGTTCAGTAAATGTGCTGGCTGAATGTGAGGGTAATATGGGAGGGATGATGCTTGAATGATCAGGTAAAAATATTCAGTCAAATCAATAGAGATATTGTAAAATGAAGGATAATCTAACTTGTAAGGGATATTCAAACCAAAATCTTTCAGCCAAGCATCTCACCATTTTCCCCCCAGTTCAACTATGGAAGAAAACCTTGCCTAGTATTTGCAATATTATATGCAGTAATAATAATAGCACATGTCTCTCAAGATGACCTAAAGTTCTCAATATCATAGTGAAATAAGATAAAGTCATAATTTCAAGGTGCTTTCTTCTTTATTTCTATTTAGTATTGAAGCATCTCATGGTTAAAGAGAGTAGATTATTCTTATCTCTCTTTTGCAGTTCAAAAGTGAAACATTTACAAAATGCCTATCATTTGTAAGCCAAAGCAATAAAAGACATATTTTCAAAGAAAATAAGTTCCAAAGGACAAAGGCTTCTACATATACTAGCACTGTACAAACCTTGATTCAAAATGTCCTGACTCTGTACGTAGTATTTCTTTTAGTACCAACAAATTTTACTGTTGATTACTAGAACACATTTTTTCAATAATTTTTTTCATAGCATTTTTTTACCTCTTGATTCCTCAAGCTATAGATCAATGGGTTTAGCATGGGAATCACCACTGCATAGAATACTGAGGCAAATTTGTCTTTATCTAGTGAGTGGCTTGACTTAGGCTGTAGGTACATAAAACTGAGGGTCCCATAATATATGGAAATAGAAAACATGTGAGAAGCACAGGTAGAAAAGGCTTTCTGTCTTCCTACGGCAGAGTGGATCCTTAGATAGCAAAGACGATGAATACATAGGAGATGAGAACAATGATAAGAGAACAAAAAACATTGAACGCAGCAATGATGAACAACATCAATTCCTTGACTTGTGTATCAGAACAAGCCAGAGCAATCAGAGGAACATCATCACAGTAGAACTGGTTGACCACATTAGAGTCACAAAACGACATGTGGAATGTGGCCACTGCTTGTATGAGTCCCATGGTGAAACCATAAATATATAAGCCAGTGACCATTTGAATGCAGAGTCTCCTAGGCATGAGAACTACATAGAGTAAAGGGTTGCAGATGGCAACATACCGATCATATGCCATGAGAGCAACAATAATTCCCAGACTGAAAGTGTAATGAAGCAGCACACTTGAGTGGCACATGCATAAAATGACATGCTTTTAATTTCATGCAAAGAGTTGACAAGGGTGTTTGGAGTGATAGCAGAGGTACCGTAAAAATCCACAAAAGCCAGATGGCTGAGGAAAAAATACATAGGTGTGTGAAGCTGAGGACTGATATGGATTAGCACAATCAAACCAAGATTACCCAACACAGTAACTAAGTAAATCAGTAGGAATACACCAAAGAGAATGACTTGAAGTTCCTGATTATCTGTGAGCCCTAGGAGGATGAACTCAGTCACTGATGAATGATTGCCTTTTGCCATGTAATAGATACAGGATTCTTCTAAAATGAACTCCAGAGCATACCTTCTGAATAATCTTGACTCTATAAGAAATGACCAATTAAATGTGAGAAGATAGCCATGACTTACCAGTGTATTATATTAAGTTTAATTAAATTAAAGTTCTGATAAGTACTCTGAATTATACATAAATTTTCCTTATGCTTTCCAGGTAAAATAATTTGGTTCAGGCAGAAATTCCAAGATAGAAAATTCAGTGAAGAGTTGTAAAAGAAAAAAGTATTTTAAGTAAAATACTGTAGTCAATACAACAGCAAAATCTATGTTGTACTTTTCTGGAAAAACCAAAAAATAAAAACACATTGCAATGCTAAGAATGTGAGTAACATTGACAATATATGTAAATTTATTTCTTAAATTGTAAGTTTGTTTTATGAAATTATACACAGATATATTAGTTCACAAGGATATCACAAATTAACAAAATTAAATGAGGAAAATATAACATAAAAGTTCAAAATCAAAATATTAACACTATCATCTTGGGCATCCAAGTTGGAGTGATTTCAAAATTTTCTTCCTTTTGCTTATCTCTTTTTTTTCCTTTATAGACATTTCATTTTGATATTAAAGAATAGCAGGATTTTGAATACCCTGGCTTTGTCTTTTTGGAAGAGTACACACCAGTGAACAATTTTACAGAGTATGAAAAAACTTTAGCTGACGGAAAACCTTATTTAACTTCTATGTTTAGATATCTAAGTGGTCCAATGTGTATAGCATTTGGGCAGTGTTTTGAAGAACTAAATTCTACAGACCATTTTCTCAAACCCAAACTGGGCTCTGAATGCTTGAAAGCTGATGGAGTTAAATTGATCCCTGCATTTCTTAAGCAGAGCAGGGGATAAGTAAACTTGATTCTTTTTTATAATTATATTGTCTCTTGTTGCTTTACATGTACCTTGCAGATCTTCGAGGAAGGTAAAAAAATAAATAAAATATAAAAAACACCCATTCCCATAACCTTTGTCATCTCCTTAGAAATTTTATCTTGGTTAGTCTCTTCTCTTTTCTGTCACTTGCACTTCTCAGCCAAACATCTTAGAGTAGGCCTCTACTTTTTCAATCACATTCATAATTTAATCAAGTGTAATTTGCCTTCCTTTCCCATTAAACCAAAAAATCTCCTCACCAACTTCACTATTGACTTCACGATCTCCAAATCCAATCCAGCCTATTTTTCTTTGGCAGGGTATTAGCACTGGACTCTGTTAATATACCTTAAGTTTCCCAAACAAAGCAGTCTCTAGGTTGATTGTTTACTTTGATTCTGTACGTTGGAAGCTCTGCTTCCATTATATATGCTTCAGGTGACATGTACTTCAGGTTCTAAGCCCCCAAGCTCTCTTCTTTACATCTTCTTGTTCAGTGATTTTATCCAATCCTATGTCTCCAGTAAGCATCTATATTCTGGCTACGCACACATATATATTTCTATTTCAGATTTATTTTCTCTATTGGTATCTCTGTGTGTTAAATCTAATATTCAAAACCTGGAATATATACTTTCTCTAAATGAATAGGGACATTATTCACCCAGTGTTTCAAACCAGGGACCAATTATCTTTTACTATGCATTCCTGTTCCTTATGCCAATATTTAATTTGTCCCCAATTACTAACAATTTTATATCTGACATACTTTTCAAATCTGTTAACTTACATTCCTCTCTTGATGCAACTTTTGTTTTCTTTATTGTAACTGGCAACTGACTCATATTCTTGCCCCCAGTCTTTCCTATTTCTCTCTCTTCCTTACATTGCAGCTTAAATAAACTTTTTACAGATACAAACTTTATTCCAATATTCTCCTGGTTAAATCTCGTAATGCCTTCTCCATTGCCCTTAAGATAAGGTCCTAGTTTTTTTTTTTGTTTGTTTGTTTTAAACATGGCTGACATAGCTCTTGAAAACCTAGGCCCTGCATCTCAGACCAGGCTCATCTTTTGCAGCATTCTCCATTTGGTCTTCATGTTCCAGATATGATCAACTATCGCAGTTATTCAAATGTAATCTACATATTTATATAGTTTCCTTCTGTGCCCAGAACACTTTTCCTCTGCTATTATTACCTATCCCTGATTTTTCTTCTGGTTAACTTTAAATTTTTCTGTTGAATAATTTCCTCCTGGAGGCTTTCCTGACCTTCCAGGCCAAAATTAGTGCTTCTTATATTCACTATTTTGGATCCACTGATTGCTTTACGATAGCACTTGCCACACTATATTGCAACCAACTGTTAACACATGTCTGTAACACACCCTAAACTTGAAAGTCTTCTTTTTAAGCAAGTTTTAATTCTTAAATTATTTTATGCCCATTTTAATTACTTACCTCTAGTAGTGTCTAATATAAACAGATCATCAATAATTTCCTGTTAAATGATTAACTGAATAGAAGTAAAAGCCATATAAGTTTGATGCCTTTCCCACAGTTTGAGTTTTTTGTTTTTTCTATGACCCAGTGTCTTTCTATATTCAAAATGCTGTCTTTCAGTTCAACAACAAACCTCCAAATAGCACATTGCACCTGAAAGCAATGTTTGTGAAGCCAGTAACATTTAAAATTATGTAGACGTGAGACAGCTTTGTAATTTTTTTTTTTTTTTTTGGTGGTTCCTCTGGAAACTTTCTGTTGTTACTTTTGTTAAACAAACATTGCAAAACAAAATAATGATTATTCAGTAACAGGCGATTATTTGATGTTTAGTGTTTGGGGACAAAGCTATTTCCCTTGAAATGGTAGATCACTCTTTCAACTATTAGTCAATAAATGAATAGGGAGTAGAGGAATATTTTAATGATCTCTTTTGGGAAAGCAATTTGATTAATGGCTATATCTACTTTGATTATTTGCTACATTTGCTTTAGTTTTGCTGTATTGGCTTTTAATGGCAATTAAGAATTTATTTAAAATAAATGTTGAGCTTGTGGGCCTCATATTTAGCAGCAGATTTTATAAAGTTTTAGATGAAAAATAACTTTTCCAGTTAATAACACTCAAATCTGCCTTCTGAGATTAATATCACAACTTGTTGTTATAATTGGCGTTGTAGTTCAACAGTAAGGATTAATTATTTTTTAAAAATTTGTTTTCCTCCCTAGGAGAGAAATGCATGCAAATCATAGGTTAATTGACACCTAGTTGTTCTCATTCCATGGAAAGAGATGAACTCCTTCATCCAGGAGAATGTTTAGCAGTAATATCTGAAGCTTTTTTTATAAATTTTCTGAGATGGCTCTTTAAAGTCTGTATTGAAAGATGCCTGACATTATATGCAACAGATAAGCTAGAAATACTTTCACATAATAATGAAGGCACAGGAAGAAAATTGAGGTATGTAGGAGTATGATGATTAATTTATTATGTAGAAATAAAAACTCTCCACCTGTCTATATTTTTAGGAAGTCACAGAAGACAGTTTCATTGCTTGGGCAATAAGGAATGCACTAGCGTAGAGGAAACTGGTATTTTTTTAGAGGCTCAATAGTGGCTGTGCTCTTCGGCTTGTATGAATGGAGTGGACCTACAGGTCTGTGCTCCCTAATAACAGTAGGGATGTTGTTATTCCAGAATGAGAGTAACAAGGTGGATGCAACACTGGTATTGGGTTACAATACTTGATTAGGCTGCAACTGAGGTACTTTAACCCGGTTTCTATGGTAATGGGTTATGGATTGTGATGTTCTTGGGTTTAGACGGATGGGCAGCTGATGTTGTTTAATAATTGTATATAATTCTATAATTGTACAGGACATATAAAGCATAGTATTTTAAAATATTCGTCCATTTGTGTATTTAGACAAAATATGGAGCTGGTGAGAAAAAAACTAATAACAGCTGTCACAATGAACAATGTTTTTCCTTAAGATTTTTTCAAAATTAAGTCCGATCATAGATTTTAAAAAAAATCTCTTTTATTGAAATGAGAACTGAATTTCCTTGAAGCAGGTTCCTTGAACCGTTCTAAAATACAGCGTGTTAATATAATAGCTCCTTTTCAGATACTTTCCAAAGGAATATACCCAGTGCTTTTTATATGAACATGTGAGAATATCAGAGACTTAATATGTCATAATTGGGAATGATGCTCTAGCTCACTTTTCAGGCACAGTAGATCAATTAGTTGTATTAACAGCCCCAGTTAAAGGCCTCTCTGTAATCATGCTCTTTTTCTATAAATGTATAGTACTTCTGTATTCTGCCTCTGGCCTCAGTCATGTAACTTGTTTTAGCTGATGCTTTGATAACAGACTTGACACAAATGTAGGCTTGAGAGAGGTGTAGTGTATTTCAACTTCCTGTCTTACTCTTCCTCCTTTGCCCTGACCACAGATTCATGCTAACCTGTTGGCAGATGAGAAGTCATGTGGCGCTAAACCAGTTTTCACAGGTGGGGACATCTTATACCAGCTTGTTTCCAGGCAACATATTAGCTGAGGATGAACTCATGAGTGGATGCAGACAAGATTAGCCAAGCATGGCCCAGAGCAGAAACTGTCCTATGACACATGGTAAATAATGCATTGCATTTGTTTAAGCCACTCTGTTTTGGATTTTTAAATTCATCATTTTTGTTTCAATAGAAAACATTTTATTACGTAATTCCAGTTGTGAATGGACACAGAGAAGATATGGAAACTCCTAAACAGTCACAAACTGCAGTGCAAACTTCCCTGCTACTTGGGATGGGAGCTTTCTCAGGGATTCTTATACATACAGTTTCCTGGGGGCATTTGCGTCACTGTTTAGGGCTAAGGTCTTCATTATCTGTTCTGCTCACCTTCAAGCTATAGCTTTCCTAGCCCTGTCCTCAATATTTCCCTAATCTTTATTTCCTGAGATATTCCAATATTCATATTAGCCCTTATTCTTATAACAAGCCCTTTCTCTATTTCTGTACAGAACCAACTGTGGCACAGGAGTGAAGGAGAAAACAGATATCTGAGGAAGCCAACACCAGGCCAAAAGACAGCCTATGCAAAGATGCTACGGAAAGCATGCAGCAGCTGTTGTAAGGGCAAGGAGGTCGGAACAGAGAAAGGCATAAAGGTTAAGGTGACAAGGTCGGAGATTTAGCATGAGGTCAGGTAATTCAGAGTTCTGTGGCTCCTTGCAAGTCCTTTGGCTTTTGCTTTGAATAAAATGGGTTTCCAGAATAAAAGTTTGTTTTCTTTTTTTTTTCACTTTTGACTTAATTTTATTTTTAATTACTTAAACTTGTAATGTTTTTCAAATCAAAACAACATAGTAATATTTATTTTTTAAGGGTTGACTTCTGTCCCTATCTGCACTTGTTCCACTCTTTTTCATTTTAACTTATCCTCCCATTATTTTTGTCTTTTTTTTTTTTTTCTTGAGAGAGGGTCTTGCTCTGTCTTCCTCAGGCTGGAGTGCGGTGGCAAGATCTTAGATCACTGCAGCCTCCGTCTTCTGGGTTCAAATGATTCCCCTGTCTCAGATTCCCAAGTAGCTGAGATTACAGGTGTGCACCACCACACCCAGCTAATTTTGTATTTTTAGTAGAGACGGGGTTTCACCATGCTGGCCAGGCTGATCTCGAACTCCTGAACTCAAGTGACCTACCCGCCTCTGTGTCCCAAAGTGCTGGGATTACAGGCATGAGCCTGCAATTTTTAATCAAATATAAGAAGCTACACATGTGCATTCTATATTCTTCCTTTTTTCTTGCACAGTGTAATGTGTAGTATTAATTCTTTTCTGCATTTTTGTCTTGTCAATATTATATTCTGATAATTACTCTGTATCATACCTAGAAATCTTTCCTCATACATGGAAGGGCTGTCTCTATTCATGGATATTCGGGTGCAAGTCTCTATTCATGGATATTCGGGTGCAAATCTGTTGCTAATTTAAATAATATCCCAGTAAATTACCTTGTGCACATGTATTAGCTTGTATTAGTATTTGTGTCAGTATTCCTTTGAATACTTGAATTCCTTTCTTAGAAGTATGATTGTTGGGTACCTGCAACTTTGCTAGATATTGCCAAATAATTCTTCACAGAAGTTTGTTGTTTGTTTGTTTGTTTGTTTGTTTGTTTTTTGAGACAGAGTCTCACTCTTTCGCCCAGGCTGGAGTGAAGTGGTGCGATCTCGGCTCACTGCAATCCCCATCTCCCGGGTTCACGCCATTCTCCTGCCTCAGCCTCCCAAGTAGCTGGGACTGCAGGTGCCTGCCACCATCAGCAGCAGATGAGAGTTCTTATTTACTTTCAGTCTAGTCAAATTTTTGCATTTTGAAATCCTCATAAATGAAAAATAGTATCTCTTGGTATTTTATTTTTAAGTTGAAAGGACTCTTAGCTCGATGCTATCCCTCCTTTCTTGTATCTATAAAGTTGATTTTTTGACATCAGGATTTCTACAACAAAAGTATAACGCTTTTTTGGCAGAATGAAAATTCTAATGATTTTTGGTTAGATCAGTCAGTGAGGGGAAAACTCAAGGAAATCATTACATTAACTTTCACTTTAAAGATAAGGAAACTCTCTCTGGTAAGGCTCAGAGGATTTAGATCACGTAAGTAGGTTTTGGGAGCAAACAGGGATTTCTTCAGAATATTGGCAGGGAAAATTCTGGAAGTTCTATGCTTTCAAAAATGTTAACAAAATGAGTGTTAAACAAATTGAAAGAGATTTTGTCAGTTCATTCTTGATTATTAATTAATTAATTAATTAATTAGAGACAGAGTCTTGCTCTGTCGCCCAGGCTGGAGTTCAGTGGCCCGATCTCGGCTCACTGCAAGCTCCGCCTCCCGGGTTCAGGTCATTCTCCTGCCTCAGCCTCCCCAGCAGCTGAGACTACAGGCGCCCGCCACCATGCCCGGTTAATTTTTTTGTATTTTTAGTAGAGAAAGGGTTTCACCGTGTTAGCCAGGATGGTCTCCATCTCCTGACCTCGTGATCCGCCTGCCTCGGCCTCCCAAAGAGCTGGGATTACAGGCGTGAGCCACCATGACCGGCCAAGTTCCTTTTTTTAATACCAATGGGAATTATATCTTCAAGCAAAGGGCTATCATTTAAAATTACCTTTTTTGTGGATTATTACTATGGGCTTAATATTCCATATAACACTTTTGAGGACATTTGCTCTGGTACTATGCAACACTGGTGACAGTGACAGAGTAGAATCTGGCTGCATTTGAAATGGAGGTGGCTAGAAATTTGATAGTGGTGGTTGTGATTCAGGCATTCTCTGTTAAGGCCGGGGTTCACTCCAGACAGAGTGAAAATGACTGAACTGATACAGAGGTGTATTTTTCTATGACATTCCTGTAAACTGTCCCACTTCCAAATGTGTAAACATTGAATTGAATATGAAAGAGCCAGATCCAGTCTCCTGACTCAATGAAGAGTTGAATCCTTACATACACATTGATATCTCTCAGAAACTTGAGTGTAATTTAATGGCTGGTCATAAAGTAATTAACAAAATTCTAGATATTTTAAGAACTTTGACAAAATTGTGACAACGTTTTCTTAAAAGTATTGAGTATTGTTTTAACTTATTATTGGTGAAAAATAAAAACTTAGTTAATCAGCACTTATAAAACAAAGTCGATTTTGTTACACTAAACTTTATTGAAGATGAATAGATGGTATTATTTAACAATTTTCTTAAAAACAGATACTTATAATTATTTCTTATAAATAAAATCTTTTTTTAAGTTACAATGAATTTGGAATTGGGCCAACAAAATACTATATTAAAAGATATTGTTCAATTAAAACATTAAATTAAAATTAAATGAAGACTTATTTTTAGTTTTTAATTTTTTAAATTATAATAGCTTTAGGAGTAAAAGCGGATTTGGTTTCATCGATGAACTGTATAGTGATGATGCCTGAAATTTTAGGTCACTCATGTAGTGTATGTTGTATTCAATATGTAGTTTTTTGTGGCTCAACCCACCCACCCACCCCTTTTCTGAGTCTCTAATGTCCATTTTATACTACTCTGTATGTCTTTGTATAGCCACAGCTTAGTTTCCACTTATAAGTGAAAATATGCAGTATTTGGTTTTCATTTTGGAGTTAGTTTACTTAGAATAATGATCTCAAGTTCCACGCAAGTTGCTGCAAAATACATTATTTTGTTATTTTTCGTGGCTGAGTAGTGTTCCGTGGTGTTTGTACACCACATTTTCTTTATCCACTCATGGTTGATGGGCACCTAGATTAGTTCCATATCTTTGCAATTGTAAATTGTGCTGCAATAAACATATACAAGCAGGTAGCCTTTTGATATAAGGACTTTTCCTTTGGGTAGATACCCGGTAGTGAGATTGCTGGATCAAATGGTAGATCTGCTTTTAGTTCTTTGAGTAATCTCCATACTGTTTCTCATAGAGGTTGTGCTAATTTACTTTCCCATCAGCAGTGTATATGCATTCCCTTTTCACCACATCAATGCCATCATCTATTATTTTTTTAATAGATGTCCATTTTAATAATGGCCATTCTGGTTGGGGTAAGGTGGTATCTCATTGTGGTTTTAATTTGCATTTCCCTGATGATTAGTGATGTTGAGCATTTTTAAAATATATTTGTTGACCATTTGTTTATCTTCTTTAGAAAAATGTCTATTTATGTAATTTATCCACTTTTATTTATTTGTTTTTTCTTTTTGATTTGTTTGAGTTCCTTTCAGATTCTGGGTATTAGTCCTTTGATGGATGCATAGTTTGCAAATATTTTCTTCCATTCTATGGGTTGTTTGTTTACTCTAATGGTTATTTCTGTTGCTATGCAGAAGCTTTTTAGTTTAATTAGGTCCAATTTCTTTTTGTTTTGTTTGCATTTGCTTTAGGTGTCTTAGACATAAATTCTTTGCTAAGTCCAATGTCCTGGAGAGTTTCTCCCAGGGTTTCTTATAAAATTTTTAAAGCTTCATGTTTTACATTTAGCTCTTTAATCCATCTTGAGTTGATTTTTGTATACGATGAGAAATAGGGATCCAGCTTCATTCTTCTACAATTTTCCCAGCACCATTTATTAAACAGGGTATATTTTTTTATTTGAGCTTTTATTTTGGCATAATTTTAGAATTACAGAAAAGATGCTAACATTTTACGAAGAATTATTTTGCACCATTCACCCAGCTTCTCCAGATGTTAACATTTTACCACATTTTTTCTGAGCTTTGATAATAAGTTGAAGACATGATGCCTCTTTACCTTTATATACTTGTTATATTTACTAAAAGCAAGAACATTCTCTTAAATGACCATGCTACTATTATAAAAATCAGCAAATTAGCAATTATAAATATACCTCATCGATAGAATTGTTTTTGACACTAAGGTACTTTTTGTTTCATTTGTTAGAATTCAAGTTGCTCTTTTAGTATTTTTTAATTAGGCTTTGCACCAGTCTTTTTAAATTAGGTGTTAATGCCAGTGTCCCTGTCATGTCATCAGAACCAATAACTCTTTTGGGGTTCAACTAATAGGTCATGTGTGTGTGGGTGTGTATGTGTATTTTATAGACAATGTTAATGACTCAAAGCTGCTTTAGTGATATAAAGTGGACATAATTTTTACCAATTCAAGGTTTATATATTAAAAGTGTTGAAGTCAAAGTCTTCACTGGAAAAAAAGATTGATTTTTAAATGTTCCATGAAACAAAATTTAGCCTACTATTTGCAACTGAATAAATGTCATTTTCACTTCTCACAATATCAACACAGATTACTTTCATGATTTAAAATAACATTTCTCCACTTTGAATTGTGAAGAAGTAATCCGGAATGGGAGATAATATTTGCAATCTACAGATTTGACAAGGGATCAATAAACAGAATATATAACAAGCACGAACAACTCAGTAGGAAAAAATAAAATCCACAAAAATTCAATTGAAACATTGGCAAAAAACCTGACTAGACATATCTCAAAAGAAGACCTAAAAATGACTAATAGGTATATGAAAAATGGTTTAATATCACTAGTAATCAAAGAAATGCAAATCAAAACCACAGTGAGATGTCACCTAATCCCAGTTAAAAATAGCTTTTATCCAAACGACAGGCAATAATGGATGCTGGCAAGGATATGATGAAAGGAGAACCCTCAAACACCATTGGTGTGAATGTAAATTAAATTAGTGCAGTCACTGTAAAGAACAATCTTGAGGTTCCTCAAAAAACTAAAAGTAGAACTACTATATAATCCAGCAATCTCACTGCTGGATATATAGCCAAAAGAAAGGAAATTAGTATATTGAAGAGATGTTTACACTTCCATGTTATTGCAGCACTATTCACAACAGCCATGATATGGAATCAACCTAAGTTTCCATCAGTGGATGAATGCATAGAGAAAATGTGGTACATATACACAACGGATTATTATTGATCCATAAAATTAATGAAATCTTGTCATTTGCAACAACATGAAAGATATTATAAGTGACATAAGTCAGACACAGAAAGACGAATATCACGTGTTCTTACATATATATGTGTGTGTATATATATATGTGTGTGTGTATATATATATATATGTGTGTGTGTGTATATATATATATAAAACTCCTGGAGATAGTAGAATGGTGGTTGCCAGAGCAGAGACTGGGAAGTGTATTGGGGAGGAGAGTTGATAATGAGGAAATAGTTAATGAGTACAAAAATACAGTTAGATAGAAAGAATAAGATGTAGTGTTTGGTAGCACAGTAGGGCAACTATAGCTTCCAATAATTTATTGTGTATTTCAAAATAACAAAGAGAATGGAATTAGAATGTTTCTAGCACAAAGAAATGATAAATACTCAAAGTTATGGATATCCCATTTACCCCGATGTGATCATTACACAGTGTATGCTTGTATTAAATATTAGATGTACCCCATAAATGTGTACAACTATTGTGTATTCACAACAATTAAATATATACATTTAACAATTCAAATAATGAAATATGAAAATTAATGCATGTTCTGTATCGATATCAACTTTGATATTATAACATTAAAAAGCAGGTTACTAATGGTGTGCTAGTGCAAAAATACTTAAAGTCTGGCTTTATTTTGCCTCCCAATTCAAAGGGCTTTATGATTAGACCCAAGGTCATTTATCTTGTAGTAAGACATAGATTTTCCATAATCATCTTCAAAGCATCTTTGACTTCGTGGTTCCTCAGGCTATATATTGAAGGAATTTTCACAATACAGAAAACAGAAGCTATTTTGTCTGTATCCAGAGAATTATTTGTTTTTCACTGCATATACATGAAGGTAATTATACCATAAAATATGATGATAGAAGTCAGGTGGGAGTCACAAGTAGAAAATGCCTTTTGTCTACTTTCAGCTGAATTAATTCTCAGAATGGCAGACAGTACTGATATGTAGGAGATGAGGATGATAAGAAGGGAGAAAAGTGTATTGAAACCAGCAAGTGTGAACAATATCAGTTCTTTTACATCTTTGTAATGGTTTTTATGATAGGGTAGACATGCTAGGGGAACATCATCACAATAGGAATTATTTATTATATTTGAATCTCAGAAAGACAAGTGGAATGTAAGAATTGCCTGTAGGAGTCTCACAGAAAAGCCATACAAATATGTACTTACCACCATTTGAATACAGACCCTTCTGTTCATGATGATACTATAGAGTAAAGGGTTGCAGATGGCCACATACCTGTCATATGCCATGGCTGAGAGCACATACATGTCACAAACCACAAACATGATAAAGCAATGCAACTGAGAGGCACAAGTAGGTAAGGATATTCTTTTAGTTTCTTGGAGGAGGTTCACTAGGCTGTTAGGGGTGATAGAGGAGGTGTAGCAAAAATAAACAAAAGCTACGTGGCTGAGAAAAAAATACATAGCTGTGTGAAGCTGAGGACTGATATGAATTAGCATAATTAACCCAAGGCTACCCATGACACTACTTAAATTGATCACTAGAAAGATCCCCCTAAAAAAGGGCTTGGAGCTCTGGATTGTCTGTGAGTCCCAAGAGGATGAATTCAGTAACTTCTGAATTATTGGTTTTGGCCATGAAATATGTGTAGAAGTATTTCATACCATTATCTTCAAAACATTCATCCTGGATAATCTTCCATTTCTTGGATTAAAGACTTGACTCACACTTATTTGATGGTGATCATACTGGAAAGATAACTCTCTCTTGTCCTATACATCATTCTCCCTGCTTATTATCAGAAGGGATTTGCTCCAGTCAGATATTCCAACATGCTTAGTAGTCTGGAAGATTGTTAAAGAAGATAGAATATCTTGAATTAAAATGTGGAATGTTATATATACAATAAAAACCCTGTATCATAGGAAAAGCAGGATAAATACTTCAATGATAAAAGAAATGCTAACATATTTTAGAATACTACATTAAGGCAAAATACTCGATATTTCTACTCAACTTAGAATCAAGACAACCATGGCTTTGACTAAACATTATGCAGTATCCTAGCCCATGCAACAAAAACAGTGGTAAAAATATCATTATTTTTAAAGTATGTATTATACTATATTGGTATATATTCTAAAGTATATATTACAGCTTATTGGTACTTGAACCAATAAGCTCAGTGGAAAAATATTATTAGATTTGTTATGATTGTTGTGAAGCATTCAGTTACCAAGCTACATAATGAAAATGATACCATAATAAAAATGTAGCTTCAAGTAAAAGTGAAAATATAGTTTTCAAGATTCCATTTAAAATAATGAGGAAAAAGTAAAACCCAAATTTTAATTTACTATTAAACTTGGCAAAATATTGGCTTTATATATTCATACATATATAAGTTAAGCATATATAACAATATGCTTCAGAAGTTAAGCATATTGTTTATGCTTAACTTAAATAAATTTATAGATTCACATTATTTTGTAGTGGGGTGGCATTTGGGGAAGAAAAAAATTATTTACAGGTTAATTCAAATTCATAATGCATGAAAGATAAACTGAAATTGATTTATTAAACTTTCAAGATAAACAAGATATTTCTTAAAGTAATTAAAGGTTACTTATTCTTACAAAAAGTAAAATATAAACTGTAGGATGCAAAGCAGGGTGGAGATCAATGGCATTCCAGTGGATGTTTATCAACTGGCTTTCAAATTTAAAAGAAAAAGGAAGATTTAATTTGTAACATCTGTTGATTTTGTGATTTCCATGCTGTAAATACTCCCATCTTAGCTGATTTTAAGCTACTGACCTACAGTCATGAACATGAGTTCAAAAGAGATTTGCAGATATAGTTCTTGGACGCTAGTATGGGCTGCCTCCAGCACAGCACTGGTGGTAGTTATATAAACATAGGTTAATATTATAAATAAAATAATACAAAAATTAGTAAATGACAAATATTTTATGATTACGCAATATGCTAAAAGCAGAACACAAAATCAATGATGAATCTCTAGCTGCTTTCCATGTAATATATTTGTTAATTACAAAGGGAAATAATCAATTTTATTAAATATCAAAGGACTAGATAACATAAGATTGATCAAATTAAAAGGATGAAAATATCCATGTTGGTAAAGGTGTGGGAAATGGATATATCCTCATGAACATCCTGTAAAGATGTAATTTATCCTCAATTTTCTAGAAGGTAGCTTAACAGTAAGCATCAAAATTGTTTAAAATATTTCTGCCACTTGATGCAATGATTTCAATGCTAAGTCCATAAGAAAATAATAAAAATATGCAAGTACATATATTGTTTAATTTCAGTTACCGTAAAATGGAATTTGTCTAAATACGTTCTAACAGATATTTAGTAACTGTAAATTCTTCATAAAATACTAAATGACCCTTTAAAAGTTGATATAGGTTTTCATTTATTGACATGAAAAGAAGGATTACATATATAAATATATACAGGTGATATTGCATGTATGTATACATATATATGTGCACAGAAATACTCAAATAAAATATGACAAAATGTTAACAGTAGTTATACCTATGTGGTGATATTGAGATTGATCTTTCCTTTTTCTTTCCATTTCTTTCTTCCTTCCTGCCTTCCCATTCAATTTTAATGGTTCTTTACATTTTATGCTATCCTCTGTTTTCATAAACTTGACTTTAATTTTATATGCATATTTCCATGTTTCAATATCTTAGATGCTTATGCACTTTGACAACTTAATTTTTCACATTGGTGTTTCTATAATTTGTGCTTATCTGGTGCCCGTAGGGATGCATGAATTTATTTGCTACTAAAGATTGTTTGCCCGATCAAAAATAAAAGTTAAAGAAAAGATTGTTTGCCAATTATTTGCCATTAAATACAGACTCATACTTTCACATTTTTTGGAAATATTTTGTTGTGATATGTTCCACAGGTGGACTAATTTGTTAACGAGTTTGAAGCACTTGTCAAATGAAACATGACTGTCCTCAAAACGGACAAAACCAACTTAACAAAATCATCCGCAAAATTTAAGCGGAAATCATGACAAATCTTTTTCTCCTATATTAACAGTTATATAACAAATCCTCAGTTTTAACCTGAAAATTTTAAGCTTTAATTGTGATTGGATAATTTTCCAAATGTTTAGCTTTTTCAAGTTAGGTATGAAATTGTAAAAATTACAATTAAAAAATTTTTCACTCAAACAAAAGTTTTTAATCATAATCTTTTTTGATTTTGGGACAATTAATTTAACAGCTGATATATTTTTATCTTCATACTGCTTCATTTTATGAATTTAATAGTTGATATTTTCTTCACCTCATTTTACTTTTTATATTTCATACTTTCTTATAAGATCAGGAAACTAGAGTATACATAAATAGAATAAACTGTTGAGGACTTCCAACTCAGCAAATGTTAGATTTAGAGCTCACATTCAGGCTTTTATTCCCCAAAATATCTACGCCCTTTAGTAGAATGGCTGATGCACAGACAATGTACCAGCCTGCTAAGATAAGAGGTTATGCTTTTTTTTTTGAGACAGAGTCTCGCTCTGTCACCAGGCTGAAGTGCAGTGGAGCGATCTCTGCTCACTGCAACCTCCGCCTCCTGGGTTCAAGTGATTCTCCTGCCCCAGCCTCCTGAGTAGCTGGGACCACAAGCATGCACTACGACGCCCCACTAATTTGTAATATTTTTAGTAGAGATGGGGTTTCACCGTGTTGGCCAGAATGGTCTTGATCTCTTGACCTTGTGATCTGCCTGCCTCGGCCTCCCAAAGTTCTGGGATTACAGGCGTGAGCCACCACGCCCAGCCAAGAGGTTATGCATTTAAGAACATTAATTATAACCTTTCAATATATAGATGACAGACTTAACATCTTCTGCCAGAGCTTAATCCTATGTGAGACAATAGGAAGGCACTGAAATGTTCAAGTAGTAGATACATGTGTTTAAAGAAAAAAGGAGGAAATAAACTTTTGAGAACTGTGGGTCATGCTACTCCTATGTCTCTACAACCTCACAAATATATAAGAAAATTATTGAAAATGGACACTAACCTAAAGCAGGTTATTTAAGAATTATTTCTATTTTAATATAATCTCTCAGTGGGCATTAATAGTATATTTCTAATCTTTTGCCATTAAGTATGGAAACAGGCTACAGATGAAAAAAAGTGAAGCAAAAATATTAAATGATAGGCATGATTCATAAAATCAAATCTTTCTTAGGCTAAATGATGAAAACACATGAGCACATAGAGGGGAACAACACACACTGGGACCTTTCAGAGGCTGGAGGCTGGGAGGAGGGAGCCAATCAGGAAAAATAACTAATGGGTTCCAGGCTGAATACCTGGGTGATGAAAAGATCTGTACAACAAACCCCCTGACACAACTTTACATATGTAACAAACCTGCACTTGTATCCCTGAACTTAAAATAAAAGTTAAAAAGATACTTTAAAATGATTACTCTCTCTCTCTCTCTCTCTTTCTCTCTCTCTCTATTATCAATTTATCAGCTGTGGTGTACAATAATCTTCATTTATAAATTGCTCCCTCACGTTTATGTGACTTATAATTAGTAGACTAGCACTCAAGTCTGCAGGTTCATAGAAGGAAGGGAAATGATACTCAAGTGCCTACCATGAATTATTACCCCTTTCCATATTGCTTAGTCCTATAAAAGTCTCTAAACTGAGTAACATTATTCTCATTTATCTGATGAGTAAACTCATAAGAGCATACCTAGAGCACAATGACATGTTTGGGATCTAACCACATACTTTGACTATAAGGCATGTGCTTATTCACTCGGCTACATTGCCTACTGGGTTCATTGAGTTATAAGCTATACCTTAATAAATAATGACCAGCTTACCTGAGCTTTGCTGTGCACAACTGTATATAATCCTTGTTACTGGAAAAATGATTTATGATGTTTCAATGACTGTGAATATATTTGTTTGAATTATAATGCCCTCCCCTCCTCCCTCCAGAATTCTATCCCTGAGTTACATTATTTACATTTTGGGAAAAAGTATAATGAGATCTTGTAGGCATAAGAAAAGCAGTTCTCTTAGAGAGTTAGTCTTCAGAGACAGAACAAGACTTCCAGGAAGTAGAAGGTACATTCAGTCAGTAACATAGGTGAGGTTAGAAAGCAGTACTCTTTGTATTAATAAAGACAATATGTTAAATGCATAAATATAGGACATTTTTATATTGTCATGTATTTTTTCAAAAAATTAGGAATTGAGAAAGAAAATGTTTAGACTATGTGTCTTTATTTTTCACGTGGGATATTGTAAATACAGCTTCAGAATCCTGAACTGGGGATGGACGGGGAGAGGAGTTAACTTTTGTCTGTGCTCTGCACATAACTAATTATATATCTTGATGATGACTTTTTATGCATTCTTCATTTGAGAAATAGGAAAATTGGTATAAAATATTATGCAAGAAAATTAATAATTTTAATATATTTTCCACTTGAAAAATAAGAGAAGTGTTGTAAATTCTTATAGTTACTTTTATACCTAACGTTCTAAGAGAAATTCTCTAGAAAATTGTATTACACAGCGAAAATATATGTATACATCACATATTGAGAAACAAGGATCCTGATAACTTATACTGGGAAAAAAATCATACCATGAAAGAAGTCCATTTTTCCTTACTCAAGTTACTTTCTTAATTTTATAAACACAAAACTCTAGTTTTTATTGATAATGATTTTCTTCAGAGCTTCTTTCACCTCCTTATTCTGGAGGCTATAGATTAAGGGATTCAACATGGGAATGATCACTGTGTAGAAGACAGAGGCCATCTTGTCTGTGTCCAGGGCATGGCTAGAGCTAGGCTGTAAGTACATAAAAATGAGGGTCCCATAGAATATGGTGACTGCCAGCATGTGAGAGCCACACGTCGAGAAAGCCTTCTGTCTTCCCTCAGCTGAATGCATCCTCAGGATGGCAGAAATGATGAACATGTAGGAGACAAAGACAATCAGAAGGGAGGAAATGAACATGATACCAGCACAGGCAAAGATCCAGAGCTGTTTGAAGCGAGTGTCTGAGCAAGTTAGCCTGAGGAGAGGCATGTCATCACAATAGAAATGGTTGACAATGTTGGAGTGGCAATAGGAGAGGCGGAAGGTGAGGATGGTGTGAAATAGTGCCATTAGGAAGCTATAGCTATAAGGAACTGCTACAAGTTGAATGCAGATTCCTGGAGTCATTACAACCATATACAATAGAGGGTTACAAATGGCCACATATCGGTCATAGGCCATGGAAGCCAGTAGCAAGGATTCTGATATCATGAAGGTGAGAAAGCAGCCCAGTTGAGTAGCACATGCATCAAAGGATATAACATTTTGTTTGTACAAGAAATTCCCAAGCATTTTGGGTGTAATGACAGAAGAGTAACAGAAATCCACAAAAGCTAGGTTGCTAAGAAAGAAGTACATTGGTGTGTTGAGACTTGTATCCGCTCTAATGAGTAGGATCAAACCCAAGTTGCCTACCACTGTGAAGAGGTAGATGGATAAGAATAGCACAAAGAGGGGCATCTTCAACTCCTGATGGTCTGTGAGGCCCACAAGAATAAACTCTGTCGCCTGGGTGCAATTGATGTGAGCCATATCTTTTCTGGCCATCTAAATGTGGAAGTAGAGAAAAGAGTTAAGTCTAAGTCATATTTTAATACTGTAAATCCTATATGTGGTGTTTTTATATTTATTGTATTGTAAAGAGTTTAATTAATTAGATTTATTTATTAATTTATTTAACTAATATAATGATTGTTAGCATACTGGAATTCTGGAAATGTGATGGAGAGCAAAAAGAATATAACACCGTATAAACATCTTTATATCTAAAGCATGAACTTACATGAATGTAGGGAATGAATCCTCACATAATCTTATCCTGTAAATTAGAGTAAAATTGATATTTGCTTTCTAAGAGATTTGGAAGTTTATGTTTCTTTACATTCAGTTTATGTCTGCTTTTTTATCTTTTATTAAAAAACTGATTTAATTACATTTTTTGCATTAATTTTTGTTTTCCTACTCTATTTAATGTTGTGTATCATCATTTTCTTATTCATTTTGGATAATTTTAAAATTGAATTATTGAATACCCAAATAGTATCAAATATCATGTCTCTCAACTCCTCTTTCTTCTCTCTCCCACCATTATATCTAGTAATGGAAAATAGAGCTTTCCTTAAAAACTTATAAATTTCACGCTTTGAAAATTACTATGCAAATAAATATATAAATAAAATAAGAGCCTGTGTTTCTTCACTGTTCTTCAGAGTTTACTAATAGCTCTTGAGTATTTACTTCTGCTCAATTAATCAAAGAATCCATTTCAGTTATTTGTGTTTTGTATTAATAAACATATTTATTGAGCAACATAATGTGGTAAGTAGTAACTTTCAAAAAATACTTATTTACCTTAATTTTATTCTAAATAAATTATATTTATTATATGTATAAGATACATATTAGATATGCAATATGTAAGTATATACTAGATATCCTAAAACCCTAATACAGATGGAACATTAATGTCTAATTATAGCAACATGGAAATTGATGGATAAGGACATAGGAACCCATAAATTCCAAATCTCTAATTGCATGTTAAAAACTGAACGTCAATTTTGAGTTAAAATAGGAAAAAGAAAAGAGAAAAGGGAGGTAAGTAAAAAGAGAATTTTTGGTCTTTGCACTGCTCAGACCAAACCCTTCTCAAGAAGACTAACTTTCAGACTCAAACTTTTTTATGACAAACTATAGAAATAAATACTTGTTATAAGATGGCATGGAACTAATAGATATATTGAGAATAATACTTTTGCTTCCCTGACATCCGCTTGTATTACATATTCTTTCGTTTTCTAGCGTAATCTGTTCCATTCTATTTAATTCAAACAATGCTTCTTGGGATCCTAAAAAGTGGATTTAAGATCTACTAGTAGTTACAAGCACAGTTTCAAAACCTACACACTAGTCCCCACACACTGAACCATTTTCACTAACATGAGTAGATAAGCAACTTACCTTTAACAGTTCCTAGCTATACCACCCACTGTAATCTGTAACCAAGACTGAACATTCTATCCTTAACATTTTCCTGGATTTTGTCTAACTGCTACTCTTGTAGAAGGTTATTTCAATTCATTCAGTTCTTTATTCAATAATATATAGTGGGGACTATTAATTTTCAGAGCGTGCATAGAGTCTGAAGATAGAGCAGTGAAAGAATAGATAGTAGTCCAGGCTGGAAAGAAAGCAAGCGTTATCCAACTTTACCCTATATTTCTGGTCTCTTTTCTTATCATTCGTTTTTCTCCACCTGTAAAACACAAAACCCTGAAACGTGTGCACACAAACTATTTTACTTTGAATCCAAAGGAGAGCATGCATTATATTTGAAAGGACATGTGACTTTTTATAGTATCATCTCTGAATATTTTTATTATCCCGGTTCCACTCAACTCTCCAGTCAGCAGGAGCATCCATTGTTTCAATTAATGATTGGTCTCAATTTGTCAATAACAAAATGCCTTTCCATACTTCTCTATTTTTAATCTTGCCATTCCTAGTTTCTTTCTTTACAGAAAAATAGACAGTGAAAATGGAAACTCCTACTTATCTTTCAAGCTCTGCTGAAATATCACACTTCTATGAAGAGCTACTTAATTTTTCCTTCCCATGTTAACAGCTTTCATATTTGTCTTCCAAAAACATTTTAGACATACCTAATCTATATTTCATCTCTTATTACAACCATCTGTTTCCATATATCTTCCCCTGATAGACTTTAGACCCTTTGTGGTTGAAAATCACGCTGTTTTTATTCATTTCCTAATGTAGTCTCTTCTAGATGTTAGATGATGGGGAATTAAAGATTAATTTTGGAATGACATTTGAATATTTCTTCCCCTTGCCCCTAGGTTATATTATTTTCTTTGGAAAATATCTCTAGAGACATATTAGTAATGTCTAACGAATGCCCCACTAATCCTGGGTAAAATTTCTAGCTACTGCAAGAGGGGAAAGCAGAGTTTGGGCATAGAATGTATAATTTGGTCAATAACGGAACTGTTTATTTCCAAACATTTTTAAAAATTCTAAACAGGAATTTTTAGTTACTTCAATCTAATAAGAAATATTTTAAAATCACAATGCATACCCACATATAAAATTAAAATAAAACCAGAGAAAACACTTTATTTTATAAAATGTACTCGTAATGATTTTTCTCTAATTATTGTACGGCACTCTTTAATTTTAAAAATACTTATCTCGAGTTAATATAGCAAATGTATTAGCTATAAATGAGTCAAAGCCCACCATCTTGAAATATGCTCTATTCTACCTGGGAAGAGGATACTTGTATTTCTCCTCATAATAGGTGTGGATAGCAATGACTATGTGGTTTTTGTTAGTGTCTCTTTCCCAAAGGATCTTGTTCCAGAGTATGAAGCAAGTAAGAGTATCATAAAAATTACAGTCTGTACTTCATTGGAATTGCAAGGCAGGCTAAAGATTTATTGACCTGATCTGTTTTTAAATAACTGCAGATGTGAAGCTGTTTTTAGTATGACATTATTAAGGGTCCTCTAACTTTAAAAACATTACTATATTTTTATGTTTTACAAAATATATTTGCTGTTGTAGATTTAGTGTCAATCTTCAATATTGGCTTTGAAAGGCAGGTAGCTAACTATCTTTTTTGAAAATTCTCACAAATAGCTTTCTATGAAATGTGTATCCAATTCTTCCAAGGACCTACTCCTTAATATTTTATGCATGAGACATTTTGCAAAAGCTCTGGGCATGTGCTTATGTCCTAGTCACTCCAAACTAGACAACGGATAAGAAATGTCTTGTAAATTACTGTGTGAGTAAGAAGAGTGGATTTGTATATTTTCCATATTGGCTATAAATTTAAAATCATCCCTGTAGTTTTCTGTTAAGTAAATTTCTAACAATAACAGTAGCTTTATGAACACAGTACTTTGACTGAAACAGGAAAAGTGACAAAAGCTTAGAAATCACAACTTAGTTAAATGGTGTAAATATTAATTAGGATAAGAATTATAAGTGTGTGTGTAATATATTAAGTAATTATTTGAGTACATAGTTGTTTTTTCAAATGAGAAATACATCTAGTAAAATTGGCTTAATTTTCCATCTCTGTGATTTCGTACAAAATGCCATGACTTGAGGTTTGATATTGAGATACTGAATCGATATGTGCAGTACAACATGCACATGTACACACACACACACACACGCACAAAAAAAAAAAAAAAAAAACTTTCAGAGGATGAGTGGTGATCCTGATCCTGGACTAGCCATTTGACACTAAATCCTTACCAATGAATAAAAAATATTTTAAAACTCTAAACATTACATTTGGTTCCCCAATTCTCTTTATTTTTTGTCTTAAAATATATGAGATTAAACAATAAAATAATGAAATAATTTTAATACCTGAAAAATCAGATTTATAGATGGCCACAGAAAGCCAAAATTGTCATTTGTAAAATATGGAAGTTCAGACGCTTTATATAGAAAATGTTGTATGTATTTTAAATGATGGTATTTTGAAATATAAGTTAATACATTTCTTCCTCAGAGAATAACAAAGGCCTTTACAATTCTTATTCAGAGTTGTAACTGGCACTGTAAGTGTCTATATGTAACTCATGGCTTAGTCCATTCTACATTATCCTTTTTCTCATTCTTATATCTCATCACAAACATAACTTAGAAAACAGTGTCTGTGAGTAAAGACATACTAACACCATACCCAGAGAGTAGACTTGACTGTTCAGATAAATGTAATGTGGCAATTTTTTTTAATCTTGTCACATTAGACTAGATTTGTTTACCAGTGTTTAATGTTGATCAGTGAGTGAGTGTATACTAAAAGTCACTATACAATTCCATTCTTTCTTACTTTCAGCGGATCTATGAGTTCCCATGCCTAAGTTTTCTAAATTTCAGGAAAATAAAAAGATTCTGAAGAACTGCAGCACCTCCTTGCTTACCGAAGCATCTGTTAATGCTGGCCATGCTTCAACAAATGCCATTCATCAATTTTTTTGTAATAAAATTAAGGAAATGATGTCCCATATTAACTTAGGGATCTTTTACAATGTTATTTTAAGTGATAAAGGAAAACTTTTTTATTTAAGAGGCCTCATATGTTTTCTTCCTAAACTGGGGAGCTTAGAAGGCAATCCTTCGGGTAACATTAATTAGTAGAGAATAATCGATTAATCAAGAGTTTCTTTTAATAGTTTCATCTGTTCCTATTATCATCCAATAGATAAAGACATTGCATAAAAGAAATGATTAATAGAGTATTATTGATTTTATATTCCATTTACTTGGTGAAAGAATCAACTTTGCTGACCAGTGTGTTGGCCTCCAGAACAATTATTTCAACATCATAATGACACTCAATGGCCACAGGGAATTTACTGCTTTGTAATGTGTTGCTTATGTTACTCAGCTGTTTAGCAGTGGATCAACAATGATGGCTCTTCTTTTTGTCCTTTCAAAGGAACTTGTTTTTTACTGCAGAATTATTCCTGAACTTCCTTGCTTTAATCACTGCGCTCCGGCCACACTGACGTTCTAGCAATTTCTTTTTGTCTGTTTGTTTGTTATTGCCGTAACTACAACATATTTTAATTTCTGGTTATTTTTCCATATACAGAAGCAAGACATTGGGTAACACGTAGTAAATCTAAACGATTCCATAAATATTATATTGGAACAGAAAATGTACGGTCACAAGAGATGAACCATATTACCAGGTCGTGTAATTAGATGTGCAAACTCAGTTGCATATAAATGTTACCAAGTTCAGAATGGATCAAGCGATATTGACTTGTACTGGGAAGACACTAAACATTGTGCATGGCCTTTGTGTTCTAGTCTTAAGATTTGAGTACTTGCTATTCCCTCTGCTTGGAACACTCCTCCACATAGTCACAAGCCCTGCTTGCTCTCTGATATTATTTTATATATTTGCTTATTATCCATCTTCCTTGTCAAATAGAAACTCCATATGAGAAGAAACTTTGTTTTGTTCATTACTGTACCTTTGGGGCCTACAATAGTATCTTGCACAAATTAAGCACCCAATACATATTTTCAAAAGTTTGTAATACATACATCTTCTGTAGCATGTGACCATTTTGTTGAAATAGATACTTTCATGGTCTTTGCACTTTTGACAGATTCAGGAACAAAAAATCAACTAAGGCTATGACAAGTGTCCACTCACAGCTTGATATTTAATGGAGTTATTAAAAATATCATTCCTCAAACTTTTAATAATATTCAAAAGTAGATGAATCCTGATGGCTGAATTTACTTTTACCATCAGAGACTAAACTTTATTATTATTATTACTATTGCAATTATTCAGTAACATCAATACTCATTCAGTAGGTATATTATATGTCAGGCATTATGCCACATGCTTTCAAACATTTTCAAATTGTATTATCTATGAAATTTCTACTAAAAAACATTTTTTTTTTTTGAGACAGAGTCTCACTCTGTCATCCAGGCTGGATTCCAGTGGCATGATCTTGGCTCCCCGCAACCTCTAACTCCCAGGTTCAGGTGATTCTCCTGCCCCAGCCTCCTGAGTAACTAGGATTACAGGCACCTGCCACCTAGCCCAGCTAATTTTAGTAGGGATGGGGTTTCACTATGTGGGCCAGTATGGTCTCGAACCCCTGACCTCAAGTGATCTGTCCACCTCAGCCTCCCAAAGTGCTGGGATTACAGGCGTGATCCACAGCACCTAGCCCTAAATAACATTTTTGTAGTTTCAATTGTTTCCTCTGTTTTGTCGATTACATTTTTATTTTTGAAAAGGTGAAACCCTAGGTTTTTTTTATTCATCAAAATGCTGAAATTATACATAATTTTTCTATAGTATGGGATATTTTTCCATTGACTGTAACAGATTTGACTCTTGCAATGAGCAATCAAACAAAAAATAAGCAATCAAACAGAGATACCTGTGCTTACATCTGTGCCACTGATTGATAGAAGTGGAAGATGGGTCTGCCTAATGTACCCTCATCACCACAGTGTAGTTCTCATTAATCCTTGGAAGCAAAGTCCAGTGTTCTCTCCACTCCTCTAATGAAAAGTTTGTGTTTTCTCAACATTGTTTTTTCCACTTTGACTTGTGTAGGTGGAGATTGGGAGGTTTATTTGTTTGTTTTAATCCTCATTTTAAGGCCCTAGAGAGTTTAAAATAAGGTGTACTTTTCATCTGATGTCCTCAAAGAAGACTCTACTGGGACATTGTTATTAATCTCACCTTTTCTCCTGAGTTGTGGGAAATTATTATGTGAGAACTTTAGGTAGAGCCAATGTAAACAAAGGAAAAAACATTAAATGGTGTAGAGACTTTTTCATAGTTAAGAAAAATCATGAAATTACTAATAAATATGCAATTTCTAGAGTCTCAAGTCTGTCATTGAAATGTAATTTCAATAATTGAGGAAATTGTATTTTAGCTCAGGCACACAAAATGACTCTCACTATCTAATTTTCCTCTAGGAAAATTATTAAAGATAAAATATATCTTTCTAATCTAAGAAGAATAAACATTTATCTAAGAAATATGAGCTTTCTAGATCTTAAATTTTTCCAGCTGACAATTTATTTTTTCCAGTGGAGGATTTATAATTGACAGAAGAACCGTAGTGAACTTGGGTTTTTTTTTTAGTGATACTGAAGTCAACAATATGGCCCTACATTTGAAGTTTACATGGTTCTAAATGTTTTAGGGGGAGATTCATTCATGGTCAAAGGGCAGTATTAGTGATAAAGATTTTATTGGCAAAGCAGAATTTATGGATGCATCTTGGAGAATTAATGTTAGAAAATTACTAAACTTGGTGGGAGTGTAGATTATATTGTCAGCTTCAGACAGCTTTTTGAAATGTATCTGAATTCTATGGAGATGAGCATTGGCTGACATTTCTAAAGCTATTTATACTAAGCTTGATCAGATAAATAAACAATTAGATTAGAGCTAAGAAGCTGTGTATTCCACTCTCAGAAAAAGAAGTTGAAAATGATCAGTGGAGATGACTAGAATGAACACTGTGATGCTAGATTAAAAGCTGTGTCATCACTATGTGCTTAAGCTTATCTAGATAGATATAATAGTGAAGTAGGTAGGTAGGCAGAGAGATAGATATAAAATATCTAATATATATGTGTGTATATGTGTATGTGTGTGTAGATAGAAGATAGATAGATTGATAGATAGATAGATGATTTGTTTTATAAAAAACAGGGTCTTAATCTGTCACCCAGGCTGGAGTGCACTGGTGTGATTACAGCTCACTGCAACCAGCAACGCCTGGGTTCAAGTAATCCTCCCACCTCAGCCTCCGAGTAGCTGGGTTCAATGATTCTCCCACCTCAGCCTCCGAGTACCTGGGACTACAGGTGTCCACCACCACATCTGGCTAATTTTTTAATTTTCGCAAAGATGGGGTCTCTCTATGTTGTCCAGGCCGATCTTGAACACCAGGGCTCAAGTGATCCTCCTGCCTCAGCCTCCCAAATTGCTGGGGTTAAGAAGAGAGCAACCACACCCACCCTTTTTGTGTATTTAAATGGTTTGTTATCCATGCTTATAATTCCTATCTAAATTTGCTGAAAGTAACTAAAAAGAGTGACACCTTAGTAGCAACCAGCACACCTTGTATCTATACCTTGATTTCTAAAAACTCAGTGGTTCTATCAGGAGTCAAGCCCATGGTTGCTGATGACACAATATGTTCATCTGTCTTTCTTCCCCAAGAATAAAGAGGCCTGAGGTTTTTGTGGGGAAAAACATACTAGACTTAGCAACATAAACTGTGTTATTCAGATTTTCATTTTTAAAATAAAATTCCATTTATTCGTATGGAAAAGGAGGGAGATGGGCCACAGTAAGTCTTAGCTAACAGAGTGATGTTGATGAATGTCAGGCATTCTTGTTGTTTTTAATAAAGTTCACACTTTATTCAGCTTTCTTTAGTTTTTGCCCAATGTTCATTTTATGTTCCAGCATCTATCCAGGATAGAATATTGAATTTTGCCATTATGTTTTCTTATGCCCTCTTGACTTCCTATTTTTATGACTGTGATAGTGGTTAAGTGTTTTCTGAAATGTCCCTCAATTAGGCTTTTTCTGATATTTTTCTCATGATTAGACTGGGGTAATTGGTTATTGGGGAGGAAAATCATAACTGTAATTGACATTCTAATCATATCATAATGAAGGTACATACTATCAGTATGACTTATCACTGCTCATGTTAACCTTGATCATCTGGCTGAAATAGTGCCTGTCAGGTTTCTCCACTGAAAAGTTACTCTTCTCTCCTTTTCATATTAACTTTTCAGAAGGAAGTCAGTAGGTGCAACTTACACTTACAGAATGGGGAATTATGCTTCACCTCCTTGAGGGCAGAATAGCTACATAAATTAGTGAGAATTTTGTAGGGGACATTTGTCTCTTTTCTTCCATTTATAATTTGTTCAATCATTTATTTCTACCAATATGTTATAACAATTATTTTATACTTTGGATAATAATTCAATTCTGATATTCTACATTATTTATTTTTGTTGCACCAATTATTCTGGCTTTATTCATTGGAAACCCTTTCACTTTGCTCCTGTGTTATTTTGACATAGCTCTATCATCGTGTTTCTCTTTTGCTTTCTTCTTTCCTTCCTTCTTCCCTACCTTTCTCTCTCTCACGTTCGTTCAGTGCTTCCTTAACCTCTGGAACTATAATATGCTCTGGATTCATTACGTAAATGTCCCACCCTTTCCTAGTCAAGTCTCAAAGGAGCTCTGGCTCCTTTTTTGGAATATTGTTATTAGAAACTGTTATTTGGGTTCTAAGTCTGTTTGCTGCACTGAATTGTTCACATACCTTTAGGCCTTCTCAGCTGACAGATCAAGGAGGTAGAACTGTGGATACTCACTCATATATGTTGTATATACATATCCATAACTATTTCTATCTAGTGTTTATATTAAGTTGATTATAAGTTCATTTCATCGTTAACACTAATCCCTGATCACATGGATCACTCTAGAATACTCTCCTTGCTAATCTATAACCTTCTACTCCAATAATGTGAAATGTGGGAACAACCATATGCCATCCATTTATTTAACTGTTCATTTCTAGTATACAATCATACTTGTTTCAGAATTGTTAAAACATATCCCTATGAGACACAACTTTATAATTACAGTGTAATGTATCGTTCATTAGTTCATTCTGCCTTTAATTTTCACACTCTTTTAGATGTTACTTACATCAGCACATTTACCCCATCTCTTCCAGGGAAATTGTTTCATGATTTGTGTGAGTGTGTGTGTGTGTATGTGTGTGTGTGTGAGACAGGGTCTCACTCTGTCTTGCCGGCTGGAGTGCAGTGGCACAAACTTGGCTCACTGCAACCTCTGCCTCCTGGGTTCAAGTGATTCTCCTGCTTCAACCACCTGAGTAGCTGGTATTATAGGCATAGGCCACCACTCCCAGCTAATTTTTGTATTGTTAGGATAGAGGGGGTTTTGCCATGTTGACCAGGCTGGACTCGAACTCCTGGCCTCAAATGATATGTCCACCTCCGCTGGGATTACAGACATGAGCCACCATGCCTGGCATGTTTTGTGCATTTTTAATACAATGTATTGTTTTGCCACATTCTGCACTCCTTTTCAGGTTCCTCAGACCTACTAAATGATTTATTTTTAAATTATCTTTCATTAACATTTACTCTCTGTTCTGTATACCTCTATGAGTATTTGAAAAAGGGATGGTGTCATTTATCTACCATTACGGTATTATATCATACTGAATAGTTTGACTACAGGAAATAATTCCATGTGTCTTACCTATGTAACTACACCCTTTCATCCCTCCTTTCAAGCAAGTCTTCTCATTTCCTTTAATAAATAATTATTTTACACAACCACCTTTTTCTATTTAAAAAAGTAATAGTGGTGTTTAAATATTCACAGATATTATGGTAAATTCACAGTGTATGATTTCATTGCTGTAGGCATTATCTTGTTATTTTTTACATGTTTTTTTAAGGAGAGCAATAAAGGAAAGTAATAGATGGAACCCATGTACCCTGATTCACAAGAGAGAGGAAGCATAAAACAGACAGGATTGGAAAATATCTACTCAATGCTTTTATGAAGAAACTTCTAAAGATTAAGAAAAATATTCAGGCTGGGCATGACGGCTAACGCCTGTAATCCCAGCACTTTGGGAGACTGAAGTGGGAGGATTGCTTGAGACCAGGAGTTTGAGACCAGCCTGGGCAACATAGTGAGTCCCCGTCTCTACCAAAAAAAAAAAAAAAAAAAACCATGGTAGGTGGTGCATATCTGCCATCCTATTTGGGAGGTGAGGCGGGAGGATCTCTTGAGTGCAGGAATTTGAAGTTACAGTGAGCTATGATCACACCATTGCACTACAGCCTGGGTGACAGAGCAAGATCCTGTCTAAAATAAAGTAAAATAAAGAAAGATATTCAGAAATTTCTTCCCAAAAAAGTTATACTCATTGTACTGTTAGTTTCTTCAACACAAATTGTTTGAAAGGAACATAGATACAACTTTATCATTACACAAAGAGTGGTTTAACATTCACTCTTTACTTCAGGGTCTAAATAAAATCAAGCATTTTCTGAGACATTCTTCATAGCACCAGGTACACACCTTGTGCAGAGGTCCAAACATTTTTTTGTAAATTTATTTCAAAGGATAATTTTTCTCCTTCCCTAGAAATGTCCAATGTGGTTACATGAACACATAAGAATGATATTTCATTAATTTATCATCACATTAGGTTAAATGATAATTTTTTAAATTGATAGTTATTGTATTTAATGAAGGAAGTACTGTCTCTCTGTAAAAAGTAATGAGGTCCTGTCATTTGCAACAACATGAATGGAATTGGAGATCACTATGCTAAGGGAAATAAGCCAGGCACAGAAAAACAAACTTTGCATGTACTCACTTAATTATGGGAGCTAAAAATGAAAATAATTGAACTCCTGGAGACAGAGAATAGAAGGATGATTACTAAAGACTGGGAAGGGTAGTAGGGGGATAAGGGGGGAAGTGAGGATAGTTAATGGGTACAAAAAATAGAAAGAATGAATAAGATCTAGTATTTGCTAGGCATTTGATAGTAGCTGTGGACTCACCATGTATTAGTCTTATTGTGTTCAGTTACATTTCTTTTATACTAATATGTTTAGAGTTTTATCATGAAAGGATATTGAATTTTGTCAGATGTGTTTTCTGTTTATGTTGAATCGATCATATGATTTCATTCTTCTCTCTGGTAATGTGATGTATCACATTTATTGAGTTGCATATGTTGAACCATCTTTGCATTCCTGGAATAATTCCACTGATCATAGTAAATTATCTTTTTAGTATGCTATTGAATTCAGTCTGCTAGTATTTTGTTGAGAATTTTTGCATGTATGTTTCTCAAGGATAGTGTCCTGTAGTTTCCTTTTTTTCTTGTGTTTTTTTTTTTCTGGTTTTGATATCAGGGTAATAATGCTGGCCTTGTAAAATAAGTTTGGAAATATTCCCTCATCTTTAAACTTTTGGAAGAGTTTCAGAATTGCTATTAGTTTGCTTTTTAATGTTTGGTAAAATTAGGCAGTGAAGACATCGGGTCCTGGGCTTTGTTTTGATGGGAGGCATTTTATTATTTATTTTGGTCTTCACAGTCTGGGAAATTCTTTTCTGGGAACACTCTTAAACTGTAAGCTTGCTTATAATTTTTGGGCAGGTTGGGTGGCATTGTCCTTAATCCTGTGACCACGGCAGCTGTTGCAGTGCTAGGTGGTACCCTAAACCCAAGACTGCTGTGGTCAGTGCATCTTGGGGCTGGAATCCTGGTGACTGTTGAGGCTGGTGCAGCACTGGAGTATACTCAAAGTCTACTGCCACTAAGGCCTGATTTGCCCAGAGCCCAAGACCAATGTAGTCAGCCATCAGTAAGGCAAGAAATCAGGTACATTTTGCCGTGCCTATAGGTTCGTGCCTGGCACCAGGGCAGGCCAGGAGACTCAGTCTGCAGGAGGCTCTGACCTCCGTCAGGAGTTACCAGCCCAGATTCAGGGGCCATGAGGGGCTGCCAGGTGCTAGATTTTACTATAGTAGTCCCAGTGTTGGGGACCAAAACATATCCTATGCTCATTTTATTTTCTTTTTACAAAGCAAATGGTGTGTCTGTCTATGATGTGTTTCCTGGGTTTGGAGGAGAGGTGATGTGGGTGATGTAAAGTTGCTCTTCTTACTCTCCTCAATGCAGCTTTTCTTATTACTATGCTCTAATCAGGTGCTGCAAACTCCACCTGGTTTCCTTAGCTCTTGTGAAGATATTTTTGTGCATGGATATTTGTTCAAATTGATGGTTCTCTGGGGAGTGATCCCTGGAGAATCCTATTCAAACATCTAGCTCCACTCTCCTACATTTCTTTTGATGTATCATAATTATCATGACTTAAGATTTACTCCCTATAATTGAAGAAACTCTTCTACACTGAAACACCCTTATAAATAAGGTGAACATACACACAGAATGTAATATATCTTGTCCAGTATATGTATATTCATTCTTTTCTTTTTTCTTTTTTTTTTTTAATACAGTGTCTTGCTCTGTCTCCCAGGATGGAGTGCAGTGGCAAGATCTTGGCTCACTGCAAATTTCACCTCCCGTGTTCCAGCAATTCTCCTGACTCAGCCTCCTGAGTAGCTGAGATTACAGGAATGTACCACCGTACCTTGCTAATTTTGTATTTTTTGTAGAGATGAGGTTTCATCATGTTGGTCAGGCTGTTCTCAAATGCCTGACCTCAAATGATCTGCCTGCCTAGGCTCCCAAAGTGCTGTGATTACAGGCATGAGCCACTGCCCCAAGATTCATTCTTAAGGGTTCTATGTCAAAAATTCCCCATGAAGCTTATTAACATATAAATTTATTGACCTTTATCTTATGATTCTGATTTGATAATTCTGAAATTTAGCTGTGTCCCCTCATATGCAAAGCTGTGCAAGAAATTTAAATGTACGCTCAGTGAACAAGAGTTATCAGAAAGCAGAAAAAAATTTTTATAAAATGAATTTTTTATTTCCAATTATGTAAGAAACTTTCATTAATATGTTTCACTCAATGTATAATAATATCATAACACAAGGCATTCATTTTGTACACTAAAGAAGAATAATACTTAGAGTAAGGAGAAAGGGACATTTGTACAGAATCCGTGGAGTTTATAAATCAAATCCAGACTGAAAGCATATTAAATATGATACTCTGTCTCTCATTAAAAAATCGTATAAATTATATTAAGTGGAATAAAATTATTTTAATCTTATTCTGGTTAGCATTCAAAATATAAATTCATTGATAGTATTCATTTCATTCTTAGAGCAAAATTAAGAAATCATTAGAAAATTTTATTTTAAATATGATTGTTAGTTTAATTTTGATAACTTAGATGAAGAAAAGGATCTTTTAATCAAATTTCAGTTTTTCAAGATGAATTGATTGACTATACCCAACTATACCTGGAGGGCAGTGAAAGAAGACAAAGAATAAGAAAGTCAATTTTACTTCTCTCATCGTAATATTTTGCCTCATTCAAACTTATTTAACTTTTTTTAATTTTTTTTTCTAACTGCTGGAAACCATTTTTATTTCAAACTGTCTACCTGCTTAATCCCAGGCAGAATTGGTAAATAACATTTTTTTTTTCTAACTTAACCTCACAACTCAAAGGGTTTCAGTTTATTTTTTAATTCAAAGCTCCCTAAATTGTATCTTGTTGTAATTCTTATGATTGCTTACGAACCTGTAACTCGGCTACCTACCTTTTCTTTTTCCTACATTTTCTTTTACATAATGGCAGCTTATATTAACTCTCTCCTCATTTACCTGTACTGTTTAAAATTACATTGTTTTAAAGGAATAGCACAGATTTGTCATGAATCTCTGTAGAGCAGTCTTCACATCCTTATTCCTCAGGCTGTAGATCAAGGGATTCAGCATAGGAATTACCAACGTGTAAAACACAGAAGCCATCTTATCATCAGTATCCAGTGAATGGTTACTTCGGGGCTGCACATACATGAATAGCAATGTCCCATAAAAAATTGTGACTGCCATCATATGTGAAGCACAGGTAGAAAAGGCTTTTTTCCTTCCTTCTGATGAACATATTTTTAAAATAGACAAAACAATATTGAAATAAGATACTAGAACTATAATCAAGGAACCAACCACATTTGTTGCTGCAGATATAAAGACAACTGTTTCTGGTAAGTAAGTATCAGAGCAAGATAATGCTAACAGAGGAACATTATCACAGTAAAAATGATTGATTATATTAGAAGAGCAATAAGACACAGAGAATACATAAGATGAAACCACAATAGCTGTAGAAAAGCCATAGAGGTATGTGAGGGAGACCAGCAGGAGGCAGAGCCGCCGAGACACCACCACCATGTACAGCAGAGGGTTACAAATAGCCACATAGCGGTCATAGGCCATCAAAGCCAGCATGATTACCTCCGATACAATAAAGAACAAGAACCCTCCCAGTTGGGTGGCACATTCATAGAATGAGGTAGTTTTCTTCTTTACTAAAAAGTTAATCAGCATTTTAGGGGCAATGACAGTAGAGTTACCAAGATTAATGAGAGCCAGATGTTGCAGGAAAAAGTACATGGGGGTTTGAAGTCGAGAGTCAACACTGGTGAGGGTGATGATGCCCAGGTTCCCTGCCATGGTCAGCCCATAGAGCACCAGAAAGACCAGGAAGAGGGGAATCTGGAGCTCTGGACAGCTAGAGACACCTGTAAGAATAAACTCAGTGACTCTGGTGAAATTTTCAGGAGCCATGTCAGAGTTTGGAAATTCATCTGTTTGGGGGAAAAGAGAGGTTAAAAACTTTAAAGAATTATTTGCAGGACTGCCCTTATATGGCTAGGACAATTCCCTGATAACATTTCTTTGAATTGTTTATTACTCTAACTCAGTTATTAAACTCAAGCTTCTAGGTCTAATAAGTAAACTTGGTAATTATTTCAGAGACAGAAAGATCAAGTATGGAAACGTATAGTAAATTAAATAGATGATCCAGCATCATGAAACATTTTGAGGATTTACTTCCTCACAGTCTTATTGAATTATGAGTACATTCTTAGTTTGCAAACATTTGAAGCCACAATTAATATTTTATATCATTTGCATTAGGCATGAGAAAGGCTTGAGGTCATTTTATGTCTGCAAATAATCCAATTTCTAAATTTGAGACTTCTTGCTTTTTCTTAGGAATGGGTGATTCTAGGTACTATCCTAACCCATTTTCTTTATTCATTTCATCCTTGTATAATGTGTATTATGCACATTTAACTCATACATTTTACCATCCATGTCTGTTTGCTTTTTCTCTCTTTTTTAAATTAACTCTGACTAAAATACATGGAGATATGCCCTCACATTTATTTTTCAGGTGACAATTTTTTTTAGCTTTCAATGTATAATATTGGTGAAAATTGTATTAGTTTTGTAATTTCTTGGCATTATGCTTTACTGGATACTACTTTCTGTTCCTTCTTTCTCATGTCTTTTTGTTGGTTCTGTTTCACAAGTTTTTACAGCTCCTCATAGTTTTCACTTTGTATTTTATGTTTAATCACAATTTTTATTTATATAATTAGATATTATTTTTACCACTTATAAAGTATATCTGCTCTTTCAGTTGATTTTTATTCATCTTTTTTATATTTTTATATTTTTATCACTGTAATGAGTAAATATTGTTATTTTATAGACTTTCTGTGATAACTACAATGCTCATATTTGACATAGAATTTAAATGCTATTTTAATATGGCTAAATATTTCCCTTGAGTTCTTTATATTTAGGATAATCTTCTACCCCTAACTAAGCCAACTGGAGTCTCTGCTACAATTTATAGTTCCCCTGTTGTGGACACCTGGCCCAAAGAAATCCTGTCATAGTCACTTATTTAAAAATGTGGAGTTAAGTTACAGAGAGTTAACACTATATCATTTAAAATGCCTGAATTTTAAAATCCCAGCGTTGTTTAAATTTTGTCTCCTTGTAAAAAAAAAGATACAATGAAAAGAAAAATAGAAAACTATCCTGCAGTGTGAAAAAAGAATGAAATGAACCAAAATAATTCCTAACATTGTTAATATCCGATCTCAGTTTGATTCTCAAACCAAACATCACACTTTTTCTTGTTTTTCAAAATAATCTTCTTATTTATTTATTTACCACCTGTTTATTGAATTCTTACTCTGGTAACGTGCAAACTTCACATAAACTAGTTATCCCTTGTTTTATGGACCTACTATTCCAATGAAAGGAAACATACAAAAATCTGGTAAAGAAATGTAGAAACAAGATTATTGCACATTTCAATAATAAATAAGGAAATTAAATATGAAGATACATTATGACAACTTGGGAGAATATTTTCACATGGTATGTTATGGGAAGGTCTTTTTTAATTTTAGCAGTTTCTTTTTAGTTTTAATTTCTTTTTCTTCAACTTTTATTTTAAGATGGGAAGCCCTTCTTGAGAAGGTGACATCTGTATTGAGACCTAAAGGATCTGAAAGAACCAGATGTTTAATGAATCATAGGAAGAACATTCAAGGATTCTAGTGGAGAATGTATATGCTGAAAATACTGGTATGAGGTAGAAAATAAGTTAAAGCATTTAGTTTTTGAGGGGGTAGGGGGTCTTAATGGAGGACAGTGTGAATAGATTATAATAAGGAAGAATTAGGTCACAGTGATTATTTGAATTTTATTTATTTCTTAATTTTTTTTAGTTGCTGTTCATAAGTTTATTGTCTTTATCTGAAAAATCCTCATAGAAAATTGTTTGGTTTAGCTTTCAGCATCCTGCTCCTGAGCTCTGAGGAAGCTTGCCTTCTTTCGAGCTACCCAATCTTTCTTCTGAGCAAGGGACATTCTGGGATGGTTCTGCCTCTTCTTCATAACTTCTGTCTTGGGCTTCTTTTCATAAACTGGATTTTCTCCTATAGCAGCATGAGCTTTCTTATACGTCTCCTCCATCATGTCTGGAGTTATGCTGTTCTTTATATATTGAGAGAACTGTTTCTTGTAAGCATCTTCATCTTCTTCCATTAAGTAGCGCTAGCAACTAAGCTGCAACATTCTGGCCCATGATGTCCTTCCGGTGTACTTCTGCATTAAATCCCTTGCTTTCAGAATCATAATCAGGGAATTGTTTGGTACTGTGAGGGATAGACAAGCCTCCAACCGCAGCTTCCTTCAGGGTGCCAAAAACTTTATTGCCAGTGGTAGTTCTGGCAAGGCCTGCACCCAAATAGCAGGTAAAGGCACCTGGCTGACCATCAATGCTTTCCACATTGTATTCATCACTAGTCGCCTCCACTTGGCCTTCATAGATCTTGTCCATGCCAAACCTATTGAGAAGCCTGCAGGCCAGCAGCAGGCAAGTACAATAGGCTGCAGCATAATTTGTCAGGCCAACCTTCACACCATATTTTGGCAGTTCGTGTGCATGTGCCGCGCGGACTATCACATTCCCCTCTATACAGCCATAAGCAATCTGACAAATGATATATCTGTTTATTACATGAACTATCATCCAGTATTTGGGTGTGTTGTATTTATTTTTATCCTGTATCACCAAGCGTTTCCGAGCATAGTAATCAGTTTTACCCTCTCGTCGTCTTCTAAATTTCACTTGGTATATCTCTTAAAGTAGGCCTTACTCTTAACAACTTTAACAAACTCCGTCCTGCTGAAGAGAGGCCCGCATCCACGGCTTGACAGAGACCTGCAGGCCTTGAATTGTAAGCCATGACAAAATTTTAAGATAGGTGAAAAACATTATTGGCTTTAAGTTTTAAAAAGATTACTCTTGTTGTAAAGATAATGAATTATAGGATTGAAAAAGCTCGAGGCAGGGCAGGAATGGAAATTTTAAAATAACCACAAAAAATGAGTTTAGAGGTTGATATGGGATTTCTGGTATAAGATAACGTGGGCTTCAGCTAAAATGGAGACACTCAATATCAAAACATGGTAACATTGACAGGAGCAGAAACAAGATGATCTCCTCAATGTAATTTATATAATAAGTTATATAACTTATATATGAGAGAATGACAGATGGGGGATTTATTTTGACTGGGGTAACTAACAGCTGTGCCATTTTTGAATATGAGACAATATGTTTTAAGATGGAGTAAGCAAAGTGATATTTTGAACATATTAAGCTTTATGTGCTTATGAAACATTTAAATAATAATTTAAGCAAGCTAATATTTAAGTCTGGAGGATATTGATGTGGTTAGGCTTGAGAAACATCAATCTAGATAATGATAAAGTATTTTTTTCATATGTCAAGATTTTATAAAAATTTATAATCAAAATTCCTAACTTGTTCTTCATTCAGTTTGCATCATTTCCCACTGAAGATCAATCCTATTTTTGAGACTCTAGTTTTCCTTTTATTTCCAAACACTACGTAACAGGTAGTTGTGCTTCTGTGTCCCCTCCCATGCCCTTTTCTTACCTTGCCTTCCCTGGGTTTCCAATTTTAATATTCTGTCTGTAGCTTTCAGTCTATTTGTTATCCCCCTTAGCAAACATGCCAACTATCAGCCAATGTAAATGCTTACAGATTGTATCAGATACTCTGTTTCTGCTGAAACCTGGTGCTGTACTGGCTTTATGATTTATTTGAAAATTCAATAATTAATTATTAAAAAGTGATTTTTAATCACAAAAGTCATATTCATCCTATGATTTTCTCTTTTAAATCTCAAGATTGCACTATTTGCTAATTTCTATGAATACTTTCCCATCCTATGCACCTCCCTCTTCTACTTCCTTAGAGCAAGCCTTCTATAACACTTTCATTAATTATTGTATCCTTCTTGGTTCACCATGTTATGATTCTTTATGGTTGTACTGGCAAGAATGCCAGTCATTAAGGATTTTTGTGCAATTAGGTTGTGTTATCCAAGGTATTCATTAGAATAATTGAAATATGCTTTTACCTCATTTATCATCAGATTCACATGACTTTTCTGGTCATTCACCCTACAAAACATGCCTTTAAGGCATATTTTTATTTCTGACCTTCCATGTCTTCACTGTTATTGATTCTTCTGAGATTGCTTTGTTTTTAGTGAGAGGTAGAATCTTCTCTGCAAAGTTTGTCCACCATTTGTAGCAGTGGCTCCATACATTTAAAAACCAGAAATGAGGGTAGCATCAAATGAGGCTAATTAACTTTAATTTTGTAGTATTTAAAAATGTCATTTCTGATTACTCTCTAGGCATGTTCAATCTTTTCAAAAATGCAAATGAATTGAGAGCGTAGAAAGATAGATGAGCTTTTGTTTGTTTGTTTTTTTGAGATGGAGTCTCACTCTGTCACCCAGGCAGGTTGGAGTTTTTTGTTTGTTTGTTTGTTTGTTTTTGAGACTGAGTCTCCCTGTTTCACCCAGGCTGGAGTGCAATGGCACGGTCTCGGCTCACTGCAACCTCCGCCTCCTGGGTTCAAGTGATTCTCCTGCCTCAGCCTCCCTAGTAGCTGGGATTACAGGCGGGCGCCACCATATCCAGCTAATTTTTGTATTTTTAGTAGAGACGGGGTGTTGACCAGGTTGGTCTCAAATTCCTGACCTCAGGTAATGCACCCGCCTCGGCCTCCCAAAGTGCTGGGATTACAGTAGTAAGCCAGCATGCCTGGTCCTTGATGAGTTGTCTTTAAATTAGCACAGTGTTTTACGGCTAATGGGTAACAAAAATAGACTTTAATTTAAATATATATATATATATTTATTCCCTATTACTAGTTTTAGTCAACAATAATAGCCTTTTAAAAAGTGTGTTTTTGAAATACTTTCATTGTACTTAGGGTTTTCTTTTGTTATACAATCTGAGGGAGAATGAAAAGAAAGTAAACTTACTTTTGAACATGCTATTTTAGGTTAGTTGAACTAAGAGCAACCCAGGCAATGAGTTTTTTTCTATATTCCTCTTGATAATGTTATAGAGATTTTGTCCCATTACACCAGGAATCTAGGGTTGGATAGTGTATCTTAAAGTCTTGCTCCTGCTTTTGGAAATGTCTTCCTGCAAATTGAAGTCCTTTGTTTTGATGTCTAATGGAAGTTCTTCTTTGCTATTTCTTCTGAAGTAAAATGCTAACAGATTTATTTTATGATAAGATAGATGATTTAACTAAACACTTTCCATTATTGCAGTGGATTACATATTATGCTTCTATATATATTTGCTTGTACATTACCACATTGAATGGATAATTTTTCTGAGAATACTTGCATTCTAAACTTGTATTCTCAAAAAGGGGCATCATTTTGACTTTGGGTAGATGTCTATCCAGTTTTCTCTCATAGGCTATCCTGTACAATATACAATTTTTATTGTAAATAATATTGCAATAATACAACCATGATATAAACAGTCTCTATGAGCAGCAATTCCTAGTTTCAGTAGTGACATAATTTTTTAAGTACATGAGACATAATGATGCCATTTCTATTTTGGAGACATAAATAGCTTGATCATATTTGATGCCCTCTATTCCTAAAAACAGTTATAAATCTGAAAAACAAACTTATTTATCTTATCATATTTCTGTATAATGAGCTTTAAAAGATCCAAAACCATACCTTGGCTCATTTTAAGTATGGTTTTGATCTTTAAAAGGTCATTATGGTCATTATACAAAAATAAGGTAAGTCTTTTCCACCCACCTCTAGAGGAGAATCTGCTTCAGGTTCTTAGAGTCTATACATGACTGGCAGTGAGAGTTGGTGGGGCTTTAAAAGCCTTTGAGACCTTAACTCTGAAGCACAGGTGACTCTAGTATCTACACATTGCCTTTCATGTCTTTGGGGAAGGTGCCTCCTGGGACCGGTTTCTTAACAAGGTCTCCCTCTAGAAAGTCAATCAGACACCCCATGAGTCTTTCTGGTAGTCTGTGTTTATTTTGTATTATTGAAGTGAGTTCAAGTTCATTACAGCTAAGGGACATGGGGGTTAAACTGCATCTTTTAAAGTAATTCACTTCCATTCGGAGATTCATTATTGCAAGATGAGATATGTAAGAGCTAGAAGCTGATGGTATCACAGCTTTACAAAACCTGTTATCTATAAATAATATATTTATTATGTCACTATCTGTGTTGTCTCCCTTTAACTCTTATTTCAAAGTATAAAACATAAATTCCCTGATGAACAAAGGCATTTTTTGAAACACTAAACATTTAGCATGTATGCATTTTTATCCATGTAATGACTAATGGAATTGTTTAGAAAGGAATATGCCTTGGGGAAATTATCATATTTAGGAATTAAGTCCCCTTTGTAGATCCAAAGATCTGCTTCTACAGGCCTTAAATTAAAGCAGAAAATGGAGTTATACAGCATGATGACATTTATGTACAGTATAAATCCATGACATAGAAAACTATTGTATGCTTTGTAAGAGCACAAGAAAACAAACAGATTTACATTGAGTTATTTTGTGGCAGTTTCCCGATGGTGGTGGTTGGGACTGGGTAAAGAAATTAAGATGAAAGGTACACTGAAGACTATCATAACAAAATACCACAGACTGAGTGGCTTAAACAGTGGAAATTTGTTTTCTCACAGTACTGAAGGATAGAAGTTCAAGCTCAAGGTCTCAGCAGGTTTGGTTTTTTCTGGGGCCCTCACCTGGGCTTGCAGAGGGCCACCTTTTCACTGTGTCCTCACATAGTTGTCCCTCAGTCTGTTTATGTGCCTGGTATATCTCCTTCTCTCTGTCCTAATCTCTCTTCTTATCAGGATGCCAGTTGTATTGAATTAGGACCCAGCTAAATGACCCTAATTAAATTAATTGCCTTTTTAAAGGCTCTGTGTCCAAATACAGTCACATTCTGAGGCACTAGTGATTAAGGCTTTAACGTATGAATTTTGAGATAGACCATCCAGTCCATAACAAGAAAGAATAAAACATGAATAAGAAAGAGGTTTTGCTGGCTGAATAATGAAAATTTGTCATGAACAGAGGAACATAATTATTCTAAACCTCTTATGTTAGGCCCAAAACAGCTGAAAAGATGGAATCTTCATTGGGAGGAAAACCCGCTTCTGGAAATCTGTTCTACAGAAGTAATATGAGTTACTTAAATATATAAATAAAGTCTTCATAAGATTATTTTTTCAGTGAGATAAAATACTGAAAACTACACAGTTTAGAAATTTGTTAAGTAAACTCTGGGATATGTTTAGTATATAATCATATATTCTTTACAAATTTTATTTATGTAAATTATATAGAAATTTGAGGAAAGCTTCTGAGAGGCTTAATACTAAAGATAGTATTAAAAGGGTAATGTTTTACTTTATGGTCACACTTTTATGTGGAATCTAAAACAATCAAACTCATAGAAGCAGACAGTAGAAGTGGTTGCTGGGGATGAGGAGTAGCAGCCACTTGGAGATGTTGATCAAAGAGTATAAAGTGTAAGTTATGTAATGTAGTATGTTAAATGTAAGTGTGTAATGTAAATTATGTAAGTTAAGTGTAAAATGTAAATTATGGAGGATAAATAAGTTCTGGAGATCTAATGTCCAGCATGGTGATTGTAGTTAACAAGACTGTATTGTGTACTTGAAAATTGCTGACACAGTAGGTCTTAAATGTTCTTACCACACACACAAAACTTAACTACATGAGATAATAGATATGTAAATTAGCTTCATCTTGGTAATAATTTCATAATATATATGTTTATGAAAACATCACGATGCCAAGTGCAGTGGCTCACGCCTGTAATCTCAGCACTTTGGGAGCCTGAGGCAGGAGGATGGCTTGAGCCCAGGAGTTCAAGACTAGCCTGGTCAACATAGCAAGACGCCCATGTCTACAATAAATAAATAAATAAATAAATAAATAAATAAATAAATAAATAAATAAAACAAAATAAAAAATTGTCATGTTGTACACCTTACATATATACAATTTGTTGTGCCTATTATAACTCAATAAACTTAGAAAAATAAATAAAAGGGCCATATTATATTGGTTTATGTTAAAAGTTCAATAATTTACATACAATAAAATGCCAACTATATAGAGTTAACATTTAAATAATGTATTTTAATAATCCCGAAATGTTCCCCAATGTCTCTTTGCAGTAAATTCCTCCATATTATATCTCAGGATACAATTGTTATTATTTTTTTAATATATGTACACAGTTTTATATACAACGCAGCATCAAATATGGGGCATTTTCTCCTATTTTACACACTCAGATATGTTTAAAACACTTCTTAAGGCTACAAAACAGAACATAGAAAAACAAATAAGAATACATTCAACACTTACAAAAAGTGATATGATAAAGAATATAAAGTACTAGTTTTCTTTCAACACTTCAAACTATGTATATATACTATTTTTTTACAAATAACATCACAAATGATCACATATTCACATGATTTACATATTATTTATACTCATTTTGAGGCTATTATTATTTTTGATACATAAAATTTTTGTAGCTCTGAAACAATGCAAAATTTTTAATCCATTTCAGTAAGTTCCACCCAAAGTTGCTGCTTCCCAGCATTAAGACATGCAACCACCCCTCTTCTAAGATTTTCTAAAGCTTGTATGTCAGGGCAAAAGACCTCTTTTAAAAAGTAATCCCAATTAGTGGGAGAGTAAATGGCTGACATTGGTAGCAAAACCTTAGTTCATTGGAATTCACATGCTCGAAATTGCTATGGTTTTTATCACCATATATTAGTTTACCTGTTCTAGAACTTCATGTTAAAGGAATAATATTGTAGGTTGTGTCTGGTTAATGCTATTGAAATTCATCTGTGCTCCTGTATATAGCAATAGCTCATTCCGTTTTATTGCTGAGTAGTATTCTATTTTAGGAATATAGCACAATGTACATTTTTGTTTACAAACAGTTGAAATATTTCCATTTTATACTATTTTGAATAGAGCTATCAATAACACGAATGTACACATTTTTTAGACATGTTTTCATTCCCCTTTGATAAACATCCAGAAGGTGAACTCTGGAAACATGTGGTAGTAATGCATTTAACCTTATTTATAAACCACCACACTGTTCTCCAAAGTGAAGAACCATTGTACATGGTAATCAGCAAGTAAGATAATTTCAGGAGCTAATACTCTTGATCAAGTTGACACTCACTCCTTAGTAATGAAATATTTTAAATTTTACTCAAACTAGTTAATGGAAAATAGTATCCCATTGTTACTGTAATTCCATTTCCTCGATAGCTGAGGATGTTGGGCTTCTTTATCATGTGCATATTGACCATTAATACTTACTATATGAAATATATTTTATCCTATTTTTGTTTGATTGCCTTTTAGTTACAGCCTTGTAGGTGATATTTATATGTGTCTAAGGTCCCATATAAATTAAGTGGGCTTTTTCGTAGATAATCAATCAAACATCCATATGTACATGTGTTTTGGGCTCTATTCTGTACCATGAATCTATTTATCTATGTTTATAAAGTGCTGCATTATCTCCAGTACTGGAGGTTTATAGGAGGCCATGGAGTAGCTATTGTGAGTGCTCTAACTTTGTTGTTTCTCAAGATTATTTTGGCTATCCTGAATTTTTTCTGTGTCATATAGAAGCAGATCTAAAGCCGGATATGGGGAACCTTACTTTTATGCCATGAGGGTAGGTCTACACCTGTCCACTCTTAAAACAGTCACCTTTGGTGGTAGTTATTAAAATTACTTACTTACTGAAATGGATTAAAAATTTTGCATTGTTTCAGAGCTACAAAAATTTTATGTATCAAAAATGATAATAGCCTCAAATTGAGTATAAATAATATTTAAAAGCATGTGAATATGTGATCATTTGTGATGTTATTTGTAAAAAAAGTATATATACGTATGTTTGAAGTGTTGAAAGAAAACTAGTACTTTATATTCTTTATCATATCACTTTTTGTAAGTGTTGAAGATATTCTTATTTGTTTTTCTATGTTCTGTTTTGTAGCCTTAAGAAGTGTTTTAAACATATCTGAGTGTGTAAAATAGGAGAAAATGCCCCATATTTGATGCTGCATTATATATAAAACTGTGTACATATATTAAAAAAATAATAATTGTATGTATCCTGAGATACAATCCAGTCATTAGGACCTTTCAACTCTTGTCATGTAAACATTAGTAAGTACAGATATATTAAAATATCCTTGGTAAAAGCTTTTGGTGTACCAAGTCATTAATTAGACATGGAATGATAATAAATCAAATAAAGCTCAAGGTTTTAACTCTGGGAAGAAGTTTGAGAATGTATAAATACTAAAGGAATTTTATATAGGTTGGCAGCATTATTTTTCAACTACTCATGATTATAATTGTAAGCAGAATGTGTGTTTTGTGGTTATTAGGGAAAACAACGGTGTCCAACTAAGTCTGGAATATTATAAACTTTTTGTAGAAAAGAATGTAATGTTTGAAAACCATCTATATTTTATCTATGACATCAAATAGCTGATTTTAGACACCTATTATTGTCATTCTGCATTTTTTAATCACACAATTATATTAGTAAATGTTAGTATTCATAAAAATGTTAGTACTTCATTCTTAAAACGTTAGTATTTCATTAAAAAAATGAACAAAAGAGGAAACACCACTTAGAAAAAAATAACATTGCATGGCATTTATTCTCATTAAAATATTTTAAAATTATAATTTATGTATGCAAAATATTTACCCAACAACACATTATTAGAATGTGGAATAACCATATACATTTATTTGAGAAATAGAAATTACCAGTACTTTATTTTATAATCATAAAATATTTATTACAGCATATGTTTTAGGTGGCAGTTTAAATAACTTAAACTGTCAACAACCAAAGTTCATCAATCAAGGAATGGCTAAGTACAACGTGATTTGTCTATTTTCCAGAGTTGTATGCTGATATTAAAAATTTTTTAAAAAGAATTTTTATTGGTCAAGAAAAATTCTGCTGATGAATTCTAAAGTAAAAAAAAAATTGCAGGGAACATAATATAGCATGATTTTTTAAAAGCCCTTCTTGTGTGGATGGTATTACAGAATGCTATTAATATTATTTAATTTTAGTTGTGGATTATAGAAAGGGATAGAAATTGTAGAATTTGGGAAGGGAAAATATACAAAACCAAAGAGTTATATTTGTGCATTATAATATAAAATTCTACTATGAGGCCGGGCACAGTTGTTCACACCTGTAATCTCAACACTTTGGGAGGCCAAGGTGGGTGGATTGCCTGAGCTAAGGAGTTCACAACCAGCCTGGGCAACACGGTGAAACTTGGTCTCTACTAAAATACAAAAAATTAGCTGGGCGTGGCAGTGTGCACCTGTAGTCCCAGCTACTCGGGAGGATGAGGCAGGAGAATAGCTTGAACCCGGGAGGCGGAGGTTGCAGTGAGCTGAGATCGCACCACTGCACTCCAGCCTGCTCTACAGAGCGAGACTTAGTCTCAAAAAATAAAAATGTTACAGTGGAAATGTAAAATTGATTCCTAAAAATCAATATGGTTATGAGCAGGATCAGATGTTATCAAAATCAGAAGTAAACAAATTTGATATGATTGGGTAATGCAATTTTGTATTACTGTTATTATGTTCAGTTTATGTTTAGATGAAGTAAAATACATCATAAGTGAAAGAAGAGGAAAAAATGAAAGAAATGGATCTGGATAAAGACACTTTGGTTCATTTTCTGATTCAATTCCTCACAATTTTTACTTTGAACACTAGATTAAATTGGAACAGACACAATTAGAAAAGTGTATATATTTTTAAAATCGAAAAAAATAGAGGCCCGTCGAAACAATGGAAGAATACCAAGATGTAAGGAATTTATTTGCTGAGTGAGAGTACACAATGTAGATGCAGCATTATGGTAGAATACATTCCATGCCACTGTGTAGACAGGCTCATGAAGGAGACAAAGAAGACAGGAATGAAGATGAAACTAACCCTCGAGTGTGTAAGTTTTTTTAATCTGTGTTATTATCTCCATACATTTTTCAAAATTCTATATTGCTACCATTACAGTAGATGACGAGATAACTTATTTATCTTCAGGTTGCCAATTCTAAATCAGCTTATCAGGAAGTTCTCATAAACCAGTGTTTGCAATAGTGCTAGAATCTGTCAAGGAGGATCTAGAATAATCCAATATTTTTCTCATCATTCCTAATCAAAAACCTACTTTATCCCTAAGATATACAATACTAACTTCATCTGATTGAAAAACCTCATTCTGAGATAGCATACTTTATTGTGTTCTTAGCTTTAATGTTTACACAGCCTTTTCTTTTCTTTCTTTTCTTTTTTTTTTTTTTTTGAGATGGAGTCAGGCTCTGTCGCCCAGGCTGGAGAGTGCAGTGGCGTGATCTCAGCTCACTGCAACCTCCGCCTCCCGGGTTCAAGCAATTCTCCTGTCTCAGTCTCCCGAATAGCTGGGACTATAGGTGAATGCTACTGTGCCTGGCTAATTTTTGTATTTTCAGTAGAGACGGGGTTTCACCAAGTTGGTCAGGCTAAATAAACAGCCTTTTCATGTTATGTTATAATCACATATTTACTTACTTTCTTGCTTCCTATCTAGCCTACATGTTCTCTATGGTTCAATCTTATTTACATTTAATACCTAGTGCCTGCTGGGAAATATCTATTACTAATTTTCCGGTTATTTTTACTCTGTTTGAACTATATAAGCTTTTCATTTTAACTCTGCAACTCTAAGTTTGACATAATTTGCCTTATTTATAAATAGTAGCGGTTCCAGTATGATTTCGAAAATTGCTTAGGACATATATTACCTGAATATAGTATTTATTTATTCCATTGAGGTGGCAAAGAGTACAGGTTGCTCTAAGAGGACATGTTTTGTCCAGAAAAAGAGGAAAATCTAAGCAGATAGAGTATTTCTACTTTTTTTATGTTATAATTGGTTTGACAGAGTACTAAACAGATTATTGTACCCAACTATGCAACTGAGTATTAAGATATTAAATGGGAATTTTGAATCGATTGGTTAAAGTTCTCTTTAGAGCATCTTTTACTTCTTTGTTCCTTAGGCTGTAGATCAACGGATTCAGCATAGGAATCAACAGGGTATAAAACACTGAGGCCATTTTATCAATAGCCAAAGTATGACTGGACTTGGGTTGCAAGTAAATAAATAACAATGTCCCATAGAACATGATCACCACTGTCAGATGAGAGCTACAGGTGGAGAAGGCTTTGTACCTCCCTTTCCTTGAGTTCATTCTGAGAATGGCCACTAGAATAAACATGTAGGATATGAGAACAATTGAGAGGGAGAAGAGCAAATTACAGCCTGAGAAGATCAAAATTATTAATTCTAATTCATTTGTGTCAGAACAGAGTATGGACATCAGAGGGATACAGTCACAGTAAAAATAGCTGATTATGTTTGAGCCACAGAAGGACAGTTTAAATAACTTAATTGTGAGAAATAGTGACACAAACGTGCTATAGAGATAGGGAACAATTACCAGCACCCAAAGTACTTTCTCTGCCATGATGATCACGTACAGAAGAGGTTTACAGATGGCTACGTAGCGATCATAGGCCATTGCTGATAGAATAAAGAGCTCAGAGATGATGAAAATCTCAAAGAATGCTAGCTGAGTGGCATACCAATTGTAAGAAATTGTGTTTTTGTGCACTATGAAGTTTACTAACATCTTCGGGGCAATGACAGTGGAGTAACCAAGATCAGTGATTGACAAATGTCTAAGGAAAAAGTACATGGGGGTGTGTAGCTTGGAGTCCAAGTAGGTCAAGATAACCATGCCCAGATTGCCTATCACTGTGACCAGATATATGATGAGGAAGAGTCCAAACAGTGGAGCCTGCAGCCCAGGGTTGTCTGTAATCCCCATGAGAATAAATTCAGTCACCTTGGTCACTGCCGTGTGATTGTGTTTTACCACATGATTCATCTTGGTAACTGTGCAAACTAGAAAATCAATATTTATTATATTTGAAACATTATCTTCTAAGAAAATTAACAATTTGATGTATGAGCAATAGAGGTATTTCCTTTATTTCAAATTCTAAATAGAGTCTCCTCTTCCCATCAGGTCAAAACCACACAAAGCTACAGTCACATTCATTAAAACTGTGGTAAAGTATAATTAAAAGGGGCAAGATATTTTGAAGTTGTTGTTTTGATGTAGCTACTATGACCTACTTTTTGGACCCAGAGTCATTTTAATTATGTAAAAATAGCTACCACTTTTGTTTCTGCTTACCACAATTTTCAGGTAATTTGTAAAACAAACATCTATACATTAAACTTTACATTTTTGCTGATCATTGAAAGAAGCAAGACAAGATTTTCAAAACTATAGATGGAGTAATGAATAGGGCAGTAGGAAATCTCTGATCATTATATACATGTCAATACTTCTGTCTATAAATTCAACTTGTTTACCAAAAACAAAATTTTATGCCATAATTTGAGAATTTTGTTAATAATATCTTAATCTGCATTTGAACTTTTTGCCTATTGAATTGCTGCTTCTAGTGAGCAATTGGGGGGATGTATAATCCCCCAATTATACATCCTTCTGCAGGAAAAAAAAAATCTGGCTGTTCTTACAATTCATGAACATTTAAGAGAGAATCATAAAAAAGGGCTCAGTGGATAGAGAAACACAAATGAATATCAAGAACCTAAGCAAATCCATAGCATGCTAGGCAATTTTGCAAGTGCTTTACACATATTAACTCATATGATCTACACAATAACTTTAGGAAGTAGGCAGTAATATCATCCCCATTTAAAAGAAAAAGAAACTGAGGCACAAAGAGTTGGATAATTTAACAAAGATCTTTCACATTATAAGTTGTAGTGTAAGGATTCAAGTAAAGCCATTCTGCCTTCAGAATATGTTCTCATAAACACTCTAACACACCACTTCTCCATTAGGGATACCCTTCATTGTTAGGAAGTGAGAATGAGACAGGAAAGACACAAGGTAAATAATGATAAAGATCTTTGTTAAAATAGATGACTGAAGCATGAAGTAATTTGAAAGCTAAGGTGGCATAAATAATGACCAGCCTCGAGTATTGGAGACTGTATAACAGGTCTGTCTGCACATCTGTCCTATTGATGACAGAACAGTATATTGCAAGGGAGGCAACAGTTTTGCAGAGAATGGGACCCTTCCAGATTTTTGGTGACAACCTGCTTTAAGGATGTACCCTTAGAAATTTTCTAAGACCAATGTTTCCGCTTACCTCAATGGAGAATTTGCTTTGCTTTCTACTGCTTTAGGCCTCATAGGTGGCTACCGAATGGATTTAAATTTTTTCTCCTCCCTTGAGACTCATTGTGTTGAAATGTTAATCTGACCCAAGGTTAAACAAATTCTACGTAATTACCTGAGGGAAAGTGCCTTGAATATCTGTTGATTATTCTCCGAATGTTCCATTAAGAAAAAGTCGTAAATACTTATGCCTTTGTCTAACTGAAAAAATAAATTATGCAATATCACTAAAGACTGGAAATCACAAATGCCATTTTCAGCATTGCATGCAAATATTACATATATAATCCCCAACAAGTCACAAGTAAGTGAAATAATGACTTTCTTGAAAAAAGTTATATAATATTTGATAATACATCCATTGACCACATATATTTTGTTGAATATATGATTATAAACTGACATAAAACAATTTCTTATAAACTATATTAAGCTGAGAGAAGATAATATTTTATTAATTGTATTGTTTATGTCAAGAAATCAGTGGCAAATAATTTCTTCATTTGTTTATGATGTATCATTTATCTCTGGCTGTTTTTAAGAATTTTTCTTTGTTATTGGTTTTCAGAAATTTGACTATAATGCATTTTAGCATAATTTCCTTTCAATTTACCCTACTTGGAATTATTTTAGCTTTTTGTATGTCTAGGATTTTGGTTTTTTTTAAATACATTTAGAAGAAAATTCTGGCCAATATTTTTTACTGTGTATTTTCTGCACTATATAATCTCTTCTTTACACTTAGACTTAAAATTAAACATGACTTAAATAACTTGTTATTGTTCTACAAATCACTAAGACTATTTTCATGGTTTTCGTTCAGTATATTTTTACTCTGGCTTTATTTTCAGTAGTCTTCATTGTTGACTGTTTAAGTCATCTTTTGTTCAGTTCATAATCTGCCATTGTTCTCACTCAATATATATTTTTTATATCCAATACTGTATATTTATGTCTAGAAGCCCCATATCTGTTGTTTCATAAATCTTCATTTTTTTCTCACTATGTTAATGTTTTTGTTAAATCATTTAGTTTACTAAACATATTTATAACAGTTGTCTTAAAGCCCTTGCTTGCTAATTCTATCATTATACCTTTTCAATATCTACTTGAATTATCTCCAAGATAGGGCCACATATTCCTGCTTTCTCAAATGCCTAGTATTTGTGATTGGATGCTGAATATTGTGAATTTTGTGTTAATCAGTGCTGTATATTTTTGCATTGTTTTTTGAAAGAATATTAAATGTTTTAAACAAAGATTTAAGCCCTCAGAAGCATTTGGAGTAACATTTGCCTCTGAAATCTCTAGTGGGTGCCCAGTTGTTGATCAAGGATGATACGTTCCAGCTTTTTTGTAACTAGAATGTCTTCCTTCTCAGTGTGATACCTATGAATTGTTCAGCTTAAAATTCTTAGGTCATTCTTTGAAAAGCCTTATGGACATTTGATATAGCCATGCATAATTTAGAGTTCAAACACAAACTCAAAGAGAACTTGAAATGGAGGAAAGGATGAAAAATAATAACAAAAATATTACATCTAAGAAAAAAATGGCAATAAGTAGAAAGTATGTCTTCCAACATCTGTAATTACTTTTTTTTTTTAACTTTCAAGTTTTATTTTAGATACAGAGATACATGTGCAGGATTGATACATGGGTATATTGCATGATGCTGGGGTTTGGGGTATGGGTCCCTTCACTCACATAAGCAAGCATAGTACTCAATAAGTAGTTTTTCAACAGACACCCTTGTCCCCCTTCTTGTAGTCCACAGTGCCTATCTTTCCTATGTTTATGTTTAAGCTCCCACTTAAAAGTGAGAACACGTAGTATTTTGTTTTCTGATTCTGTTTTAATTATGGCCTCTAGCTGCATCATGTTGTGGCAAAGAACATGATTTTGTTCTTTTTTATGGCTGCATAGTACTCCAGGGTGTATATGTACCTTATTTTCTTTATCCAATCCACCATTGATGGGAACGTATGTTGATTTCATGCCTTTGCTATTGTGAATAGTGTGATGATGAACATACTTGTGCACGTGTCTTTTTGGTGGAATGATTCATTTTCCTTTTGAATGTATAGCTGGTAATGGAATTGCTGGGTCAAATGGTAGCTCTGTTTTAAGTTTTTGGGAAATCTCCAAACTGCTTTCCACAGTGGCTGAAATAATTTACATTCCCATCAGCAGTGTATAAGCATTTTCTTTTCTTGGCAGACTTGCCAGCCTCTGTTTTTTTGTTTTGTTTTGTTTTGTTTTTTAGTAATGGCCATTCTTACTGGTGTCAGATGGTATCTTGTTGTGATTTTGATTGGCATTTCTGATGATTAGTAATGATTAGCATTTTTTATCTGTTTGTTGGCCACTTGTATGTCTTCTTTTGAAAAGTGCCTGTTCATGTCCTTGGCCCATTTTTTAATGGGGTTGTTTTTTGATTGATGGTTGGTTTAAGTTCTTTATAGAGTCTGTGTATTAAACCTTCATCAGATGCAGTTTATGAATATTTTCTCCAATTCTGAAGATTGTCTGTTTATACTGTTGACAGTTTATTTTGCTGTGCACAAGCAATTTAGTTTAATTAGGTCTCACTTGTCAAATTTTTGTTTTTGTTGCAATTGCTTTTGCAGACTTATCCAAAAATTAATTTCCAAGGCTGAGGTCAAAAGGTTATTTCCCAGGTTATCTTCCAGGATTTTTATAGTATGAAATTTTACATTTAAATCTTTCATCCCTCTTGAGTTAATTTTTGCATATGGTGAAAAGTAGTGAGTACAGTTTCAATATTCTGCATATGGTTAGCCAGTTATCCCAGAACTATTTATTGAATAGTGAGTCCTTTCCTCATCTTTTTTTTTTTTTTTGGTCAGCCTTGTCAAAGATCACATGGTTGTAGTTGTATGGCTTTATTTCTGAGTTTTCTCTTTTGTTCCAGTGATCTGTGTGTGTGACAGTATCATGCTTTTTTAGATTACTGTAGCCTTACATTATAGTTTGAAGTTCAGTTGAGTGATCTTTGTTCTTTTTGCTTAGGATTGCTTTGTGTATTTTGGCTCTTTTTTGACTTCATATGAATTTTAGATTTTTTTTTGAATATTTTGTTCTAATTCTATGAAGAATGATGTTAGTATTTTGATATGAGTAGCATTGAATCCATAAATTACTTTGACAATATGGTCACTTTAACAATATTGATTCTTCCTGTCCATGAGCTTGCAATGTATTTCCATTTGTTTGTGTCGTCTCTGATTCGTTTCATGAGTGTTTTGTAGTTCTCTTTGTAGAGTTCTTTTACCTCCTTCATTAGCTGATTCCTTGGTATTTTTTTCTTTGTGGATACTGTAAATGGGATTGTGTTCTTGATTTGACTCTTAGCTTGGACATTTAGGAGGCTTTTGGTGGAAGCTTTAGGGTTTTCTACATACAGAATCATATAATCAGTGAAAAGAGATAGTTTGACTTTTTCTATTTCTACTTTTATGCCTTTTTTTTTGTTGGTGTTCTTGCCTGGTTACTCCAGCTAGAACTTCTAGTGCTATGTTAAATTGGTGTGGTTAGAGTGGGCATCCCTGTTTTATTCCAGTTCTCAGGGGAAATGGTTCCAGCTTTTGCTTTTTCAGTATGATGTGGCTGTGGGTTTATCACAGATGGCTTTTATTATTTTCGGGTACATTCCTTCAATGCCTAGTCTGTTGAGGGTTTTTATCCTGAAGGGATATTGGATTTTATAAAAGGCATTTTCTACATATATTGAGATGATTGTATGTTTTTGTTTTTAATTCTGGTTGTGTGTTGAATCATATATATTGATTTGCATGTGTTGAAATAGCCTTGCATCCCAGGAGTAACGCCTACTTGATTATGAGGTTTTAACTTTTTGATATGCTGCTAGATTCAATTTGCTAATATTTTTTGAGGATTTTTGCATCTATACTAATCAAGAATATTGGACTGAAGTTTTCTTTTTTTGCTGTGTCTCTGCCAGATTTTGGCATCAGGAAGATGCTGCATTCATAGAATGAGTTAAGGAGGAGTCTCTCCTCCTCAATTTTTTGTATTATTTTCAGTTGAATTGGTACCAGATCTTTGTACACCTGGTAGGATTAGGCTGTGAATTCATCTAATCCAGGGCTTTTTTTTTTTTTTTTTTTGGTTGGCAGGTTTTTTTTTTTTTTATTACTGATTCAGTTTTAGAACTAAAAATTTGTCTAGTCAGGGTTTTAATATAGTCCTAATTCAACCTTGGGATATTGTGTGTTTCCAGGAATTTATTCATTTCATCTAGATTTTCTAATTTGTGTGCATTGAGTTCATAGTTTTCTCTGAGGATGTTTTGTATTTTATGGGAACAATGTAATATCAAATTTTTATCTCTGATCTAGCTAATGGTCTATCAATCTTGTTTAATTTTTCAAAGAATCAACACTTGGTTTAATTGATCTTTTGTGTAAATTTTTGTGTCTCAACTTTGTTCAGTTCTACTCTACATTTTCTCCTGCTAGCTTTGGAGTTGATTTGTTCTGTTTTTTGTTTGTTTGTTTGTTTTTCCCTAGTACTTGTAGGTGCAAAATTAGACTTTTAGTTTGAGATCTTTTAACTTCTTATTGAAGGTATTTAGCACTATAAACTTTCCTCTTAATACTGCTTTAGCTATATCCCAGATATTTTGGTAAGTTGTCTCCCTATTTTCATTACTTGAAAAGCATTTTTAAAATTTATGCCTTAATTTTAATTTTGATGTTAACCTAAGAGTTATTCAGAACAAAATTGTTTAATCGTCATTTTTTTTATTTTGAGGGATGTCCTTGATATTAATTTCTATTTTTATTGCATTGTGGTGTGAAAGTGTGCTTGGTATGATTTTGATTTTTCTAATTTGTAGAGACTTGCTTTATTACTGAACATATGGTCAATGAGAAGAATGTCTATTCTGTGGTTGTTGGGCAGAGTGTTCTGTAGATGTCTATTAGATTTAGTTGGTCAAGTGTCAAGTTTAAGCCCAGAGTTTCTTTGTTAGGTTTCTGCCTCAAAGATCTGTCTAATGCCATCAGTGGGAAGTTGAAGTCTCCCACTATTATCTTGTGGCTAAATATTTTCATAGATCAAGTACAACTTGTTCTATGAATCTCAGTTCTCCAAAGTTGACTGCATATTTGTTTAGGATAGTTAAGTCTTCTTATTGGATTGTATACTTCATCATTATGTAATATCTGTCTCTGTCCTTGTTATTGTTTTAGTCTATTTTATCTGATACAAGAACAGTGACTCCTTCTCTTTTTTTTTTTTTTTTTCATTTGCATGGTAGCTCTTTCTTTGTCCCTTTACTTTGAGCCTGTGGGTGTTAATACATGTGAGATAGGTCTCTTAAAAGTAGGAGATGGTTGAGTCTGTCTTTGTATTCAGCTTGCCCATTTACATTTAGTATTAGTATTGAAATGTGAGATTTTAATCTGTCATTGTGCTTTTAGCTGGTAGTTATGTAGACTTGATTGTGTAGTTGTTTTATAGTGTCTGTGGGCTGTATGCTTAAGTGCATTTTTGCTTAAGTGCAATAAGTGTCCTTATTTTGATTCCATGTTTAGGACCTCCTTGAAGACTTTTTGTAAGCCTGGTCTAGTTGAAACAAATTCCCTTGTCTGAGAAAGATTTTATCACTCAATCACTTCTGAAGTTAGTTTGGTGAAATATGAAATCTTGGTTGGAATTTCTTTTTTTGGAGACTGCTGAAAATAGGTGCCAATTTCTTCTGGCCTTTAAGATTTCTGCTGAGAGGTCCGTTGGTAGGCGGATAAGGTTCTCTTTGCATGTTATCTGACCCTTTTCTCCGGCTGCCTTTAAGATTTATTTCCTTTTGCATTGACCTTGGTGAATCTTATGGCTATGAGCCTTTGGGATGGTTTTCTTGTACAGTATCTATCTGGTGCTCTCTGTATTTCTTGAATTTGCATATCAATCTCTCTACCGAGTTTAGGGTAATTTTTGTGGACTATGTCCTCTTATGTATTTTCCAAGTTGCTTATTCCTTCTCCTTCTTTCTCAGGAAAGCTAACAAGTTGTAGCTAAGAAATATAGGAATATTTCTTAGAGGTTTTGTTTATTTTTAAAATTATTTTTCTTTTCTGGGCCGGGTGCAGTGGCTCATGCCTATAATCCCAGCACTTTGGGAGGCCGAGGCGGGTGGATCACGAGGTCAGGAGATCAAGACCATCCTGGCTAACACAGTGAAACCCCGTCTCTACTAAAAATACAAAAAATTAGCCTGGCATGGTGGCAAGCGCCTGTAGTCACAGGTACTCAGGAGGCTGAGGCAGGAGAATGGCATGAACCCGGGAGGCGGAGCTTGCAGTGAGCTGAGATTGTGCCACTGCACTCCAGCCTGGGCGACAGAGCAAGACTCCGTCTCAAAAAAAAAATTATTTTTCTTTTCTTTTCAGACTGAGTTGATTGGAAGAACTGGTTTTTGAGCTCTAAGATGCTTTCCTCAGCTCGATCTATTCTGCTGTTAATACTTCACATTAGTTCTTTCTTAAAATGTCTGCATCACCTCTTGAACCATTTTACTGAATTTCTTGGATTCCTTAGATTGGGTTTTAAATTTCTTCTGAATCCTGATCATCTTTATTGCTACCCAGATTCTGAATTCTATGCATGTCATTTCATTCATTTCTGACTGGTTAAGAACCATTCCTGGAAATCTAGTGGGCTCACTTTAAGGTAAGGGTACACTCTGGCTTTTTGAATTCCTAGAGTTCTTGTGCTAATTCTTTCTCATCTGGGAAGACTGTTGTTCCTTTAATTGTGATGTAAATTGAGTATAGTCGGTTGGCTTTGTTTCTAGATGTTTTCAGAGGGCCAAGGCTCTGTACAGAGTCTTTATTTGTGGCTATATGCTTGCCCTTTGTTTCACAGGAGGGTATAATAGCAAAATATTTTTGGTGTTGTAGTTTGAGCTGCTATCCAGGAGATGATGCTTAGGAGTAATGGCCAGTAGATAAGCTCTGACTCAGCTGCATGGCTTCTTTTGTATTTTCTTGTGTGTGCCTGCTGTGTGGAGGGAAGAGAAGTGACCCCTCTCACTAGCTTCACTCCTGGACCTTAGAGGAGCCCCTTCTGATTATTGGAACCACACCTGCATTTCTTTTGTTAGGTGTTCCAGGCCACAGGACTCCCTTGGGCAGAAGCTTTATTAGGGAGGTAGTCCACCTCCTTTCAAGACCAGCTCTGCAGAAGACACCATGCCAGATTATGAACTTGTGCATCTCAACCCTCTCAGTCCTCTGAGAATGTAGGGTCCTCTCCCAGACAAGTACAAGCCACAGATCTTGGATTGGTGCTCCCAACCTGCATGCCATAGCCCTGGGGCACCAGAACTGGTTCACAGCTTAATTCTCTGTACCTTAGGGATTGGGTTCTGAGTGTGCTAGAGAATCCAAAATGCTCCCACCCCACCAGTTACATACTGAAGTAGAGCAAAACATCCAGCCTGGGCAACAGAGTTTGCACTGTGCATACACTTCTGTGGGGTAGCCAGGCAGGGGCCATGGGAGGGGCTAGAAGGCAGGAAATTTCTGCAGAACAGATAGGCCCCATTTCCAAGGGGAAGTTGTCTCTGCTTTCTCCGAGCCTAGCAGTCAGCTGGGGATAGAGCTTCCCAAAGGGAGATTTAGAGCCCTAGGGGATGGACACATATGGCCATGTTCCACTGGAGCTCTTCCATGCACAAAGGCCCCCAGCTCCACTCCAATGAAGCCTTGTCTCTGTCTACTGTCTGGATAGATTCTCCTGCCAGCTCAAATGTTCATCATGAGATGGGGTTGCCTGTAGCTAGGATTTCAGAGGTTCACAGTGAGAGTGAGCCATTCCACAGTCCTTTCTCTCATCCATTCCCCAGGAGCTATTTGGTGACTTGGAGCTAGCTCTAGCATTCAAGTATTCCACTCAGGGTTTCCAGCTTCTTTTATCTTCAACCTCAGAGCCTGCATTACTTCTCCATTCACTCTTGGTGTTTTCTCTCTGAAGATCTGTTCATATTATGTTGGTTTACTCATAATTTAGTTTCTCCCAACGGGAGCAGAACTTCTTGGCTTGTCTGATCAATCATTTTGCCCCTCTCCTGACTAATCAGTATCTGTAGTTACTTTAAGTGTAAATGAATTACATTATCCATTTAAGAGGCAGAAATTGCCAGAATTAATTTAATAAAAATCACCCAAATATATGCTTCCTGCAGATTATTCTCATAATTTAAATTGTTGCTTTAGTTTTTGAAAATAATATTGAGAAGATACCTTTTCTAAAAAAAATTAAAGAAATGAACACATATTTTATTGATGTAGAGTTTAATAAGTGTTTATATGGCAAGGAATATGAGCTTCTATACAATAACTAAAGAAAACATTGAATCAGAAGCAAGAGACGTTGATAAGAACTTCACATTTAATTGAGATATAAAACTTGAAGATTGGTTTGCCTAAAGAAAAGGAAAAACCTATTTGTGTGTGTTATACCCAGTTTTTGCTGTGGAGCCCAAAATAATGTATTTATATGTACTAGAAATATTCATTAGTGACATTTGCCTCTATCATAGCTTCCTAGAACAATATTCCATATTGACCATTAAATTACAAAGTTTTCACTGCTTCATAAAAAAACTATAGAAGGCATTTTTTTTACTCCCTTTGTTCTTTACACTACAGACCAAATGGTAAAGCATGGTAATCACTAAAGAGGAAAACATGGAGGTCATTTTATTATTATCAAAAAAAAAGGAACTGAATTTGAGCTGCAAGTACATAAAGTATAGAAACCCACAGAACACAACCACCACTATCAGACAAGAAACATACGTGAAGAAAGTTTTTTACTGCTCTCTGCAGAATGCATTCAACAAACAGTTAATAGAATCAGCATGGAGGACATTAGGACTACCAGAAGAAAGAATATCAAATTAAGTACTGAAAATAGTGTGATCAACATTTCTATTCCTCATGCATTTGAGTCCACCATGGCTAACAAAGAAACATCTTAACAGTAGAAATAACTTATGACATTGGAGCCATAGAAGGCCAATATAAAAATCTTTATAGTGACCATCAGAGCTTGAAAGGTACTATAAAGGTATGGAATACCACCAGCACATGACAAAGTTCCTGAGACATAACATTTTATGGCAGAAGGCTATGGATGTCCACATAGTGGTCATAGGCCATGGCTGATGAGACGAAAAGTTCACAGATAATGAACATAATGAAGAAAGCCATCTGCATGGTACATGCATAACAGGGAATGGCATTTTGAGCCACAACAAAGTTTACCAGTATCTTGGGATAAATGACCATAGAATTACCAAGATTAATAAAATTCAGGTACCTGATTTAAAAAATACACAAATGTTGTGTAGACCCAAGTCCACATTGTTCAAAATGATTATGCACTCTTTGCTCACCACTGTGAATGTGCAGATGATGAGGAAGACCCAAAAAAGGGAGAGCTGCAGCTCAAGCCGCCTTGTGATTTCCATCAGAATTAATTCAGTAAGCACTGTTAGATTCTTTTGGCCCATTTAGTCCAGTTATCTCTTCCAGGAAGAAACAGAACAGTTGTTAAAAGATTTTATGTAATGTCATCTAAACAAATTATAACATTTGTAGACAAAAGGTGTTATTCACGATAGGTAATAAACATTATTTCTACATCTGATCCTAAAACTAAAAAAAAAAAAAACAAGAAAACTTCTATCAAAAGAAGGGACCCATATTAAATACACATATAATTATGAGGTAAGTTAAACTGTAAATATCAATAATGTTTGGAACACATCAATTGATAACAAAATTATATAGTTATTAATATGGAAATGTTAGACTTTATTTCACCCACACAGTGGCGTCACAGTTTTTTTTTTCTAGTATACTTCCATATTTTCCAAAGAATTCTTGTGGAATTGTGCTATTATTAAAAAGTGAGATAGAGATAGCATGAAGCTACTGTTGTTTAAATTTTAGTTTCCCTCACTTGCACTTTCTGGGTAGGGATTTAACAATAAACTCACAAGTAATATGTCTTTGTGAAAATTCTGTAAGCAAAGATATTTTAACCATGACCAACTAAGGCCACTTTCCATTAATATTCTGACTTCCACTTCATCACACTTTATCTGACAAAACAGTGCATTAGCATATCTGCAGGCATTTTTAGGACCCAGCTAACAAAGGATTGAGTTAATGATACTTTGATGTTTAATGGGTATATTTATATGGCTCAAAATCAATGACATTATTAAATAATGCTATCTCTTTTGGTGTAGGAATGATCACTAAGAACACCCTTACCACCAAATGTGCAGAGATTTGTCTGGAATTTCATTAATAAAATAATATTTATAGATTTTATGATTTTTTGACCTTTGGTTTATGACAAAATTTGTATTATTTTTTCTTTTAAATATTTACATATATTTCAACTTAAATGTGTAATTTTATTTTTTAAGAAAAAAGAAAAACTCCCAAACTAATATAAGCTTAATGATTACCAACATGTGCATCTATTCCTACTAAAATATTTGTTTTATGTCAATACAGAGGGATTATGAATATTTAATTTTATAAGTTTTATTTCCTTTAAGATATCACTGTGAAAATAACAGAGTTTAGAGGGCATTTAAAAGCATTGAGCATTTATTACATCACATATAAATTACCGTTTATTTCTAATATTGCCCCATAGAATACAGATCATTACACTGTGATTTTCAAACATTTCAGTGATAAGTACTGGTCCTCTATTTAATCTAATTAATGTGGGACATGAGCAAAAAAAAGTGGAACAGGTCTGATTAAAGTTAGTAAAATCTGCTTTAGCCTAATCTCTTTGTCTCTCCTCTTCTACCATTCAGTTTCTCTTCAGTGAAAACATGGAACTCTGCAAGCATGAATTTCAATTCGAGCAGTAGTTGCATTTTAAAATATTCAGTCAAATAAAATACAGAATTTAGTTATAACTTCATGGAATGTCAGGTTTAACCCACACAACTATCAAGTAGAACCTTCTGGGAGCCCACCTTAAGGTCCAAACCTATAGGTTAGAGGAGTTAGAGCACTCTCACCTTGTGGAAGTTAGCAGCAACTGATTAGTTTTATGTGTAGATCTTGCTGTTCTGACTCAGGAAGTAAGGACAGGGGAGGAGAGCAAGACTGGAGATTGGTAAGCTGTCTGAAACCATTCTTCCCAGATGAAACTGTTTGTTCTTTCTTCACTGAATTCCATTCTGTCTTTCTGGCTCTTTCCTCCCTTACAAGTAAGAACCGTAAGTCCAGCATTTTTGAAAACATTCTTTTGAACTTACCAGATGTCAGGGTATGCCTTCAAAGGGTTTTATTGTAGAATAGGAGATGCAGTGGACTGAACAAAGGAATTCAGTATTGCAGCCACAGTGTCACTGCTTTGAAATGTTTAAATTTTACCAATAGTCCTTTGTTCGGAGAAAAGCTGAGTGTTGAGAGAGAAGCTGAGGCAGGGCTTGCGTGTCTGCTAGACTTGCTGGCTCCTTGCTTCTAGAACTCTTGTTATCTCAAGCAGCCAAATGTTTCTCATTCACTTCATACACTGTTTCCTTTCAATCCCCACATCCCCATCAACTGTTTGTTTGAGCACCAATAAGTAGCATGGCCTCCCAGAGCTTGGGGACTTTGCAGCCTCCACACTTGTGATGGCCCCCTGGTCCCAATTTCTCTCTCAAACTGTCTTTTTCTCATTCCTTTGACTCCGCCGGACTTCATTGCCCCCAAGACCTGATGTTGGGTCTGAGCACCCCAACATTCCTGGTGCCCAATGTGGGGCAACCCTGGTGAAGGAACGCTAGAGCGTGTGAAAGCAGAGGACGCCTCATCAAAGGACACCCGAGGTCGTCTAAAAGAAGTTCGGCGGGAAAGCTGAGCGCTGGGAAGAACCAGGGTAACAATGGGACAAAGTGAATGCAGACATTCTGCTTATTTAAATTTTTTAAAGCATTTATTATGAAGTGGGGGAGTAAAAGTTGGTACTCAGTTTGTTATCACTTTTTAGTACAGTAAAGCTGTTTTGCCCATGGTTCCCGGAACAGGGGACTATGGAGTTGGATGAATGGGAGAGAATTGGAAGAGATTTTTTCAAAAAGGTGTATAAAGACGGAGCAGTGACAGGTACGGCGGGGGGTGCTGGGTCCTGCTGAGGCGACAATGGCAGAGGGGCCCGAGGAAGCCCAAGGCCGCCCTCCTGGGCACGACGAGGGTGGAGGGGGCCACGAGTCCCTCCCTACCCTGAGAGGCCCTCCTGCCGCCACCGTCCCATGCCCCCATGACGACCCCCAGGCCAAACCCCATGCCCCTGGCCAGCCCACAGCCCGGGCCTCATGGCTGTGCCTGACAAATCAGAGCCGCCCCGGTGAGCTCAGGAAGCGCGGGGAGGCTGCTTCCGGCTCCGTGCTGGGCTGCCGAAGTGCCCAAGGCACAGCCCCGCGGGAGAGACCGAGTGCTCCCGGCAAGTGCGCGAGTGGCTGTATCAGTCCTGCTGTGGCTACCTCACCTGGCACCGCTGGCCAGGCCGCCTTCCCGGCTTGCTGCAGTCCCCAGCAGTCCCCGCAGAGCTTCCCTTCGGACAGCGCTGCTGTCCCAGTGGCTGGGCTATTACAACCCCTTCTACTTCCTGAGTCCTGGGCCGCCGGCCCTGACCCGGGTACAGCTGCTGGCATCAGCACCCAGGCTCCAGTAACTGGCCTGGGACCCCGGGCTTCTCATGTGCAGGCATCAGTCTGGGCCACTCCAGTGACGAAGGTAGGATCAGCAGCCCCTTCGTGAAGCCTGAGTGAGACCGGGCAACAGGCAGGCGGAGAATATGTTATTCCATCCTTGGCCCAGGATGGTGAGTTTCTTTATTCTTTTCTTTGTAAAAGCAACCATTGTCTTAAGCATTATGCACCTCAGTGGGATAAAGGATATCTCTAAGTTTGCTATGCATTATGTAATGGAAAAAATAGATAAAGACACATCAGTGGAAGACTTGCAGAAAATGATGCAGACTATTAGTTTGTTTCTATGAGATAATTTGCATCTGGGGAGCAGGTGGAGCTACCCCAGGGAAGTTCCTGGTGGGGCTTCGAGTTGTGACATGTGATACATTAGTGCTTATTGCACTAAGTCGGGTTTTAGTGATTCTTTCCTCAAACGTTAGCATTACAATGTCCACTACATGAGCTTTGATCAAGAATTTTTCAATTGCTTCTTTTTTCCCTGCTTGCATCACACTGCTGTTTTTTCAGCATAATCGATCAGCCTATGATATTGTGGCAGGAACCACTGTGGTAAAAAGAAATGGGGTCAGATGATGCCCCCAAAGCCCTGATTTCCACACGCTATAATGACAAGACTAAATTATGTATCAAGGCCATCAGTATCCCTGGGCTACACTAATTGATGATTTAGAAATTAAAGCAGTCACTCCAGTGTGATGCAGATGATTACTCTGAAAGTATTGATTTTACTTAAATGTCAAAGAACTTGTCCAGAAGAAAAACCTGTTAAATTCAGGTATTAAAATTTTTAGATAAAAAAGGCAAATGATTTTATAAACAATGAACAATATATTCTTAAGATCTAAGGCATTTTCTTAAGATCTAAGAATTTGCTGAAAGCATCTTCAGCTTTGAAATCTCCAAATGAAACTTTAAAATTTATTTTAGTTTATCCCAAAATAATGGAAAATGTCCAGTTGTGTATTGTAAATATCTATGTAACTCATCTTTTAGTTCACACTTCCTGGGGAGCCACCAAAGAAGGTACCCACAGGAGTTAGGGGACCCTCACCCTGAGGAACAGTTGGCCTATTACTTGGAAGGTCTAGTCTGAATTTAAAAGGTGCTACTGTACATATGGGAATAATTGACTCTGATTATACTGGAGAGATTCAATTAGTTATTAGTTCCTCTCCGTGTTCTGCCTCCCCAAGAGAAAGAATTGCTCAGTTGTTGCTGTTACCTTATATAAAACTAGGAAGCAGCACAGTGAAAAGAACAGGAGGCTTTGGTAATAATAATCCAGCAGGAAAGGCTGTGTATTGGGTTAATCAAGTGTCTGACAAAAGACCTATTTGCACAGTAACTGTTCAGGGAAAAGATTTTGAAGGACTAGTAGATACTGGAGCTGATGTCTCTATTATTGCTATAAATCAATGGCCCCAGCACTGGCCTAAGCAAAAGGCATCCACTGGTATTGTTGGAGTAGGAGCTGCCTCAGAAGTTTTTCAGAGTTCCTTGATTTTACCATGTCAAAGGACGAATGGTCAGGAAGGGACAATCCAACCTATCATTACACCTATTCCTATCAATTTATGGGGTAGAGACTTATTGCAACAATGGGATGCTGAAATACCTATTCCTATGGATCAGTATAGTAATCATAGCAGACAAATGATGAAAAACATGGGATATCACCTGGGAAAAGGACTAGGACAATATAAAAATGGCCAATCAGAACCTTTAGAATTAAAAGGGCAAACAGATCAGACCGAATTGGGGTGTCATTTTTAGGAGCGACCATTGTTGAGCCTCCAGCTCCCAATCCTCTTGTTTGGCTATCAAACCGGTTTGGGTGGAGCAATGGCCACTGAAACAGGAAAAACTGGAGGCTTTAAAAGAACTGGTGCAGGAACAATTGCAAAAGGGATATATACAGCCTACTTTCTCCCCTTGGAATTCTATTGTATTTTTCATTAAGAAAAAATCAGGGAAATGGAGAATGTTAACAGATTTAAGGGCTGCTAATGCTGTGATTCAACCCATGGGTGTTCTACAACCAGGGCTGCCCTCCCCAGCAATGATACCAAAATAGTGACCTCTCATAGTGATAGATCTAAAGGATTGCTTTTTTTTACCATTCCTTTAGCTGCCCAAAATTATGAAAAATTTGCTTTTATTGTTCCCACCATAAATAATGAAGAACCAGTGGACAGCTACCATTGGAAAGTATTACCACAAGGCACGCTAAATAGCCCGACTATTTGTCAAACTTATGTGGGAAAGCTATTAAGCCAGTTAGAAGACAGTTTAAAAAATGTTATATCATCCATTACATGGATGATATTCTGTGTACAGCTGAGACTAGGGAAGAATTGATGTTGTGCTACAAACAGTTATAAAAGACTGTAAATGCGGCAGGGTTAATTATAGCCCCCAATAAAATCAAAACTTCTACTCCCTTTCATTATCTTGGAATGAAGGTAAAGCAAAGTGCTATTAAGCTTCAAAAGGTTCAAATTCAAAAAGATAATTTAGAAACCTTAAATGATTTCCAAAAGTTATTAGGAGACATTAATTGGATTTGTCCAACTTTAGACATTCCTGCCTATGCTATGTCTCACCTCTTTTTTTACTTTACAAGGTGATTCTAACCTTAACAGTAAACGCTTCATGTCCAAAAAAGCATGGGAGGAACATCAATTAATTGAGGAAAAAATTCAGCAAGATCAACCCATGTCTGCAGCTGAACAACACTTGACAGGACAAAAGGAAAATAAAAAGGCTGGACAAGATGTATGGTAGAGGGATGCACATACAAAGAGCTGGGAAAAAGGAAAGATAATTTTATGGTAAGAGGATTTGCTTGTGTCTCTCCACGTGACAATCAGGTGCCTGTGTGGGTGCCCACCAAACATCTGAAGATCTATCATGAACCACAGCATCTAGTGGACCCACCTGTACAGTGCAAATTGAAGGCTTAAGGATTACTTTTTTGCTATACTGTTGCACAAGAAGGATAAGCCTCGATTTGCTTTTTCTATGCTTTCTGTTAATCAGAAAAAGCCTGCTTCTCATTATCAATGGCAAGTTTTACCCCCATGATAATTAACCAAAGGGCAGAAGCTGAGTTACAAATGCTTCAGCAATGGCATGCCTCCCAGCTACAGCCACAAATGCTTTTGCTTGTGTTTCAGTGCATTTACTAACGTGGGGGTGAGGATATGCTTGTGTTTTTGCAGGAGATGAACAAACCATGTAGATGCCCTCAAGATGTGTTTGACCATGGAACAGGAGAATGGAAGGACCCATGGATCCCAACCATGGCCTGGGTTCCCCCAGTACGAGCCATGCTGAGAAACTGCTGGAGCACCAGGGTTTTACCTATAGATGCTTAATGGACCAGTGCTTTCTGACTGAACTCCTCTCTACCCTGAATACAAGAGACCCTAATAGGTAGGCAGGAGTATGATCACCCCTATTCAACATGAAGAAGTTACAGAAGACAGACCTTCATCCTTCTGCAACCCCTAGGATTAAGGGTCCTCTTGTAAAAGGGAAAGGGGAGATATGTAGGAAGCATTCAAATCAGAGCAACTCCATTTTGAATAAGGGCTAAGAAAAATGAAGCTGGATCACCAAGTGGCAATTAAGGGCTGCACAGCCTGCAATTGCCTTGCTCAATTTAAAGAGGCCACCTTATGCTAATAATGATAGCTGGGGCAGTTTTTACAAAAAAGAAGTGGGGCATGTTGGGAGAAAAGCTGAGTATTGGGAGAGAAGCTGAGGCAGGGCTTGCACGTCTGCTAGACTTGCTGGCTCCTTGCTTCTAGCACTCCCATTATCTCAAGCAGCCATGTGTTTCTCATTCACTTGATCCACTGTTTCCTTTCAACCCCCACATCCTCACTACGTGTTTGTTTGAGCACCAATATATAGCATGGGCTCCCAGAGCTTGGGGCTTTCGCAGCCTCCACACTCAACAATGGGCCCCTGGTCCCACTTTCTCTCTCAAACTGTCTTTTTCTCATTCCTTTGACTCCACTGGACTTTGTCCCTCCCACGACCTGGTGTTGGGTCTGATCACCCCAACGATTCTTCTTGTGTTTAAGTCTGTCTTCATATCCAGTGTCAGTTATCTCCTTTTGAAGAGGTATGAACTCTTTCACTTTGTACATGATTCTTGCATGGAAAAGGATATCTCTGCTCTCCTTTTAATATTTTAATGTTTATATTTTAAATGTAACAATGTAGGGCTAAACATTAGGACAGAAATAATACAAAAAGTATGCAAATGACTGAGTTTTCTATCTTCAGCACAGTAATATCAGTTAGAAATTTTTTGAGGTTCAGGGTTTTCTCAGTAACTTCATAAGTCTTAAAAGCCATTCTATTTATTTCAGTCTACTAAATGATTCTAATGCCCATTGTTAAAAAAAAACAAAACAAAACCTCTCAAAAACAGAAGAAGCCCAGGAGGAAAAAGAAAGAACTAAAAATATTTTAAGTTTTTGCATTTGGTTTCCTTAAATTAAAATTATTCTTAGTTTGTAAACTATTGCCATAGAAATAGTTATAAAATATTCTTTTAAAAATATCAAATTATATATTAATATAATATTTGTTATTTTTCAAACCTGGATATCATCACCTGTATTTTCTCTAAAAATTCTAACCTTGATGCAGTCTAACAGATGAGCTTACTTATAAATTTTTTAGGTGATTTTAACTTCCTCTTTACTTGAAATATCTAAACATCACATTCAACTCTCACAAAACAAATAGGTATAGGTCATCTGTTCAATTCATAGGATTTAATGCTCTCTAACACCATATTAGTCCAGAGAACTCTGATTAGCAGAGATGATATGCCAAGGCTTGGAGTTTGCACCCTCTGAAGCCATGGTCTGAGCTGTACCTTGGGCCCTTTTAGCCATGACTAGAATGGCTGGGACATAAGGCACCAAGTCCCTAGGCTTTACACAGCCAGGAGGCCTGGGCCCAACCCAGGAAACCACTTTTTTCTCCTAACTCTCTGGTCCTGTGAAGAGAGGGTCTCCCACAAAGGTCTCTGATACTCTGGAAATATTTTCCCCATTGTCTTGGTGATTAACATTTGACCCCTAATTAATTATGCAAATTTCTTCAGCCTTCTTGAATTTCTCCTCAGAAAGTGGGTTTTTCTTTTCTATCCCATTGTCAGGGTGAAAATTTTCTGAGCTTTTATGCTGTTTCCCTTTTAAAACTGAATGCTTTTAACAGCACCCAAGTCACCTCTTGAATGCTTTACTGCTCAGAAATTTCTTCTGAAGGTACCGTAAATCATTTCCCTCAAGTTCAAAGTTCCACAAATCTCTAAAGCAGGGGCAAAATGCTGCCAGTCTCTTTGCTAAAACATAGCAAGGGTCACCTTTACTCCAGTTCCCAACAAGTACCTCATCTCCATCTGAGACCACCTCAGCCTGGATTTCATTGTCTATATCATTATCAGCATCTTGATCAAAGCCATTCAACAAATCTCCAGGAAGTTCCAAACCTTCCCACATTTTCCTGTCTTATTCTAAGCCATCCAAACTGTTCCAGCCTCTGCCTGTTACCCAGTTCCAAAGTTGCTCCCACATTTTTGGGTATCTTTACAGCAGTGCCCCACTCTACTGGAACCAATTTACTGTATTAGTTCCTTTTCATACTGCTGATAAAGACACACTCAAGACTGGGTAATTTATAAAGAAAAAGAGGTTTAATGGGCTTACAGTCCCATGTGGCTGGGGAGGCCTCACAATTATGGTGGAAGACAAAAGGTACATTTTACGTAGCAGAAGACGAGGGAATACGAACTAAGCAAAAGTGATTTCCCTTATAAAACCATGAGATCTCAAGAGACTTATTCACTACCATGAGAACAGTGTGGGAAACCACCCCCATTATTCAATTGTCTCCCACCAGGTCCCTCCCACAACATGTGGGAATTATGAGAGCTACAATTCAAGACGATATTTGGGTTGGGACACAGCCAAATGTATCAAGAGAAATGCTTAGTTAAGATAAAAGAGCCACTAAATGTATGGGAGGTAGACAGAAACATGTTCTGATTTATAGCAATCAGGTTCAGTACTATCTGTGGTTTCAGGCATTTACTGGGAGTCTAGGAAGTTATCTTCTATGGATTAAGTGGACTACTGTACTTGTATTTTTTGAAAGAGTTTTAGAATGATGTGTAATGATTCTGTAAATGTTTGGTAGAATTCAACCATGAAGACATCTGACCCACAGCTTTCCTTGTTGGGAGGTTTTTAATTACCATTTGTATTAGTTTGTTTTCATACTGCTCTAAAGAACCTTACCTGAGATTGAATAATTTATAAAGGAAAGAGGTTAATTGACTCACTGTTCTGCCTGGCTGAGGAGGCCTCAGGAAAACTTACAATTGTGGTAGAAGGCAAAGGAGAAGAAAGGACCTTCTTTACAAGGCAGCAGTGGTTGGGGAGAACTCATTCACTATGAAGAGAACAGCATGGGGGAAACCTTCCCCATGATCCAATCACCTCCTACCAGGTTCCTCCCATGACACATAAGGATTGCAATTCAAGATGAGATTACAGTAGGGACACAGAGCCAAAAGATATCATTCTGCCCTTATCCCTCCCAAAGCTCATGTCCTTTTTAGATTTTAAAACCAATCGTGCCTTCCCAACAGTCCCCCGAAGTCTTAACTCATTTCAGCATTAACTGAAAAGTCAACAGTCCAGGGTCTCATCTGAGGCAAAAATCCCTTCTCTCTATGAGCCTGGAAAATCAAAAACAAATTAGTTACTTCCAAGATACAATGAGAGTACAGGAATTAGGTAAATGTCCTCATTCCAAATGGGAAAAATTGGCCAACACAAAGGGGCTACAGGCTCTGTACAAGAATGAAATCCAGTGGGGAAGTCATTAAATCTTAAAGCTCCAAAATAATATACTTTGACTCAATGTCTCATATCCTGGGAATGCTGATGTAAGGGGTGGGCTCCCAAGGCCCTGTGGCTCTGCAGGGTAGGGCCCCTGCAGCTGCTTTCATGGACTGGCATTGAGTGCCTGCAGCTTTTCCAGGTTCATAGGCCCAACACCAGGTGGAAGCCATCAAGGCCTGGGATTTGCCCCCTCAGAAGCAATGGCCTGAGCTGCACCTTGGCACCTTTTAGCCATGGCTGAAGCTGTAGCAGCTGGGATGCAGGGCGCCAAGTCCCAAGGATGCACAGAGCAGTGATGGGGCCCTGGGCCTGGCCCAGGAAATGATTTTACCCTCCTAGGCCTCTGGGCCTGTAATGGGAGGGACTGCCATGAAGATCTATAAAATACCCTGGAGACACTTTCCCCATTGTCTGTGCTATTCACATTTGGCTCCTAGTCACTTATGCAAATTTCTGCAGCAGGCTTAACTTTCTCCTCAGAAAATGGGTTTTTCTTTTCTACAGCATGGTCAGGCTGCAAGTTTTCCGAACTCATGCTCTGCTACCCTTTTAAACATAATTTTTAATTTTAGATCATTTCTTTCTTCATACATATAAACGTACACTTTTACAAAATGTCTGGTCACATCTTGAACACATTGGTGCTTAGAAATGTCTTCCATCAGATAGACTAAATTATCTCTCTCAAGTTCAAAGTTCTACAGATCTCCAGGGCAGGGGTAAAATGCCACTTGTCTCTTTGCTAAAGCATAGCAAGAGTGACGTTTGCTCCATTTTCCAATAAGTTTCTCATCTCCATCTGAGACCATCTCAACCTGGACCTCATTGTCCATATCTCCATCAGCATTTTGGTCAAAACCATTCAACAAGTCTCTAGGAAGTTCCAGATTTTCCCACGTCGTCTTGTCTTCTTCTGAGCCCTCCAATCCATTCCAACCTCTGCCCATTACTTAGTTCCAAAGTTGCTTCCACGTTTTCAGGTATCCTTATAGCAATGCTCCACTTCTCTCACTACCAATCTTCTGTATTAATCTGTTTTCAAACTACTTTAAAGAATTACCTGAGACTGAGTAATTTAAAAGTAAAGAAGTTAATCGACTCACAGTTTCACATGGCTGAGGAAGCCTCAGAAAACTTACAATCATGGTGTTATGTGCATCTGTGTGAAGAGACCACCAAACAGGCTTTGTATGAGCAATAAAGCTTTTTAATCACCTTGGTGCAGGCAGACTGAGTCTGAAAAAGGAGTCAGCAAAGGGTGATAGGGGTAGGGAAGTTTTATAGGATTTGGGTAGGTAGTGGAAAATTACAGTTAAAGGTGGCTGTTCTCTTGTGGGCAGGGGTGGGGGTCACAAGGTGCTCGGTGGGGAGCTCCAGAGACTTATTGTCCAGGAGAAGGAATGTCGCAAGGTTAATTGATTAGTCAGGGTGGGGCAGAAACAAATCACAATGGTGGAATGTCATCAATTAAGTCAGGAACTGGCTATTTTTACTTGTTTTGTGGTTTTTCAGTTGCTTTAGGCCATCTGGATTTATACCTGCAGGTGACAGGGGATATGATGGCTTAGCATGGTCTCAGAGGCCTAACACATGGTAGAAAGCAAAGGAGAAGCAAGCACCTTTTTTTATAAGGCAGCAGAAGAGAGACATTGGGGGCAAGGGAAAGTGCCCCACTTTTATTTAAACCATTATACCTCCTGAGAACTCACTCATTATCATAAAAACAGGATGAAAAAACCACCCCCGTGACCCAATCGCCTCCCACCAGGTTCCTCCCTTGACATGTAGGGATTACAATTCAAGATGAGATTTGGGTGGGGAAACAGACCCAAACCATATCACTACTTCAATCTCTATATTTGTTGGGTTTTTTCAGGCTCTTTATTTATGTCTGATTTAATATTGGTAGATTGTATTTTGCTAGGAATTTATTCATTTCCTCAATTATTCAATTTATTGGCATATGATTGTTCGTAATAGTCCCTCATCCATTTTATTTCTGAGATATCAGTTGTAATGGTTCCACTTTCACTTATAATTTTATTTTACTCTTCCCTCTTGGTTAGCCAAGCTGAAAGTTTGCCAATTTTATTTTTTCAAAATGCCAACTCTTCTTTTTGTTATTTTTTCTATATTTTTCTATTCTTTACTGTATTTATTTCTGTTCTGATCTTTTTTGTTTCCTTCTGATAATTTTGGGATTGATTTTTTTTTTTTTATTTTAAATGTTGTTTTCTGGGGCAGAATGTTAGGCAATTTCTTTGAGATCTAAATCTGACCCCCACAGGCCACAAGTACCTGTTATTATTATTTCATATATTATATCATGTGTCCTAGTGTTTTAGCTGGGACTTAAAGAATATACAAATACTTTCATCCTCATCAGGGAACTTATAAAGGTAAGATTAACTAAACATGATGTCAACCTATGCTCAAATATGACATACTGGAAAATGGGGAAAACACTATATGCCACTGTGAACGATGTGGTCCTCATTGTTCCAAGATGCATCAATCACATATACTGGAAATTAGAATATAGTTCCTCCTGTTTCATGATGTCTGAAACTTCTCTACCTTGTGGCATGCCTGTTCAGCTCAATAGTAATTTACTCTGTGTCCAGGGAGTCTGAGGATTTGCCAAATTGTCATCGTCCTTCCTCATCTTTTCCTAGGAGGGTCCCTTCCCCTATTAAGAAAACAACCTCAATCTTTCTTTCTCAAAGATGGTTGAACTTATTAGGATAGAAATAAAGAAAATCTGCCTGATTATTTATTTGTCTTCAGCATATTACTGACTACTTAATGCTAATTTCTGCTATCCTCATCCTCTGCAATTTATTACAACTCTACTCAAACTCTACTTTTTGATGGCTTTCTACTTGAGCATAAACACTCTTTCAAAATGTCAAAATGGACTGATAAGTTTACATTTCTGAGTCAATTTTCTTTTTGATTATGTATTTTGTAAATTAATTTTATGTGTCACATAGTTCACTGCTTTCATTTATTTTCTTATTTGAAAATATTTCATTGACAAAAATATATTTTCAAGGTGCACAGTGTGATAATTTTATATATGACTATGTTGTTTAAGGATTACTAAAATAACATTAATTAGCACATCTGTTACCACCTATAGTTCACCCTGCATATGTGTGTGCATGTGTTTATGTGTGTATGTGTGTGTATGTGTGGTGAAGACATTTGGAATCTGTTCTTCCATCAAATTTCAAGTAAAAAGTTCAGTATTATAAACTACAATCACCATGTGGTACAATGGATCCCCAGCATGTATTCTTCCTGTAATTGACCCCTCTGCTCTTTTTCTCTTCTAATACCAAATCTGCCAAAGTGAGGTTTTGCTCTGTCACATCTCAGGGTAACATCAGTGAAGCATACAAATGACATTAAGAGACAAAATAGGGCTGGACGCAGTGGCTCATGCCCTTAATCCCAGCACTTTGGGAGGCTGAGGCAGGCCGATCACTTGAGGCTAGGGAGTTCAAGCCCAGGCTGGCTAATGTGGCAAAACCCCGCCTCTTCTAAAAATACAAAATTATCTGGGCATGGTGGCACATGCCTGTAGTCTCAGATACTTGGGAGGCTGAGGCGCAAGAATTGCTTGAACCCAGGAGGCGGAGGTTTCAGTGAGCTGAAATCACGCCACTGCACTCCAGCCTGGGCAACAGAGCCAGACCCTGTCTTAAAAAAATGAGAGAGAGAGAGAGAGACAGACAGACAGAGACAGAGACAGAGAAAGAAAGAGAAAGAGAAAGAGAATATAGAGCCAGGCATTGTGGCTCATGCCTGTAAGTCCCAGCACTTTGGGAGGCTGAGGTTGGTGGATCACTTGGAGCTCAGGAGTTTGATACCAGCCTGGGCAACATGGCAAAACCCTGTCTCCATGAAAAATACAAAAATAGGCCGGGCATTGGTGGCTCATGGCTGTAGTCCCAGCTATTTAGGAGGCTGAGGTGAGAGGATTCCTCGAGCTCAGGAATTTGAGGCTGCAATGAGCTATGGTTATGCCACTTCACTCCAACCTGGCCAACAAAGGGAGATTCTATCTGTTAAAACGAACGAGCAAAAATACAACAAAACCTGATTCTAATACTCATTACCTTGGTGATCTCTGACAACTTACTTACTGTATCTAGGCTCTACTTTATCATCCTAAAAATGGAACTTTTAATAGAACCTACCTCAAAGAGCTGTTGTGATGGCTAAATTAATTGAGACATGTAGAATCTCTATAATATAATAGTAAGTGTGAGATATTATTACTACCTGGTAATTTCTATGACCATCTTAAAGATTCATTTTCAGTACAGCAACAATATGGTAATATTTATCCTCACATGACAATGTGCTATGCAATGTTTAATTTATTCCAATGAGATATATTCATTAGTGTTTCTTTGGCTGCACATGGGATTTTATTTTATGATGGTGAACCAAGAAAATATTGTAGACTCTGATACTTTCAATAAATTCTTAGGATTATTAAAAAGAATAAAGGAAATCAAAATACATAAGAAAACATATGGAGTTAAGGAAAGCAACCATGTTTAAAAGGCAAGATAACGATATCATTGCATACAGATCAGACCTCACTTGCATGGTGAAGGTCTGTAACTGTCAAAGGACATCTGTAATAGCCAGCAGATAGATACAGTATGGTGTAGTGCATTTTATTACTTTTATTTGCTTTGTACAAGTAGAAAAATCAACTGATGCAATCAAACAGTGAAGTAAATGAAAATATAGTGCATTCGATATAGTGCATATTGATAAAAATTATGGATTGTCAACTCAGTGAGAGACTACAAAGTTAATTCATCATAGAATGGTCCCCCTCCTCAAAGATGTAAAAACAACTGGAACACAAATTTTAACCACAGTTTATTACTTTTTTTTAGATAAATAACGGGAAAATCTGTGAAAAAGGCAGTTATTAAGCAAGAACAACTAGAGAGAAAGAATAAACCTGAGAATTTCTATGGATGTCTTCTAAACTTAAGCATAATTGATATATCTACTCATGTAAACAGAATGGGCTAACTGAAACAAAATCAGGTGCTAATCAGAATTTACCGATTATTGAGCTACAAAGTATGTTCGGTTAACAGACTTCTATGTGGAAATAAAAACATTGATAAGGAAATAGTAGGATCCTAATATTCGGAATAGTAATTATTCGAGCACATCTGTAAGACTTAAAATCATCACATATCATCTAAACAACCAGTATTAAATGCAATGTCAGAATATACAAGCAAAAAGTATGAAGGCTAAAACAGAAGGAAAATGCTTATATACACAAAAACACACAAACAGAAACATACAGAAGCACACACACTGTAAATTTTATTCCAGTAGCAGATAAAAAACACTGGAATCCTCGTAACTCCCTTCTGTAATGACCACTGTTTCCTACTGCCACCCAGCATACTAGCTTTCCTTGTCTCCCTTTTTTCTTTGTCTATATCCATCGTGCACATTCTACTGTTATATAAAATGGACTTATTGTGAATACAATTCATCTATCCATCAAGGAAGGCAAAGATTTCTACTATTTTGTTTATTAATCTATGTATAGCAATTAGAAGAGCCTATCATGTATGAGACATATGTAAATATATGTTGAATCAGTTATGCTTGTTATGTCTTCTGGAAGTATGCAGAGCAAAAATTCATGCCCATAACCTAATTTATAGGAATCATATTGTACAAAATTTAAACAAAAATATTACATAAGTTATTCCATGTCCTTCGTAGGGCATATTTTACATCTTTGTTTCGTAAACTATAGATCAAGGGATTCAACATGGGGATAACCAGGGTGTAAAATATGGAAGCCACTTTATCAGTGTCAAAGGAATGACTGGACTTGGGCTGCACGTACATGAAAAGCAAAGTCCCATAGAACACTATGACCACTGTCAGGTGGGCTCCACAGGTAGAAAAAGCCTTTTGTCTGCCAGCAGAATTCATCCTGAGAATGGCTACAAGGATGAGCAGGTAAGATAAAAGAACTATCAGAAGAGATGAAATCAAATCAATAGCTGCAAAGATCAGAATTATCAATTCAATTTCATGTGTATTTGAACAAAGCAAAGGTAACAAAGGGAGACTGTCACAGTAGAAATGACTAATGACGTTGTAGCCACAGAAGGATAAAGTAAAAATCTTTATGGTGACTAGAAGAGAAATGAATGTGCAATAGAGGTAAGGGATTGCTACCAGCACCTGACATACCCTTCGTGACATGATTACTGTGTATAGCAGAGGGTTACAGATGGCCACATAGAGGTCGTAGGACATGGCTGAGAGAATAAAAAGTTCACTACCAATGAACACAAGAAAGAAAGCTAGCTGTGTTGCACAAAAATAATAAGAAATTATATTCTTATCCACAACAAAATTTACTAACATTTTGGGTCCCACAGTTGTTGAATAACCAAGATCCATGAAAGCCAGATGTCTGAGAAAAAAGTACATAGGGGTTTGCAACCTGGAGTCCAACTTGGTGAGGACAATCATGCCCAAATTGCCCATCACTGAGATCACATAGATCATGAGGAACAATGCAAATAATGGTGCCTGCAGCTCAGCGATATCTGTGATTCCCGTAAGAATGAATTCATTCACCGTTGTTAGATTGTGTTGTTCCATCCAGGTTCATCAGAAAACCTATTCTGATAGAGACATCGGCATTGTCAATAGCTTTCCTCTATCATCACCTGAGAAATTTTTTAGTATGCAAAGCTAACAGAAGATATACCTAAATTTCACAATTTGCGACATTTGAAAACATACCTCTCACAAATAAAAACATGTTTAAATAATTTAAGAAAGAGATAAGGCAGATCAGCAGTTTTCAGTTGCTTTTGATTTTACTCACCCAAAAACATTTTCTAATGTCTAGAGACATTTTATTTATCACAATTTGGAGGTGGGCCACTGTTGCATCTAAAGGTTAGAAGCCAGTAAGCTGCTAAACATTCCACTATAATCAATACTCAGCCCATCGCAATACCCAACCCCAAATATCAATAGTGCTAAGGTTGAGAAACTCTGATGAGATACATGAATAGACAGATGATAGATAGATAGTTAATGGGTAGATAGATAGATTATGGATGAACAGATAGAATCATATGAGAGAGAGAGAAAGAGATACAGATATTCATGTCTGTATAGATATATAAAGAAAAATTTTAAAGTTAAAAACATTGTTAATACCGTGGATATCTGATATATGAACAATTATTGTACTATGTTTTTAGAGCTTGGTCATATTTATAGATTAAAATTGTGACATAATACAATTTTAGTTATATAAAAAATTTCTGTCACAGATTCCAAAAATGCATAAAACCACCTGCTTCAAAACATCATCCTGTGAATACCCTTATCTCTTCGGGTGGTACAGCTGAGACTTTAATAGAGTTGACAGATATTAGGCATATGAGTAAGAGCAGCATAACAGATGACAGTGGCAATTATTTATATTTACAAAGCAAAAAATATCAGGAAATATATGGATATAGATATATTCTACACTATATCTTAATTTATGTCATATTTGAAAGGTTATTTTAGGCAAATAGTGTAAGTTATCTAAAACTGTTTGTTCTAATATCCAGAACCAACATGTCATTGCAGAATTGTTGGGAAGGATGACTGAAGATTAAGTGATTCAATGTGTCTTTGCTGCCTAGAAGTAGTTCTAAAACATCAAGTACATTGTGAGTTTTCTTCTTCTTGTTATTTGTTTTAATTGTGACAATGCCTTACTTGAAAGAGGTTTTTTTTACATGTGTACACATACATTATTCTGACTATGAATTAACTTCTTTGTTAGGACCATAATGATGCCTAGGGGAGTCACAGGTCAAGTAGGATGTAATACTTGCAACTTAGGGCAGTTCTTCTCCCCTCCCCCAATTCATGACTAAACTTGGGTAATTGGTATGCTATTGTTTTGGATTACTTATCTATTTTTCACAACGAATTTAATAACATTTTAAATAAATTATTTTTATATAAACTTTATTAAAACATTAATCTTCCCATAGTTTTATTCTCAATATAATTGAGAAATGCTAACTTGAATGTGAACGTTAAGTTTGTTTTATCATACAAAATCTTAGGGGAGTTTGAGGAAATCTGAACAAATTGGGAGAAAATGTGGTCCTTCATATTGGTTTTGTATAATGAAAATTAGTAAAAGCTACTTTTTGGGTAAAAGGATACTGTAGATTAAAGAAATGATTAAAAGTCACCTTGTTACACAATAACATAGAGACAAAATGAATACACTAAACATGAGATATACGTGGATTTCTGGCTGTGATTTAAAACTTTTCTGAACATGCAAGCCACAGAAACTAGGAAATATGGTATAGCACATAATACAAATTAACATATGTATAATCGAATAAATATATATCTAAATATCCCCCAATAACCCACAGATTTAAAATATAGTAGAGCAGGAGATGGAGGGCATGATAACCTAAGATAATCATTATTAGTTAAAAAAAATCGTAAGCCCCAATGTTTTTTGAAAAAAGAAAAGAAAGAAAATAGTTTTTACAATGAAAATTATAGTGACAGCAATCTCAGAGTGAGCTATGAAAAAATAAAGACAAGCAATTGTGTTACATTAAATATAAAGATGATTACATATTATTTGAACTTAATTTTTTAAATAAAATTATGACCTACTCCTATCCTACCCTGACTCAATGAACACACCTTTCTCATATTAGATATATGGTAATGTGTGGCAGTAGATGGAAAAGTTAGATAAATATCTTTAGTAAATAAGATGATGAGCAGCATAAATCCTGTATTTTGTTTGCTTGTTTTGTACAGTTTGGCAATTTAGAAAGGCAAATAATATCATGGATAAGTACCTGTTTTCTTGTTAGGTAAGGAAATATAAATGAGGTTCCTTTCACCATCTTTGGAGTTCTGTGGAAAGAACCAGATTGCTTTTTTTCATATTTTGCTGTCTTTGTTGAATATCAATTGCATTTTTTAAAGCTACAATCTTTGAGAAAATAATATCTGCTTTTGTCAACTCTTAGTGGAAATTGAAGTACTTTCTGAAAATTGTATTGTTCCCTAAAACTGGGTACTTAACAGTCTCCTAATTTTATTTTCTTCTATTTTAAAATGTTTTTTTTTTCTGTGCCTATGATTACCCAAAAAGCCTCATAATTTTTAATAATGCTTTTCACATTCGAATGTAAGGTAGCAACCCCCTTTTTGACTCACCAAGCAGTGAGAAAACAATCATATCTACACATTTATTTGAATAATCATTCAGTGTTAAATTATTGTTAAGGGGTCTGAGAGCCTAGAGCATCTAAATAACAAGTATTTGGAAGGACATGAACATGACTGACCAAATAGTTGCAGTTTCTCCATTCTTTCATTAAAAATATATTTATCTCCTTGTCATTGTGCTTTATTTTCTCCAAGTTTTGGCCTCAATTAGAGAAAAATATGTAAAATGAATACTTTAGAAACAATATCATGATAATGTTTCAAAGATGCTTATAGCATTCAGCCTGTGAAACCATGTAAAATACTTAAAAAGCATATGAAAAATGGAGCACCGTTATTTCTGCTTAGGCATTATTGAGTAACAGAAATCCCGGAGAAATGAATCAGAAATTGTCACACTTTACTATGGTTATGTCATCAAATTAAAGTGGCAGTTTTCCAATGTCACTGAAGCATTATAGATATCTGTAACATATGACACCACAAGAAACATTCTTACTTTTTTTTTTTTTACCTGTAAGGAAGCCTCTGTCTTGACTCCTCCATGTGTCTCTCACATGGCACAGTGAGAACAATTTATGCATTTTTTAATCTTTTGAGACTCTCCCTGAGGAGATGGCAGGCAATTTATTGATAATTCCTAAAGCATTTGAGAGCATAACAAAATGTTTGAGGCTGTCCATTAGTTGTAGAAGACAGTTTGTATTCACTAGTGTATCAGAGTTCTCCAGAAAAACAGTACTAAGAAGAGATAGTTAGATGAGAGATGATAGATAGATAGATAGATGATAGATAGATAGATAGATAGATAGATAGATAGATAGATAATAGAGATTTATTATGAATTGTTTTATGCAATTATGTAGGCTGAGGATTCCTGTGATTTGCTGTCTGCAAACTTCAAGAAAGCTGGTGGTATAGATTCAGTTCAAACTTGAAATATTGGGAGCCAGGGGAGCCAAGGGTGTACATCATAGTCTGAATTCGAAGGCTCTGGAATCTGGGATGTCAATGTCTGATGGCAGGAAGCGAAGGATGTCCTAGCTTAAGCAGGGAGTGAACTCACCCTTCCTCTGTCTTTTTGTTTTATTCAAGGCCTCAATTGATTGCACTGATACCCACCTATATTGGTGAGGATGATAGTTACTCTGTCTAACAATCGTAGTCTCTTCCAGGAGTATCCTCACAGGCACACCCAGAAATAATGTTTGCCAGCTATCTGGGCATCATATAGCCTAGTTAAGTCAACACTTTAATCGTCATTACTCCACCCCTTGTCAGCTTGGCAAACATAAGCATGTACTTAAACCATACTTAGTCTCTCTAAACATAGACAATAACAAGGTCATAGTTTTGCTTTACATGACACAACTATCCGGCATATAAATAAAAACTCACTAATCCTTTATTCCAATCAGGACATATATTCTTTGAGTGATACTGACTCTTCTCCTGATTTTCTCAGAGTAAAATTCTACAGTGTAAAAGTAACAATATTTAAATATTGATGTAAAGTCCATATATCATATTTATATAATAAGGTAATAAAAAATGGAATAAAGCATCTTAATAAATACACAGACATATTTATAATAAAATTAGGATGGAATTCTCATTACAATTACAGTCCTCATTTCTGAACTGGCCACATGATTATAGCTGGTATTTATAACCGTCTTCTTCTTCTTTCCATACTCTATTCCTTTTGTCTTTAGCAAGCACCTTAGTTGGCCATGGTTCTTTTTTCCTTGTGAAGTGGCCCAAACCTTTATTCCTGAAGAATGTGGGCCATTAGTAGTTCTGGCTAGTTTGGGCTATTACAGTTTTCCGTATATTATTATTACAGTTTTTCTTATTAATAAAAGATGTCCTAAGGAATGTCCCATATTCCAGGCTTATTCTTCCTTGTATTGTGAAGTAATAGCCCAATTTCCCCTGGAAAGTCAGGATCAAGTGTGATAACTTCCTGTTTTGTCTATTGATTCAGTTGCATGAGGAGCTCAAAATGGCTGGGTAAGAGTCTTAACTTCCAATTCAATAGAATTATTGCTATTTCTCTAGGTGGAAGCATTCATTCCTCTGTGACTAAGACCTGTAGGTCAGTAAAGCTTAAAGTCAATGGAGCAGGAAGCAGAAATTTTGACAGTGGGTCACTAGGGTTAATAGTGAGTGGTGTCTTGAATGTTAAATGACGAGTTAATGGGTGCAACACACCAACATGGCACATGTATACATATGTAACTAACCTGCACATTGCGCACATGTACCCTAAAACTTAAAGGATAATAAAAAAATTAAAAAATTAAAAAAAATAGTGAGTGGTGTCACTCATACTTCCATCTCTTCATTCCTAGGCTACTAGATCCAGTCTATGGCAAAAAAACAGCACAATATACTGGAGACTAATTCAAAGCATATATAGCTTTCTTGCAAACTTTTCCCCAGCTATTCAAATTATTGCCATCTAGCTGAATTGTAATTAAAATTTCAAAGCCAGTTTCTTTGGGATGTTGGGCAGCATGGTGAGTATGACTAGTGAATTCCATGATCATGGACACATTGCTGCACTTCTTTATCTGTGAAGTGAGTTTCTTGATATATGTAATGCCATGTGGAATATCATGATGGTACATAAGGCATTCTATAACTTGGAAGGTAGTTTTGGCAGAATTGCTTGCAGAGAAGGAAAATCTGTATCCAGAGTAAGTATATATTGCACTAAGAACAAAATGCTGCTCTTAAATGTTGGAAACAGTGCAATGTAACCAAACTCCTGCCAGGCAGCTGGCTACTCCCATTGGGTAATGGTGCCATATTAGTGGCTCTGTGTTGTTCACTGCTGCTGGAAGATTGGACACTCAGCAGTGACTATGGCCAGGTTGGCCCTCATGAGTGGAAGTCCATGTTGCTGTGAGACCACACATAACCTATGTCCCTGCCACCATGTCCACTTTCTTTGTGAGCCCATTGGGTGATGACAGGGTGCCTGAAGAAAGAGGCTGGCTAGTATCCACAGAATGTGTCATACTATTAACTTGAATATTACAATCCTCCTCTGCTGAGGTCACCATTTGGTGAGCATTCACATGGGACACAAATATCTTCACGTTTTTTGCTCATTCAGAGAGTTATGGTCATACTTCTTCCCTAAATTTCTTTGTCATTAATTTTTCAATCATGTCCTCTCCACGTTTTTTACTATCTAGCCACACCACTTGCCACAGCCCCTGAATCCATATGTAATCATAATTATCGCATGTCTGTTCTCTCATGATCACTTTCTAAGCAAAGTGCATCACCAGGTGCACCACTCAAAGTTGTGCACAGTGAGAGTATTTCCCTTTACTTCTGTCCATCAGGAATGTCCCAGAAAAGGCTTGTAGTGCTACAGTTGCCCACTTTTAGGGTGGTGTCTGCATATGATGCAGAACTATCTTTAAATGGGACTGGAGTCTTTTCTTCCTCTGTCATCTGACCATAAGGCACTCTCTATGAGGCCATGGGTGGAGACTGCGAGACAGAAGATAGTGTAGGAGGAGCGGGGACCATGTGCATCAGGCTATTTCTTCATGTAACTTACTTGTGCCTCAGGGCCTGTTCAGTCTTGAACACCATATACAGCAGTCACTTGGATACCTATTTTTTGCTTTTTGTGGTTTCAGTTACCTGCATTCAACTGTGTTCCAAAAATGTTAAAGAGAATTTCCAGAAAACAACTCATAAGTTGTAAATTACATATCATTCAAAATAGCACAATAAATTCTCACACTTTTTCACTCTATCTTACCTAGGGCGTGAATCATTTTTTGTCCAGTTATCCACAGTGTATATTTTCCTTGTCTGTTCCACTTAGTAGCCATCTTGGTTATCAGATGACTGTCACAGTATTGCAGTAACTGTGTTACATAACCGTTATTTTACTTAATGATGTCCCATACTGCAAGAGTTATGATGCTGGCAATTCAGATATGTCAAAGAGAAGGCATAAAGTGCTTCCTTTCTTTCAGTGTAAAGATGAAAGAAAAAAAAAATCCTATGCTAAGGTTGCTAAGAGCTGCAGTGAGAACAAATCTATTTGTAAAATTATGAAGAAGGGAAAATGGACTGTGTATGTCCAACTTTATGGCTGAGTGAGTCAGAAATCGTGCAGTTTATGATGTGTCAAGATAGTCAAGACTTCAGTTTCTAAGGCCTAATAGCAGGCCAAGAAGTGTTTTTTTAAATTTACTTGTTTGTTACCTATTTTTTACACTTGCTTAAATTTGCATTTGTACCACAGAGGACTCTTGATTAAAATATTGTATCTATAGTGCAGGCTCACAGAAAAAATATTGTATATACACGGCAGGTGGTATATACACAGTGGTTTCCTCAAAAAGGTGACAGAGTGGAGATGGTTTTCAACGTTGTCCTATTACTTTACTTAAGAATTTTACATGGAATAAAATAATGCACAAAGGAGAGGTGTTGCTTTTTTACTCATTTATGTTGTTCCTTTTTATTTCATCAGGGATAAAATTATTTAATTTTAATTTTGTTTATTCTTCAAATAAAAAATGGATATAATTACCCCTACTATGTACCTATAAAAATAAAAAATAAAAATAGTACTTAGAACACAGTAAATTTATTAGTATTAATAAATTATCTTAATATTTATTTTATTGTGACTTACCATCAGGTCTCTGTTTACAAATTATTTAGATTTTGGTTTTTTTCTTTATTACATATTGCAGCATTTCATTTTTTTATTCTGTTTAACCCTCAACTAAATTTTTCTTTTCTGTCTTGACAAAAACTTGATGTTTTATTAATATGTGTGTCCTATATTACTAATGTCATCCTGTGAACACATACAATTTGTGTATGTGTGTGTATTTACCATGCATATATGTTATTGTTATAATTTCATTGCTGTATTTAAGTCACTTTTTATTTGTGATATATCAATATTGTAACATTTGTGTTTCTTTCTGCATTATATACCTGCATTATATCATATATAATTATATAACTATGATACATGTCTGATAATTTTACCTTGTTTATTTTTTGTCCAGAGCAAGCCTATCCACAAAAACCAGCAACTTCCACGTTAAAGGCAGGGGTAGGGGGTAATTAGATTTGGAGTAAATGGTAGAAAATCCATGCACAGTAGTGAACGCAACTCTTTTAACCTCAGGTTATGATTATAGTTGGGGTAAGTAGCAGCAGGGAGGACTAGCCTGAAATTTAAAGTTCCTAGAAAGGAGATGCCAACTGAGGGATTTGATAAAAACTCCAATATCCTACACATCACCAGCTGTCTGACAACCTAAATACCCACATAATGGAGACTTGAGAGTACTCAAGAGGAAAGTAAATGCTGGGGTATACTTGAACACTAATACAGTTTAATGTGCTCCCCAAATCAGGCACATGTCAGCAGCAGAGGGTGCAAGCCTTATGAAATAAAAATTTTTAGAACAACTTTGACCACTAACCTAGAAGACAAAGAGGTAACTCTTAGAAAGTCAAGCTAAAAGTTAATAATGCAAAGGAAATGCTGAGCAGATAAATTAGTGGCCAAATTCTGCATATTAATTCTAAACAAGGTATTTTATAACAAAGAAACAAAAACACACACAGCAACAGAGAATCATAGAGGGAAAAAAATAAATAAAATCAAATTTTGGAGGTGCTAAAATATATTACAAAATTTCCAGTTCTCAGTACAAATCTGAGTCATTAAAAACAGAAAGAGGAAATAATGACCTATACTTGGATATGATTGATAGGTAGTCTATAAGCACCGCCTGTGACTGGACATAGATGTTGGATTTAGCCGACTCATATTTCAAAGAAACCATAACTAGTATTTCAAAGAATTGGAAAAATGTTTACAGTACTTGAGAAAATAAATCCACAAAAAATGAATATCAATAAAGAATTTGAATCCATTAAAAATAGATTTGAGAGTTGAGTATGGAAGTAATATATTAAGAAAATTTATCCTCATGGTTCAGTGTATAATATGCAATTGGTAGAGGTTCATAAAATACAGATATTCAGGTGTCAAACCTAGAGGCTGAAACCATGCCTGACTTGAGGCTCTGCAAAAGGAGAAAGTGAAGCCTTTGGCAGAACTGTAAGCTGCCTGAGCATTTGTTTGAGTCCATTTTTGCTTCTATAACAGAATACCTAAGAGTGGACAATTTATAAAGAACAAAAGTTTGTTTTTTGACAGTTCTACGCGTTAGAATTTTCAGAAAAAAAAGTACTGTAGAAAATGATTGACTTACCAAAGGAGAAAATCAAAAAAGCATTTTTTTTTTTCTGAAAGAATCAAATAGAAAATCTGGAGTTAAGAAACAAAATAACTGAAATGAAAAATTTACTTGTTAGATGCAACAGAAGATTGAGAGGCAGGGTGAAGAATCAACCAACTTAAAAAGAGGTAAATAGACAATATCCATTCTAAATAAAATAGAAGAAAGGTCACCAAAAAATCAAGACATCCTTGGACACTTGCAGTACTACTATTATGTTTATCAATAGAGTCAGTTGGAGTAGCAACAGAAGTTAAGGAGAAAAGAATAAAAATATTTCAAAAACTCCTGCAATTAGAGACATATCAGTGATATGCAGATATAGGAGACTAAACCAAACAAATTTGATAAACACAAAAGATTCTCACAGAGACATATAATAGTCAACTTTTTGGTAGCAAAAGAGGTAAACAGGGTATTTAAAATATCAATATAGAGGGGGAGCCTAGATGGTCGAGTGGACACAGCCAGAAATAACATTTCCCAGTTCCTGAGACATTGGGAAGACTGGCACACTCTGAATGGATCTTCAGAGAGAAGGCATTGAAAGTAGACAAAGAGAAAGTGCAGACACTGGGCTAAAGGGGTAGAAAGTCGAGAACCCTACACAGGCCTGCCGAGCACTGGGACCCACTCCTGGACCCCACTCACTCCTGGCGAATGGGTGAGTCAAACAGACAAAGAATAACCTGCTTTATCCATGGGCCTCCAGAATCCTAGTTGCAGGAGAACCAATGATCCCCCATGGACACTTGAGCTGGCAGGAATTGCTGCTTAGAAAAGTAATGGGGGCAGGACTCCAGATTTTACAGAGCACAGAGGGTTTGGTGCAGGAACAGCTTCAGTGGAGCATGGCCAGGGATACCCATTCCCCAAGGATCACCAAGCTCCTCTAGGAGGCTTCAGCCTTTAGGAGACTTACAGACCTGGACAGAACAGGGTGATCTTGTCTGTGTGATGGGGACAGTCTCATCTGAGTGCTCCCCTGTTTCCCAGCTTTTCCTGTGGCTCCAGCCTGGCTGTCCCTACTTGTAGCACAGCCTCCAATATCCAATCAGAGTGCTTTCTGGGGGCCCTCATCATAGCTGCTCTGCTGGTAGGCCACACATAACTAATGAAGAGGTCTAGCAGACTGGACCAAGCCAACATGAGCAGCCCATACACAACCATCCCCTGCTGCTTTGCTAACACCCGCCCCCCACATGGAAGTCCCACCACAACTTGACTAGCATGTGCATATGGGCGGATCTGTCTCCCCTCCTCTGATAGTGCATATGTGCACACGTACCCCACCATCATACTGCCAGCATGAGAATACCCCACTATCCTACCCACCCCTGGTGGCATGCTGCCCCCACTGAGGCACTGGCAGCCAGCCATGTTATCACTAAGGTAGCCAGTGCAAGTGTGTGTACAGACACTGGAACCATCTCCCCAACCTGCACTAAACCATTGCCACCACCAATGCCACCAACACAAATGTGTGTGTAGATGCCAGTGAATCCATCACTACCCTTCCAATGCATGGGCACCACACCATTACACTGCAGCTGCTGGTAAACATATGTGAGCATGGATCACAAGCCACCACCTTTACAAAGTGCTTTGGCTGGCACCCCTCATCACAGTATTGGGGCCAGTGGACTGGAAACACCTTGACCCCTTGAGCACAGCAGGTTTCTAACCTAAAGGAGTCAGAGAACAAAGTCAGTGGCACAATACAAACCCTCACAATTACAGCACACAGCCTAGGAGCGATGAGCTGAGCTCATCTTCCAGAGTCAGAGCCAGTTGACTGAACTCATAAGAAAATCAAACATCCCAGGGTATCAAAGATGATTAAAAAGAAAACAAAAGTGCAAAGGACAGTAACTTCAAAGATTAAAGGAACATCAGGCCACATAGGTGAAAAAGAACCAGAAAAGAACTCTGGCAACTCAAAAAGCCAGAATGGGCTGGGCACAATGGCTTACATCTGTAATTCTAGCACTTTGGGAGGCTGAGGCAGGTGGATCACCTGAGGCCAGGAGTTTGAGACCAGCATGGCAAACATGGCGATACCTCATCTCTACTAAAACTACAAAAATTAGCTGGGCATGGTGGCAGGTGCATATGATCCAAGCTACTCAGAAGGCTGAGGAAGGAGAATCACATGAACCTGGGAGGCAAGGTTGCAGAGAGCTGAAATTGTGCCATTGCACTCCAGCCTGGGTAACAGAGGGACATTCTGTCTAAAAAAAAAAAAAAAGAGTGTCTTCTTACCTCCAAAAGACCACGCTAGTTTCCCAGCAATGATTCTTAATCAGGAAGAAATAACTGAAATGTCACTCATGGAATTCAGAGTATGGATAGGAATGAAGATCATTGAGATTCTGGAGAAAGCCCAAACTCAATCCAAGGAATCTAGGGAATATAATAAAACAATACAGGAGAGTAAAGAGGAAATAGCCATTTTAAGAAAGAAGCAAATGTGTCTGATAGAGCTGAAAAACTCACTTCAATAATTTTATAATACAAGTATTAACATGGAATCAACCAAGCTGAGGAAAAAACCTCAGAGCTCAAAAAATGGATCTCCAAAATAACTCCATCAAACAAAATAAATAATAAAGAAGAATGAACAAAGCCTTTGAGAAATATGGGATTATGTAAAGTGAGCAAATGTATGGCTCATTAGTGTCCCTGAAAGAGAGGGAGAGAAAGCAAGGAACTTGGAATACATATTTGAGGATATTACCCAAGAAAATATCACCAATGTCACTAAAGAGGTCAACATTTAAATTCAGGAATTGCAGAGAACTCATGCTGGATATTATGCAAAACAACCATCCTTGAGACACATAGTCAATTCTCCAAAGTTGACATGGAAGAAAATAATATTAAAGGAAGCTAGAGAGAAGGGGCAGGCCACCTACAGTGGGAACCCCATAAGGCTAAAGGCAGACCTGTCAGCAGAAACTATACAAGCCAGAAGAGACTGAGGGCCTCTTTTTAGTGTTCTTAAAAGAAACTCCATCCAAGAATTTCATATTCAGCCAAACTGGGCTTCATAAGCAAAAGACAAGTAAGATCTTCTCAGATGAGCCAATGTTAAGATAATTTATTACCACCATGCCATCCTTACAAGAAGTCCTTGAGGGAGTGTTAAACACAGAAATGAAAGACTTACTGGCCACCACATAAACACACTTAAGTACATAGACCATTGATCGACATTGTAAAGCAACTACACAATCAAATCTGCTTAATAACCAGATAACGGCATGATAATGGGACATATCAAATTTTCACCTATCAATATTAACCTCCAATGTAAATGAACTAAAGACCCAATTAGAAGGCATAGAGTGGCAAGTTGCATAAAGAAGCAAGACCCAACTGTATGCTGTGCTCAGGAGACCTATCTCTCGTGCAATGACACCCATAGGTTCAAAGTAAAGGGACGGAGAAAAATCTACCGAGCAAATGGAAAACAAGACAAAACAAAATTGCTATTCTAATATCAGACCAAAGACTGTAAACCAACAACCATTAAAAAAAGACAAAGAAGGGCATTATGTGGTCCTTTAGGGAGTGCTAAATATGGGTTCAGTTCAACAAGAAGACTTAACTATTCTAAATATATATGTACTCAATGCAGGAGCATCCAGATCCATAAAACATGTTCTTAGAGACCTACAAAGAGAATTAGATAACCCTACAATAATAGTGGGAGAGTCCAACACTTCACTAACAATATGACATCACTGAGGCATAAAACTTATAAAGAGATTTGGAACATGAACTAGATACTTGGCCAAATGGACCTAACAGGCATCTACAGAATGCTCCACTCCACCAAAATAGAATATATCTTATCATCTGCATACGGCACATACTCCTAAATTGACCACATAATTTGCCATAAAAACAACTCTAAGCAAATTAAAAAAAAACTGAAATTATAGCAGGCATACTCTTGGACCACTGCACCATACAAATTGAAATCAATACTAAGAAGATCACTCAAAACCATATAATTACATGGAAATTAAATAATCTGCTCCTGTTTGAATTCTGGGCAAACAATGAAATTAAGGGAGAAGTCAAGAAATTCATTAAAACTAATGAGAACAAAGATACAACATATCAGAATATCTGGGAAACAGCTAAAGTACTGTTAAGAGGAAAGTTTCTTGTTCTAAACACGCAAATCAAAAAGTTAGAAATATCTCAAATTAACAATCTAACATCACACTTTGAGGAACTAGAAAAACAAAAGCAAACCAACCTCAAAACTAACAGAAGACAAATAATAACCAAAATCAGGTCTAAACTGAATTAAATTGAGATGTGAAAAGCCATACAAAAGATCAACAAATCCAGAAGTTAGTTATTTAAAAGAATGGACAAGATAGTTCACCAGATAGACTAATACAGAAAAAAGAGAGAAGATTTAAATAAACACAATCGAAATGACAAAGTGGACATTGGCAATGACCCCACGGAAATACAAAAAACTTTCAGAGACTATTAAAGTCATCTAATATGCACACAAACTAGAAAACCTAGAAAAAATTGATAAATTCCTGGAAACATACAACCTCTCAAGATTGACACAGGAAGAAATTGAAATCCAGAAGAGACCAGTAATGAGTTCAGGAATTGAATCAGTAATAAAAAATCTGGAAAAGCCCAGGAACAGACAAACTCACAGCTAAATTCTACCAGACATATAAAGAAGAACTGGTACCATTTCTACTGAAATCATTCCATAAATAAGTAAATAAATAAATAGGAGAAACTTCTTTCTAGCTTATTTTATGAGATCAGCATTATTCTGATCTCAAAACCTGGCAGAGATACACACACACACAAATTTTAGGCCAATAGCTTTGATGAAAGTAGACGAAAAATTCTCAATACTGGCAAACTGGATCCAGCAGCACATCAAAGTGCTAATTCCCATGATTGAGTAGGTTTTATCCCTAAAAAGCAACGTGGTTCAACATATGCAAATAAGTAAATGTGATTCATCACATAGGCAAAAATTTTTTAAAAAACATAATCATCTCAATAGATCCAGAAAAGACTTTTGATAAATTCGCATCGCTTCATGTTAAAAAATCCTCAACAAACTAAGCATTGAAGGAACACACCTCAGAATAATAAGCCATCGATGAAAATCTCACACCAGCATCATACTGAATGGATAAAAACTGGAAGCATTCACCCTGAGAACTGGAAGTGGACAAGGATGCCCACTCTCGTTACTCCTATTCAACTAGTACTGGAAGTCCTAGCCAGAGAAATCAGGGCAGAGAAAGAAATGACAGAGATCCAAATGGGAAGAAAGGAAGTCAAAGTATCTATGTTTGCAGATGATATAATTTTATACCTAGAATATTCCATAGTCTCCACCCCAAAACTCCTAGATTTGATAAACAACTTCAGCAAAGTTTCAGGGTACAAAACAAATTTATAATAATTGTGGTATTTCTATACATCAACAACGTCCAAACTGAGATTTTATGATGAAGATGCCAAGAGCAACAAAAACAAAAATTGACAAATGTGGCCTAATTAAACTGAAGAGCTCTGCACAGCAAAGGAAACTTTCAGCAGAGTAACCAGACAACCTGCAACAGAATGGGAGAAAATATTTACAAACTATGCAACCAACAAAGGTCAATATCCAGAGTCTATAAGGAACTTAAATACATTTTGAAGCAAAAACCAAATAACCCAATTATAAAGTGGTCAAAAGACATGACCAGGCACTTTTCAAAGAAGACATACACATGGCTAACAAACATATAAAAAACGCTCAACATCACTCATCATTAGAGAAATGCAAATCAAAACCACAAGAAGATACCATCTCACACCAGTTAGCATGGCTATTATTTAAAAGTCAATAATTAACAAATTTCAGTGAGATTGTGGAGGAAAAGGAATGCTTATATACTGCTTGTAGCAAAGTGAATTAGTGCAGCCATTGTTGAAAGGAGTTTGGCGATTTCTGAAAAAAACTTTAAATACTCCCCATTCAACTCAGCAATCCCACTATTGAGTATATGCCCAAAGGGATATAAATCTTTCTACCATAAAGGCATATGTGTGCATATATATATTCACTGCACCACTATGTACAATAGCAAAGACATGGAATCAACCTAAATGCCCATCAATGCTAGACTGCATAAAGAAAATCTGGTACATACACACCATGAAATACTACACAGCCATTAAAAAGAATGATATTATGTCCTTTGCAGCAATATGGATGGAGCTAGAGGGCGTTATCCAAAGTAAATTATTACAGGAATAGAAAACCAAATACTGCATGGTCTCACTTATAAGTGGAAGCTAAACACTGAGTACATGTGGACACAAAGAAGGGAAAAACAGACACAGGAATACTTGAGATTAGGAGGGTGGAAGAAGGGTGAGGAATGAAAATGTAGCAATCAGGTGCTATACTTATTACCTGGGTGACAAAACAGTCTGTACACAACCCCAGTGGCATGCAATTTATCTATACAGCAAACCTGCACATACACCTCTTAACCTAAAATAAAAGTTAAAAACTGTAAAAATAGGCCGGGTGTAGTGGCTCATGCCTGTAATCCCAGCACTTTGGGAGGCCGAGGCTGGCGGATCACCAGGTCAAGAGAGCGACACCATCCTGGCCAACCTGGTGAAACCCCGTCTCTACTAAAAATACAAAAATTAGCCAGTCGTGATGGCTGGCGCCAGTAATCCCAGCTACCCAGGAGGCTGAGGCAGGAGAATTGCTGGAACCTGGGAGGCAGAGGGTGCAGTGAGCCGAGATCGCGCCACTGTACTCCAGCCTGGGTGACATAGCAAGACTCCATCTCAAAAAACAAAAAACATGTTAAAACTATGATTAATGGAGATACCCAACGGTAGAGAAAATAGTTTAATAAATGGGGTTGTATAAATAGAATAGATTATTATAAAGTCACTCGTATTACCAACATAGGATAGATATTTATTAAATACCTATCATATCCTCAACATAATTTTAAGTGCTTCATATATAATATTTAATTGAATATTCACAAACACATGAGGCAGGTTCTAGTATTGTCACTTTGCAAACATGGACACTGACGATATGAGAGCTTAAGAAACTTTCACATGGTCACAAAGTAATTATATGATGTTTCTAGATACAAATTCAGAATTATGGTTTCCAAATACAAAGATTTTTTACCATAGCATAAAGTCTTTACTTGAAAAGTTATAATTGCAAAATGTTGAGAATGTAAAAGTATTCAAAATATGTGTGAATCCTAATTAAAGGGAAAATATATAAGTACACATATAATAGTATAATATTGTTCAGATCCTGTTTTCTAAATGCCGTAGTCTCATAAAAGCAAGACTCCTTGGAGCAGTGGTTAATTTTAGAGCTGAGTCCAGGAAAATACAAGATGACCTGGAGCACTTTGTGCTGCTAGAGTGTAAGAAGTAAAAACAAAACAACAGTGACAAAAAGAATTTTAAAAGACAGGGACATGTTCAAAGAGCAAAGAGCCCAGGAGCCAATTTGATGGTGATTCTATTAGCAAAGCTAGAACGATTTGAACAACAGAATAAATGATGTCAGTATGAGATAATAACATAAAGAGTAAAATAATTATGAGTGCATATTGATTTAAATAGAAGGCTGAATAAATAAACATATAGGGGAGAAATAACAACTCTTCCTTACAGAATAATTCCAATATATAGAAAGAGTAAGGAAAATAGTAAATTTTACCAAAATTATACAGTAATAATTGTTACAAGCAACAAACATTGATGAATAGTAAAAAGTAGTCATGAAATATTTACATAGTCTAAATTAGCTTTCCCCCAATAAATATTTAATAAATACAAAGATAGAATTATACTTCTACAGTAAAAAAAGTCCAGCACACACTACTTTAAATGATCAAGTTTAATATCACTAATAATATCACCTATCAACACATATACCCTGTGATAAAATGGAAAATGGTATACAGATTGCCTCTCTGGAACTATTCCCAATTATGAAAAACCTCAATTTAATCAGTAGAAAACATCAGGCAAGTTTTAATTGAAGGATAACCTATAAAATACTTGACAGGTACTAAAAAAGTATCACAGTCATGAAGAAAAGAAAAGAATATTGAACAGGAACAGACTCCGATAGACTAAGGAGACATGACACTAACCACAACCTGGCATCCTGGATTGGATCCTGGAAGAGAAAATAGGACTTCAGTGGAAAACTTGGTGAAATTTAGTAAGTCTGTAGTTTAGCTAATACTGTTTTATCACCATACATTTCTTAAGTATTAATATTCACCCTATGATTAAGTTAACATTAGTAAAGCTAAAATAGTTAATGAAAAGTTAAAAAGATTTGATTGACAGAAATCAAAATAGATGTGCAGGAAGATGTAAATTCAGTTAATCAAGTAGTTATTAAATGTCTATTTGTCCTGTAACATGGTCAACAATAGCCCCTATAGCAATTGTGTATTTGTGAACACTATACATATTAGTTCACCAAATATCGGAATATTAAATAGCTGAGACAAAATTTGAATCTTGAAAGAGACAATTAACTCTAGGTAGTGTGAAAGGAGAAATGATATCATTTTCATAGTTGAAGTCCCACAAAAAGCATAGTGCCTGCTGTCTAATAGCTGTTTAATCAATTTGTGTTGAACAAATAAGTAAGAGTAGATGAAAAGTTAATATTGAAGGGGTACAGCCCAATTCTTTCAAAGTATAATTTTATCAAATTGCACACTTATTGGGGGAAAAATTACTGCAGTCTCTCCTTATCCTCAAAGAATCTACAACCCCAGTGGATACCTGAAATTTCAGATACTACCAAACTTGATATATACTTTTTTCTATACATACATACTTGTGATAAAGATTAATTTGTAAATTAGACACAGTAAAAGATTAACAATAACCACTAATAAAATGGAACCATTATAACAATACTCAGAAATGCACAATTTAAAAACCTCTAATTTGTCTATTCCTGGAATTTTCCATTTAACATTTTTAGACTCGTTGACCAAGGGTAACTGAAACAACAGAAAGTAAAACCACAAAAAATGGGGGACTACTGTATACCATTTATTTTGTCCTAATATCTGATAATATTATCAGTGAGTGATAAGGCACATCTATAATAGATTTTATTACTTTTTTAAAACCTCTAATGTGACAGGTAACATTAGAGATGGTTTCTGTTGCTAGGAAAAATGTATTTTCTTTTCCCCATGAAAATATCTGTCTTGTTTCATTATGTAACAGTAAGAAGAGATTTGTTAAAGGATGCAAAATTACAGCTTGAGAAGAGGAATGTGTTCTATTGTTCTGTACTACCGTACAATGACTACAGTTAACAATATCATATTATGTAGGTTCAAACAGCTAGATGGAGGATACTGAATATTCCCAACACAAAGAAATGATGAATGTTTGAGATGATAGATATGTATAACCTGGTCACTACACATTATGTTTTGGAACACCACTATGTACTCCATAAATATAAACAGTTATTACTTGTCAATTAAAAGTAAGCCCCCCTTTAAAAACAAGAAATAAGGAGAATGTAACAATCACAGCAGAAAATAATTTAATTAGACAAGTCTGAGAGATCCTTCCAAGCTAGTGTTTGCCCAAGTATAATCCATGTAACGTGGGGCATTTTAAAAAATTTAATTTTATGGGTCAATACCAAACCTAATAAACCAGAATCTGTATAGTAGCATAGGCTAGGAAGCTGCTCTGAAACAAACAAACAAAAATAAATGATAATAATGTGAATACAATTGTGAGAAATATTGTATTTACTCATAAATTGATCATTAAATGGAAAGCATGAGTTTGATTTGTACCGTAGGTTTCTTGTTCATTTTCTTAGATGGCATACTTATTATCAGCCAATGATATTATGTATATACCATTAAGCACAATTAAAAATAACTGCCTGAGTTAAAAGTAAACACATCTATGATTGTTGACATGGATGGTAATGTAATTTCAACACATATTAACAGTATTAAGTCAATGAGTAGGAAAGCTTACTTCTGTTGCATAAGAGGGTTATCTGGGAAACAGTGGTTATCTGAGATACCCTAACATCATATGTCACCTTTATTTTCATAATGATTTAATTTTTCATAAATGTTTCATGTATACATCTACCAATAACATGTAAATAGCATGATTTTTAAAGCTACATCAATTGAATTTTTAAATAATATCTGCTGTTATTTAACTGAATACACAAAAATAAATATTATACATTTCCAAAGACTTCTATTGGAGACATACCCCAGACAAATTAAGAAGAGATCCTCGAGTACAATTAAGATAGGAATCTCAAGAGATTAAAGATGATAATTGTCTAACCTCTTTATTAGGTGAGTTTAAGTGTTTGAGGAAGAGTTGCAGGTATAAGAATACTGCTTAACGTATGAGATTTCAGAAGAAAATATTTTGTCATGGGATTGCTTTAGAAATACGCTAAGATCAAAACTAATTCTAAATAAGAATCTAGACGTGAACAAAAAATATAAACTTTCAATTCTCAAGAATGCACACAAAAACAAGTTAACAAGTTAATTTGGCTCTTATTTCTATCTTATCAATGGAAGATAATATATATAATACCCAGCATTATCATCAAAACCACCAATATTTTTCATCAACATCATAATATTTAGGGTCCATTATATAGGAAATAGAGCTCTGTGCTAAATAACTACAGTAACAACAACAACAGATCCAAGTCATTATGTTGACAATTCATGGGATTCAGAATTATAGATGAGGCAAATATAACAAACCTGAAAATAAATGGAAGATAACTGAAAAAAAGGATGTTTCGTTTGGATTATTGAATCCCAGGCATATCTAATTTTATTACCTTTTTTTCCCCTAAAATTTGCATGTCTGCCAGCCTGTGAGTATTATTTGCATGTTTCTCACATTGAGAAACTTTTTATTTTTTAATGTCTGCGTCTTCCATGAGGCTTTAAGAAAAATGCCCTTCATGACGAGCAAGACATTTGGTCTCACCTCACCCAAAGACAGAAAGAATACATGATAGGAGAAAAAGGTATAAGAAGTTTTAGCATTAACATGTCAAGTGAGCGGGATGTGTCTAGTTTTGTCTTTTCTATTTTTTTCTTAACAAAATCTAAAAAGCTTTACAGAGTCCAAGGAAATATTAGCTATGTCCGCCTAAGATTTTATTAAGCTCCTAAAATAATCCTGTGAAGTAGTTAGATGTTAAGAAAATAAGACTGCAACAAAAAGGAATTACTAAGTTCACAAATTGTAGAACTTCCTTTTCTAAATGGGTTTTTTATTTTTTCTAAGAGTATCATATAATTAATTTCATTAGATAAATTGCTGAGTATCATACAATTAATTTCATTAGATAAATCACCAATTAATTTCATTAAATTGCTATATTTGTTAGCTAAAATTAATTTCATTAGATAAATTACTGTATTCATTAGATAAAATTAATTTCATTAGATAAATTAGAATATTCATTAGATACAGTTATTTTCATTAAATTGCAAGACCCGATGTTAGACTGGGGCAGAGAATGGTACATCTCAGGAGGAATCTTTCGTCCTAGACATCCTTCCAGACACATGTTTTTTAGTCCACAAAATTGTGAACTTTGTTTTAATTAATGTCTGTCAATTTGTAAAAAATAAAAATTATGCATAAATCCCTAACTTGAAATCACTAAATTTTCCTTTCCATTTGTAACTCTTTCATTGTTGAAGTCTGAGTCAAATTTGATTATAGGGCCTTTAGATTTGAATCCTTCTCTAACTTTCCTTATTGTTATTGAGCAGGTAAGTCAAAGGCCTGAGTTGATATAAACAGCTGGCAGCAATTTCACTGAGGTGACTGTCTTCATCCTCTCTGGATATGCAAATCACCCTGAATTACAAGTCAGTTTTTTCTTGATGTTTCTCTTCATTTATCTATTCACTATTTTGGGAAACCTGGGACTGATCATGTTAATCAGAATGGATTCTCAGCTTCACACCCCTATGTACTTTTTCCTCAGCAATTTAGCATTCATTGACATATTTTACTCCTCTTCCGTAACACCTAAGACATTGGCGAATTTCCAATCCAATCAGAGATCCATCTCCTTTGTTGGCTGCTTTGTTCAAATGTACTTTTCTGTTGGATTGGTGTGTACTGAGTGTTTCCTGCTGGGATCAATGGCCTATGATTGCTATGTAGCAATCTGGAATCCCTCATTCAGTAGTCATTTCTTAGAAAGCGTGCAACTGGCTGGGAGTAATGTCATACACGATAGGTTTCACAAATTCTCTGGTATCTGTCTGTGTGATAAGTGGTTTTGTTCTGTGATTCCAGCATCAATCTTTTTTTTCTGTGACACCACAGCTCTTTTAGCACTGTCCTGTGTAGATGCATTCAGCACAGAAATGGTGAGCTTTGCCTTAGCTGGATTCACTCTTCTTGGCTCTATCCTTATCATCACAGTCACTTATATCGCCATCACCTCAGCCATCCTGAAGAACCAGTGGGCAGCAGGATGGCAGAAGGCCTTCTCCACCTGCGCATTCCACCTCATGGGTTAACTATCTTCTATGGGTCCCTGATTTTCACCTATTTGCAACTGGATAAAACATCATCCCTGATCCACGCACAGTTGGCATTTGTATTCTATATGACTGTCATTCCCATGCTGAATCCACTCATCTAGAGTCTGAGGAACAAAGATGTAAAAAATGCTCTTTGAGAGTCATACATAGAAAACTTTTTCCATGACAAATTTATGTATGTTATAATTAAAACAAACGTGGATGGCTTCAGTAATTCAATTATGCCAACAACTAGGAAAATAGCAGAGTAACATCAAAAAGCATAACACAAACTAAATGAGAACTTAGAGACTTGCAGTTTGTAAGTTTAATTATTATTTCATTATATGGACCACTAACACCCTGTATTTGGAGGTCAATTCAGAATATAAATTATTCAGACATAGACATGTACAAGGAAATAAGAGGCATCCGAACATTCATATGTGAGTATGCCATCACACTGAAACAGGTTCAAAATTATTACATTGAGAACATGCAATTTTTGTCATTCTGTGCCTGGCTTATATCACGTAACTGCATTGTTTGTATTAGACTGGTGCAAAAGTAATGGCAGTTTTTGTTATTAAAACAAAACAAAACAAACATAAAACAAACGGCAAAAGCCGCCATTACTTTTGCACCAACATAATAACTCAATGGATAAAGGCTTGGAAGACGGATAAACCATTTTCCAAGATGTGCTTATTTCACATTGCATGCCTGTATCAGAACATCGCATGTACCCCATAAATATACACATTTACTATGGACCCATAAAAAACTAAAAAATGTTTTAAAAACTAAAAAAAAAAATTAAATTGACAATATAATTTGACATTCTGTTTTCTCAGCTATTGGCAACTTGAGAGTAGAAAAATGGAAGATGAAGGAATAAGAACAGTTACATTTTACTAAAAATATTAAATGACAGCTGATCACCTGAAAGCAAAGAGTACAGAACTAAACAAACAAACAAAAAATAAAAATAACAAAGCAAATATTAGCCACAATGAAAAATGAAAGATTGAAATAATTTCAGTGCCATCACTAATGGAACAACAGATACCAGGCAGTATAGAGAAATCTCTTGATACTATGGAGTCATTTGCCCCTAACAGATGAGTTCTTCATCATATATGTATGAACACAATTTTAGATTACATAGAAAAGTGCTCTGTTTATGGCATATATTTTCTATAAAAAAAGGAGAGTTTAATTTATCATTAACTATAGATGTCTCATTGGTGGTAGCATAATTCCTAGAATATTTTGGATATATACAGAGACTCTTGCATCTCCAAATCAAACGGAAAAACTTTGTTAATTCTATAGCATTAAAGGAAGAAAATGTGTGTGTATTGTTCATGTGTGTGGGGTGGGAGAGGTGGTGCTTTCCTTGAAAAGAGACTTAAACCTGATTTAATGAACTCTCCCAGGTGTTTTTAGAAGATAACCATTGAAAAAGTTTTATCAGTACCGGTCTGGCCAACATTGTGAAAACCAGTCTCTACCAAAAATATATAAAAAGTACCCAGATGTGGTGGCACACACCTGTAGTCCTAGCTATTAGGGAGGCTGAAGCAGAAGAATCGCTTGAACCCAGAGGCAGACGCTGCAGTGAGCCAAGATCATACCACTGCACTTCAGCCTGGGCAATAGAGTGACACTCCATCTCTAAAAATAAATAAATAAAAATCAATCAATCAATATTTGTAAGATAAAAATAATTTTAACTCAAAATTTTAAAAAATTAGAATTATAATTTTATTAAGATTTTAATAACTTAATGACTAAGCATAACTGAGGTTAATCTTAGTCAAATAAGAAATAAAAAATTAACTTTACACTATTTTCATAATATGCCACAATAGGAATAATTCAGATCATCTATATAAGTGAAAAGTGACACCCAGATGAATAATGCAAATATTAAATTCTGGTATTATTAAACAGGTAACCATAAGAAAATACTTTTACTAGGTATTTTCATTACCTAGTCAAAGTATGCAACCTGATAAAGTAGGGGAAATAAAATAATAAAACACAAATAACTAAAATAACTAACGAATAAGCAAGTTAGTAAGTATTTGAACAAAATTTATCAAAAAAAGTTCATTTTTTTTATTGAGTCAAAGATGAAAGACAAAGAAAACAATAGTAAACATAATCCAGAAGAGAGAGAGAGATTGAGAGAGAGAGAATAGAAGGGGCATAAGTAACATGGTTTAAAACATAATGACTTAAGGCCAGGCACAGTGGTTCACACCTGTAATCCCAGAACTTTGAGAGGCCAAGGCAGCAACATCGCTTGAGCCCAGGAGTTCGGGACAAGCCTTTGCAACTTAGTGAGACCCTGTCTCTACAAAAAATAAGCCCAGCCTGGTAGCAAGCACCTGTAGTCCCAGATACTTGGGAGGCTGAGGCAGGAGGATCGCTTGAACCCAGGAGGTGGACGTTGCAATGAGTCAAGACAGCACAACTGCACTCCAGCCTGGGCAACAAAGCGAGACTCTGTCTCTAAATAAATAAATAATAACAAAAATAAAATATAATTACCTAGAGCATTACACTATATATCATTTAAATTGAGAGATTTAAAATCTCTGATCAGAATTAGGCTTTTGCCATGACATAGTAAATGGTAAAATAATTTTCTTGCCATTATAAACAACTCTGAACCTGAACAAAATAGTTTTTAACGTTAGAAAAAACATGAGCAAGAAAACCCCTTGTTCATGGCAACTTTGCAATCACCAAGTCTATTGAGGTGGCCTTGACGTAAAAAGTCACTTTTTGCCTCTTATTTGGCTTAAAACCTAATGATACCTATTGTCAAAGGGTGTGATTCTGGCTTTTTAATCTCCACATTAGCCTGTCTCAGGATCACTAAATTTCTGATGAACAGAATTGCTCTTCCAAAAACTCATCAAATGTACAATAAATACATACAAAAGTAGCCGCTTTATACATACCAACAAATTATCTCCTGAAATTCTAGATTATGGTCATGCTTCCTTCTAGACTCACTTTTAAATTTACATGAAAATTGATTTTATTATCATTACTTAACACAAAACCACATTAATATTTTACCCTGATTCACACTGTGTTTTCTTCCAGACTCTTCCTTTGCTTCCCCATCTTGGGCAAATAGTTCTCTGTACAATAGTTCAGCTCAATTTCTATATACTTTTAACCCATATTTAAGAAAAAATTTGACCTGATTATATATGGAGGAAGTAAGTTTTAAGCAACTAAATTCATTATAAAATGTTTATTGGTCTCAGGGCTGATTGTGTCCTTTTGCTCTCACTTTTATTTCATAAAAATTTAAAAAGTACATGAAAATAGCAAAACATATTGCACAAATATTTCATGTAGATGAATTAGGTGACACTGCCAAACCAGAATAAATCACCTGCATCACTTTTTTGGTAATGCTTCAAAATGTCTACTTATCAGCTGGTAAACAGTTAGTTAACTTAGTAAGTTATCCCCGGGGCACTAGCCAAAACCTGAACCATAGAATTGTAGGGTTTATAAAAGGTTAATATAACACAGTTCATGGCATAGCAAAAAATTTTGGTTATCAGATGATGAAAATACACTGAATATATAGTATTATTATGCAACCTATACATACATGTACATATAGGAATTAAGTGCACAAAAGAAAATAATTAGTAAAAATTATACTGTTTACAAAATGTTAACAGTTTAGAATTATTTTCATTTTCTTTTTTGAATTTTGTTATATTCTGATTCTTTTTTTTTTTTTTTTTTTTTTTTTTGAGACAGAGTCTCGCTCTTTTGCCCAGGCCGGACTGCAGTGGCACTGTCTCGGCTCACTGCAAGCTCCGCCTCCAGGGTTCACGCCATTCTCCTGCCTCAGCCTCCTGAGTAGCTGGGACTACAGGCGCCCGCCACGGTGCCCAGCTAATTTTTTGTATTTTTAGTAGAGACGGGGTTTCACCGTGTTAGCCAGTATGGTCTCGATCTACTGACCTCGTGATCCGCCCGCCTTCGCCTCCCAAAGTGCTGGGATTACAGGCGTGAGCCACCGCGCCCGGCCGATTCTTTTCTAATTAACATGTTTACTTCTATGATAGTATCATACATTTAAATATACAAAATTTTAATTGAAAAAAATGTGTTATTCCATCTTTGATGGTGTCAGAGAATAATTATTTTTCTGGAAATGGCTTCTCCACCATCCCAGTAAAATATTGAAAACATCACAAGAAAAGACCAATCCATAATTTCCTTCATTTGTGTGGCTTGTAAGGTAAAAAGGAAAACCTTTGCTCAAAATCTATCGTGGCTGTTTTATTCCTTGCACCTTTATCCTTGGAAACATACCAAGCAATTCTTCATTGGAAATTGGTCCACAGGGACTACCAAAAGGTGCATTATCATCAGCCCCTCATATATTAGGTACTCTGGAATTATCAGAGTGAGAGGTAAAGAATAATCTACCTATAGTCACAGAGATTCCCAGTGTTCTTTTGACACACAACTTCCTGGTAATCTTTCCATTTGACCAGGACCTAAACGAAATTTCTAGGTTGGTTTTTTGACACAGAATAAAACAAAATGAATGCACAAAAATGTAAAAACAACTTATCTCAAGGAAAACAAATATTATATCGGAGAAAATTTTATCTCCTTAAATGGTTTTCATATTTTATTTATAAGAAAAATTGAGGTTGACAAATTTCTAGACAGATAATATGAGAAGAAAGCTTTTTCACCAACTTTGGCTCAGACACGGTAAGTATTATTCTCAAAATTGGAAGATTTTATTTCAGATGAAATTAATTCAGGACTTTATCATAAGAATATACATATACATGTCATCTAGTCCTTACCCTGAGTAATGTCCGGGTTTGTGAAAAGAGATATGTAGAGTTGATGGAATCAGAGTCTACAAGCAAAGTACATATTTTGATCATATAATTTTTGGAAGAAATTTGATTTTGATTGGTTAAGTTACTAAAACATCATATTTGTATAAATTAATACTTATATATGGTCTATAATTTTAATGTATCCTGCTAAAATCCTTAAGTGTGAAATTTATTTAAAATTACCATTAAATAATATTAGAAACAAAGGGGCAGTAAATAATCTATTAAAAACTGTTTCCTCTCATTGTTTATTACATGTTTAGCTCTTTCTCAGGTTTTCTGAAATTATTTATAAACAGGAGTATAGTATTATAAGCCTTCTCTCTGAAGTCAACATATGTTGGCAGAATCAGCGTCAACATTTAATTGTTCTGACTTTGGATAAGTTACTCAAACCTTCCATACTCTTTTTTTCTCGGCTAAAATATGTCGATAATAGTAGTATCTATGGCATAGTATTTTCTTGTGGATTAAATGTATTAATAAAGGAAGGCATTCAGAACAAGGTCAGGTTCATTCTAATTATGCAATATGTTACATTTTATTATATCACATCTAAATGTTAATTTACACTTTTATCTACATTGGCAATATAATTCCGTTTTAAGGTCACATTCTATAAATGTATTAGCAATTTATAGAAACACTAAATGAATTAAATGCTAGGTTATTGTATAATCAGAAACCTTTTGAAGTCATTCATGTTAAGTATCAACTTTGATTTCTCAGCAGTTTAAAGCAATTGAACATCATGGGTAGAAGAAATAACACAAATGTGCCTGACTTCATCCTTACGGGACTGTCAGATTCTGAAGAGGTCCAGATGGCCCTCTTTATACTATTTCTCCTGATATACCTAATTACTATGCTGGGCAATGTGGGGATGATATTGATAATCCGCCTGGACCTCCAGCTTCACACTCCCATGTATTTTTTCCTTACTCACTTGTCATTTATTGACCTCAGTTACTCAACTGTCATCACACCTAAAACCTTAGCGAACTTACTGACTTCCAACTATATTTCCTTCATGGGCTGCTTTGCCCAGATGTTCTTTTTTGTCTTCTTGGGAGCTGCTGAATGTTTTCTTCTCTCATCAATGGCCTATGATCGCTACGTAGCTATCTGCAGTCCTCTACGTTACCCAGTTATTATGTCCAAAAGGCTGTGTTGCGCTCTTGTCACTGGGCCCTATGTGATTAGCTTTATCAACTCCTTTGTCAATGTGGTTTGGATGAGCAGACTGCATTTCTGCGACTCAAATGTAGTTCGTCACTTTTTCTGCGACACGTCTCCAATTTTAGCTCTGTCCTGCATGGACACATACGACATTGAAATCATGATACACATTTTAGCTGGTTCCACCCTGATGGTGTCCCTTATCACAATATCTGCATCCTATGTGTCCATTCTCTCTACCATCCTGAAAATTAATTCCACTTCAGGAAAGCAGAAAGCTTTGTCTACTTGTGCCTCTCATCTCTTGGGAGTCACCATCTTTTATGGAACTATGATTTTTACTTATTTAAAACCAAGAAAGTCTTATTCTTTGGGAAGGGATCAAGTGGCTTCTGTTTTTTATACTATTGTGATTCCCATGCTGAATCCACTCATTTATAGTCTTAGAAACAAAGAAGTTAAAAATGCTCTCATTAGAGTCATGCAGAGAAGACAGGACTCCAGGTAATTAAAATAGCAGGAATGCTGAACATTTAAACTCATCTTTTCTTTCTTTTCTATTTGGTATGTCCTTGGTCTCCCTATAAAAACAATTGAATCCTTCATGTTTGCATTTCTGTTGTGCTAACCTTTGCTTGACTAAACGTGATCTTGAACATTTCAAGGTGTATGTTTTCAGAAATCCAGATTGTAATTAGAAATCATAATATGTGTTGGCCGGGCACGGTGGCTCATGCCTATAATCCCAGCACTCTGGGAGGCCGAGGTGGGTGGATCACATGAGGTCAGAAGTTCAAGACCAGCCTAGCCATGATGAAATGTGGTCTGTAGTAAAAATACAAAAAATTAGCTGGGTGTGGTGGTGCATGCCTGTAATCCCAGCTACTTGCGGGGCTGAGGTAGGAGAATCGCTTCAATCTGGGAGGCAGAGGTTGCAGTGAGCCGAGATCGTGCCATTGGACTCCAGCCTGGGCAACAAGAGCGAAACTCCGTCTCAAAACAAAACAGAACAAAACAAAACAAAACAAAAAATAATAATATGTGTGTCATATTTACAGTCTAAATATATGTTTTTAGAAGCAACTGATGTGGAAAATAAGAAAATATGGTTGTCCTTTAAAATTATATTACACAAATTCCTATGCATACTTCAGTTGTAGGTAAATTTATTATGGAAAACAACGATTTGGGGCACAGTGATAACAGTCTCAGAAGTTATTTCATTTATTATATGGGGAAGAATTATAACAGAGTCTTTAGGAGTACTGTTTTGAAATAAAGTTTTCCAAGAGTTAGATTCTAAATATGCTACATTTTCAGCTATACAACCCAGAATATGTTACCTAAAATTTAAAACTCTCTTTCCTTAAGTGCACAAGATAAATAATAACTCCAAATTTGATCAGAGAGTAGCTGTAAAGTATTTAAGGTGACAATAATCAATGCTGCCTATTCTCATTAGAAGACTTGCATTCCAGCACAATGCCTTTTGTGAAGGATATTCACTTGTGTTTTACAAATTACTTTTGGTTAATTTAATTTACAGGCACACAAGCAACTAAAAAGGAAAAAAAAAGATAATATCAGTAGTTCACAATTTGGACTTTAGGAAATAAAATATTTTGATAAAATTAAGTTATAATAAAATAGCATATATTGTTAGAGAAAATTTGAAAAATATTATAAAATATTAAGGAAAATAGAAACCCTCAAAATATTGAGTTTTGGCTGTTTTGCTTATGGCATAGCCATTCTTTTGTTTCTTTATTTTTCTAATAAACTTGTTTTCAGTTTAAGAAAAACAAATATCGAGTTTTGTGCATGTTCTTCGAGATCAATAGTTTTGAATATGTGCATGTGTATAACATATGTAAACTAAATATCACTTTCTGTGTACTGATTTTCAGCTTTCTGTATCCATTTACAAGTTTAACATTGGATAATCTCTTTGTCATTGACAACGCTAATATAAATTTTTTCTTGGTACATAGGCAAAATCAAGACTCATTTCACAATGTTTTGGACTTGAAATATTAACTCACCACATTAAAAATCTACATGCAGTGATATCTCTTTTGTGTGTTAAACATTTGAAAACTTGACTTCTGTAAAGAGTCAAACTGTTTCTTTGTTAAAATTCTGTGTGTTTTTAAAAATCATTGCCTTGCTCCTGATGTGTACAAGTTTTAGTTTTAAAAATAAATCCTTGAATTAAATGCTTTATTCATTGATTTTTACATTTCTTAATACAGAAAAGTTGTAAAGCAAAGAATTGACGATGAATTCAGATGTTGTGACATCTCATAAACTTTAGTCAGGCAGAGTGATAAAAGGTCTTTTATTTTTAAATTTTTCTTTTACGTATTCTGGAATCACAGTATTGTTTTTCTGTGCTATTTAAAGGTTATTTTAGAAGCTATTTTCCATTTTCCAAGTATTTGATTTTTTATTTAAATTTTTGTAACAGTTACTAGATTGTTTTCATTCAAGCAATTTTTTTTTACCTTTTGAAATTTGTTTTCTTTGTAAAATTGTCCTCTTTGTTTTTTAAGTGCTTTATGGATGTTTAAAATAGAATGTAACCTCCATTTTGAGTTAATATTTTAATGTTTTTTCAGTAATTCAAACTGTCAACTAACTTATTCAGATCTTTTAAATATATATTATTTCCTCTACTTTCTTAATTTATTTCAAAACTTTGCCTTATCAAATACTAATGCTATATAAAATTATTATGATCTAATTTTTGCTTTGATATCCATGTCGTCCAGAATATATATTTATAGGTTCCCCTATTTGTTTTCGTTTGCAATTAGAAACAAGTATGTAGTAGGAATTTATTGTTTAATAATATGTTTTTTGGCTCATTCTCATCTTATAAATGCATGATATAATTTCATGTATTTATAGGCTCTTTCCATTTTTCTAGTCATTTTTATAAGCTATGGTTTTATCTTGCTTTCATTTATGTCTATTTCTATGATTTAGAAAATGGATCCTGTCAATTTGAGTTACAAAGATGGCCAACAGAATCTATCACTTTGTAGACAACACTTATGCTGAGAAATTGCTTAAATTCTATTTTAATTAGGACTACCTTATCCTCTTCATTGTATAAGCTAAAATGTATTCACATAATATTATAGAAAAGTATACAATAATCTATGTGCAATATGAAAGATTTAGACTGTTCACATTTGACTTATACTTTCGCTATTATAGTGATGTAAACTATATTTTATGTAAGATATTGTCTAATTTAAGGCATAGTCCTCTGATTCATAGTGTCATGCCAAAGTGCCATATAACATAAATACAAAAAAACCCTGTAATTCAGCATAGCAAAATATGAACAGCTATTTTTTCTTTCAAATAATGATGGCTAGATGAAAATAATAATAATTTTTTTTTCTGAGCACTGTTCAGACAATATTCAATGGGCTTTAGATATATAATTAACATACTTTATCATTATAATTTAACTGCCAGGTCAGTACTAGCAATATCTAAATTTTAATCACACATTAATGGAAAACCACCCTTTACTTGGTCAAGCAAAGATTTAAGAATTATGTTGAAGTAATGTGATTATTATGCATTGTCTTCCTGCATCAAATTATCTCATATACTCTAAATATGTATCTATTATGTACCCACAAAAAAAGTCAAATTAAGAATTTTTAAAAAGTAAATAAAACACAGAGGAGCTCCAGAACTGGGTAAATATAGGCTTTAGCTTAAGCTGAAACAGAGCATTCAAGCCAGCAATGGGTGGGCCTGGGGCCTTTACTTGGCTTGAAGTGAGGACACTGCCCTCCTCTCCTGAGGACTCATTTGTACACTCAGCTCATATTATTATGTAATTCTTGTCACCTTTCAATAACTTTTCTTACAAGCCTAACTATTTCTTTCAACTCTATGTGGCCAGGAGAGGCTTTCTGTAACTGTTTCAGATATAGACACACATCTTAGGGAGAACTGTCTGCGAGTGACAGCTTTCTCAGCCACAAGTCAGAGAGGTGGAGAAATCATTTTAAATTCTGGGCATTCGATCAAATATTCAGAAAAGGACACTTTGCCCTTTGAAAGTTGAACAATAAGCAGAAGTGCAGCCTGGGAAGCAAATGTACTTCTGATTATTTAAACTGAAGTTCTAGAGAGGACGGGATAGTCAGTGGTTCCAGCAACTTCAATGGGGGAATTTCAGGCTAATGCAGAAAACAAATGCAAAGGAATATCAAAGTAGTCCTGGTAACATCAGAATCCTATTGATACACTCACATCTCGGAAAGTGTTTGTCTCAGACTTTTGCAATTAATATCTGCAAACTGTGTTTGCAGTTTGAATGGTTTTCATCAATTAGTAAGAATCTATACCCATGTCCTTGTGTTTGCTTTTCTTTTGTATCATCAGCTCATAGACATTTAATGCAATACTAAGAAAACATGCTCTCTCCCCACCGAAAAAAAAAGAATTATCTTGGAATTTTATTTTTATTAAACACACTTTACTTCCATTCAATTAATATATTAAAGTTCTTCTAAATATGGAATACATTTGGTGTCTGAACACATTTTTTGCTACCATCCTGGCCCAGATAACTGTCTTTTTAGTGTCAGAATTATTGCTGTAGTGTGGTAGCATGCATGTAATTTTATTCTTATTCCTCTTGAGTTGAATCTCTATATAGGAGCCAGAGTTATACTGTTAAATAGTAGGTTGGATTATATCATTTCTCTTCACAAACCCTATACAGTATTTCCTCACACTAAAAATAAAAACCAAGAACTTTATAAGTGTTCATTGGTTGAAAATGATGTCCTCAATTCTTAAGTCTATGAACTTATTTCTTATTATTCCACCTGTCACACTTACTTTGTCTCTATTCCATTATCTCCCAGCTCTTCGCTGTAAATAGTATTACTAACACTGCCTGAAGTTTTCCATTTTCTCTTCTTCCTGAAGCTTCCTTCCCACAGATAACTGCATGATTTTTTAAAAAATTTTTATTTCCATACATTTTTTGGGGAACAGGTGGTATTTGGTTACATGAGCAAGCTTTTTAGTGGTGATTTGTGAGATTTTGGTGCACCCATCTCCAGAACAGTATACACTGAACCCAGTTGTAGTCTTTTATCCCTTACCCCCCTCTTACCCTCTCCCTCAAGTCCCCAAAGTCCATTGTGTAATTCTTATGCCTTTGCATCTGCATAGCTTAGCTCCCACTTATAAGTGAGAACATACAATGTTTGGTTTTCCATTCCTGAGTTACTTCACTTAGAATAATAGTCTCCAGTTCCATCCAGATTGCTGTTAAAGCCATTAATTCATTCCTTTTTATGGCTGAGTAGTATTCCATCATATATCCATATATATGGAATATATACACATAGAGCAATATTTTCTCCACTCATTGATTGATGGGCATTTAGGATTCTTTTCTTAACAAAAAAAAATCCCTTACACCCTATTAAAGGCATTAACAAAATAATAGAGGTTATTAAAGGGGATATGCTGCTGATAAACATTCTCTAGGGCTGTTGATAGAGGAGAGTATGATTTTGGCAGTACTAGCTAAATCTCAGATGTATAGGTACAGTCCTATTTACAGAAAAAGCACTCAATAAAGGAAAGAACAGTTTATCAGATGATGGGATGGTGCTGGGGAGAGAATTTGTATTTAATCAGGATACAGGCTTTTCTGATGTTAAAGAAAAAAAAAAGGATTCAGAAACAGAGTGACCCAACAACAACAAAGTATCCTTAAATATAACCTGCAGAGTGTTCTTTGTTTTATTCTTATTACTCTTGACCTGACTAGACTTTGTGGGGAGCTGTTTTTCACAAGGCAATCTTAGGACACAGGTTCTTCTATGTTATTGCTCTATTATCTCCCTGATGTCTTCTTCTATGTTGTTGAAGAGAGTTAATCTAGTACTTTGCCCACATTCTAGTCTGAGAGAAAGGTGAGATTTTTTGACAGTAAGGAAGACAATTCCAAACGTTGTGTTCATATGGATGGTTTTTAGAACATATTCAATTTTTTAAGTAGACATAGGACTACCCTGGTTACCCCTTTCTTCTGATGTAAGCTTCTTTACATTTTTCATTTGTATTTTTCATTTAATTGTCAATTTTATTAGCAAAATGTTGTTTATAATGTTCTTATTTTCCTTGTCATATTTGTAGGGACCAGAGTAAAATACCTTATTTCATTCCTGATATTGGTTATATTTCTCTTCTGTCTTCTTAGTGTTGACCCTGGATTATAAAAACATGTTTTATGTATTATAGTTTACCTAAAATAATCTATATCTCAACTTTTCACATAAGACCTTTAGAGTAAAGTCAGATCTCTCCCATTCCTTTTGCTATATTTGTCATAAATTTTACATTTACCAAAATGTTTAAAGAAGAACTAATACCAATCCTACTTAACTATTCCAAAAACTAGAGGATGGGTACTTCCAAACTCATTCTACAAGTCCAGTATACCAAAACCAGACAGACCCATTGAAACAAACAAACAAACAAACAAAAAAGAAGCTATAGGTCAAATCCCTGATGAACATCAATACAAAAATTCTCAACAAACTACTAGCAGACCAATTTCAACAACGGTTTAAAAATATCATTGATTATGTTGAAGTGGGAATTATCCCAGGCATGCAAGTATTTTTTGATATACACAAATCAATCAAAGTGATACATGATATTGACAGAATGAAGGACCAAAAACATGAACATTTCAATTGATACTGAAAAAGGATTTGATAAAATTCAACATCCCTTCATGACAAAAACCCTCCAAAAACTGAGTATAAGAGGAACATAACTCTATATAATAAAAGCCATGTATGTCAGACCCACAACTAGTAACATACTGAATGGCAAAAAAAACTGAATGTTTTTCCTCTAAGATCTAGAACACGACAAGAATGCCCATGTTCAACATTATTATTTGAAATAGTACCGGAAGTCCTAACTGGAGAAATCAGACAATAGAAAGAAATAAAGAGGATTTAAATTGAAAAGAAAGGAGTCAAATTATTCTTATTTGCAGACGATATGACCTTATATTTGAAAAAACCTAGAGACTCCACCAGAAAACTAATTAAAAAGCTGATAACAAATTCAATAAAGTTGCAGGATAAAAAATCAACATAAAAAATTAGTAGCATTTTGAGGACTAAGCTCTAATTGTTTTATCTTGCCCACATTCTTATCTAAATGATCTGGGTAGTCATGTCCTAGAAACCATAGATTTTTCAGCAGATGGGTTTTATTTAACCCTATGTATCATAACTTACTTTCCAAACTGACTCTGGCATAACATTATGAAACAAGGAAGAAAATCAAAATATTTTACCCCAAAACATATGTCTTTGCCATATCTTGAAAGGCCCTGTAAAGCTGTCCTTAAAGGAATATTTCCATCTGTAAAGAATCTCTATTAACATAGATATATGTTTTTTCTTCCAGGCCCTCCCAATCCTAATGAGATAAATTAAAAGTCTAGCACCTTTTAAAGATCTAAATAGGAAACATTTGTCATCTATTGTCTCTAAGGGCAGACACTATAAGACTTCAAAAGAACCTTGGTCTCCACAATCTTTTATCTTAATCTGAACATTTCCTTTCTATGGATTCCAGATCTTTAGACAAACTCAACCAATTATCAACCAGAAAATGTTTAAATTTACCTATAGCCTGAAACCTGCTGCCTCCCACTGTTTGACTTGTCCCACCATTTTGGACCAAACCAATGTATTTCTTAAAAGTATTTGATTGATGTTTCATGCCTCCCTAAACTGTATAAAAACCAAACTCTGCCTTGACCACCTTGGGCACATGTTGTCAGGACCTCATGGGGGCTGTGTAATGGGCAATGGCCACCCATATTTGGCCCTGAATAAATCTCTTCAAATATTTTACAGAGTTTGACTCTTTCTTTTGACCATTTCTATACACTGCAAACTGAAAATATTGATGACAGGTCTCAGTCAATTTAGAAAGTTTATTTTGCCAAGGTTCAGGACACCCCTGTGACACAGACTCAGGAGGTACTGATGACATATGCCCAACGTGGTCAGGGTAAAACTTGGTTTTACACATTTTATGGATACAATGCATCAATCATATTTTTACATTGGTTCAATGTGGAAAAGTGGAACAACTTGAAGAAGGGGAAGGTCATAGATAGATTTAAAGATATTCTGATTGGTAATTGTCTAAAACAGTTATTATCAATAGAAAGGAATTTCTGGGTTAAGATAAGGAGTTGTGGAGACCAAGGTTTTATCATGCAGATGAAGCCTCCAGGTAGCAGGTTTAGAACAGATTGTAAATGTTACTTATCAGACCTACAGTCTGTGTTGATGTTAATACTGGAGGAGTATAGTGAGGCACATAGGACCCTCACTTACAGTCATGGCCTGATCCAGTCTTTGAGGTTAATTTTAGAGTGCCCTGGCCTAGGAGGGAGTCCATTCAGATGGTTGTGGGATGAGGAAGGGGATTTGAATTTTATTTTTGGATTACAATGTCAGTAGCAATCAATTCAAAAGTAAAAATAAAAAGTCTGCAATATTTACAAATAAAGTTAAATACTTAGGAATTAACTTAACCAAAGAAGTGAAAGAGCTGTACCATGCAAACTATAAAACATAAATGAAAGAAATTGAGGAGGACACATGATAAAAGAAAAACTTCAGCCAAATTAAATTTAAAGGAATTTTGTTAAGCAAAGAATGATTAGCAAATTGGGCAGTCACTGAAGCCAGAGTAGGCTCTGAGATTCCAGTGCAGCCACATGGTGGAAGATTTATGGATAGAAAAAGAAAATGACATACAGAAAACAAAAGTGAGGTATAGAAATAGCTGAATTGGTTATAGGTTGGTGTTTGCCATGTTTGAACATGGTTCAAACAGTTGGCTCCATTTGATTGGCCAAAACTTGGTGATTGGCACAGATGTAGGCTTCAGTCTGTTTACACCTCCACTTGTTCTAGTTTGTGATGTACAAAGAAACCTTTTGGCCAAAGTTAAAATACGTAATGAGGCAGCTTCAGGTTAAACTCGATTTAATAATTTCTCTCTTTGGTCATCTCAATTTTTAAAGGTGGACAAAAAGTTTAGTAATTGATGTCAGTTTCACCAGTATAAATGTACTTATTTGGGCTTGAAAGCCACTGGGAAATAGCAAAACAGTAGGTTTTGTAAGATGGGAACAGGGACTTCAGGTTATTTATTCATTTTTTTGAAAGGGTTAGAATAGAGGGTACCTCCTTATGCTGGAACATCCTTTTTACAGGAGAGAAAACAAAACCTGGTGTGTTCTAGGATCTAAGCGTATCCTTAAAGTCTTAGCTTAATTATGTCACATTTAGCATGAATGACTCCATTTTGGTTTAGTCTGGTCTGTTGGGGCCTAGTGCATAAGCTCAGTCCAAAACAATGACCGCTCATAATTTTGTTTAAAAATTTTCCACTTTTGTTCATGTTCTCAGGTGAGATTGCGACAAACACTTAGGGCCTAAGCACCACTCTCAGTTACCACCATTTTGGGTTTCCAGTCTCATCATGTCTCTCATAAGTTACGGTGCCCATATGGTCACACATTTCTTTCAGGTCTTGTCATTCCAGTTGAAGAGACACCATTTGACATTCTAAGGATGGCTCCATGCAAACATTTAAAATTTTTAAGATAATACAGTGCACCAGGGAAACTACTATTATCAGGAGGATAATACCAAGAGTTTGGAGTATGCTCCTTACCCAGGTTCCCCCTAAACCAAACCACCTAAAATCAAAAAGATAAAAGAATGAGCTAAAAAGTCTACTCACTTTACTAAGCAGTCTCTTTGTTAATCCCCTCTATAAGACCTGATGTGATATATTTCTCCATAGGCCACAAGTGCCAGCAGCTACACAGATACTTCTCTGTTTAGCCAGTAAGTAATGTAGAGCAATTCTATTATTTAGCATAACTTTTACAAGAGAATTTAAAGTCTGTTGTATAATCATCACCTATACAATAGAATCTGCTATAGAGCCTATCATGAGGGATACATTCCTAATCATTGCGTCTTTTACTTAAAACCATGGAAAAAGAGGACCTAACAAATGATGCCATTCTAGTAAAGGGCCTACTTTTAATGTTCTCTTTAACCTGTGAGGTAGGTTAAAAGGAGTGAACCAATGTTCTGTTTCTGACTGATTTTGAGGCAACATATGTACCATTAAAATTTCTCATCTACCTTGGGCCTTCGTTTTCCATCTATCAAGGTATTAGGTTATCCATGTATAAGGCTGGCTTCAAAATCCTTTACAAATAAAAGTATACCCCATGAGTGCACACAACATACTCCCATTTCACTTCTATTGTTCATAGAGACTTAAGCAAGGGAAAAAAAGATTCAAAGATAAGAGTCTCATGATAGTAGAGAAATCTTCATCTGTGATCTTGGGAAAAAGCTGTTCACATCAAAGATGCTATCTTCTTCTGTGGAGAAACATCCCTGGTTACCTTTACCTTAAGGGTTCCAAAGGGAAGTGTACAATTTCACTTGTGTGGACGGACCCTTCTGAGTTGTGAGATTTTGAACCCAAGATTCAAGGTATTGAAGTTTTGCTACAGTGTGGATGACAAGGGCAGTATTTCTCTGATGTTCTCAAAAGATCCAGTCTTTGGGTTCTAGATTGTAAAGGGGTTTATTGTCCTCAGTCAGCAAACTATAAAAAAGCTTTCTTTACCTGGTGAACATATACTGTAGCATAATAATCTACTGTTATAACATCAGCCCTCTTGTATGAGAAAACTTTTATACAACCAAAACCCATGCATTGAAAATGACAATTGTATGAAGTCCCTCTATAAATGTTTGAGTGATCCATCAGGTAGTGAAATGTACCTGAAGCTTTGATTGTTTTCCTAGGAATATGGGTTTGACAAACCAAACATTGGTCATAAACTATTTCAGCAATTTAGAAGTCACCACACCAATATATATTTAATTTGGATCATTTTATCTTTTGCATGATGAGTCACAGAATGCAGAACTCTTAACAACAAAGCTTTAGGGACTCAGGAAGGACAAGGTGGCTTTCCTGGTTCTCCACAAGTCCAGGCTTAACATTAAACTTGTGTCCTCTTGAATATCAGTTGTTTCTCCAATTTAGGTGCATAGCACTGATAACTGATGGGTTATCGTAAGTAAATTGACTCAGACCATGGAGTTCATTCAAACTGTATATCTAAACAATTGTAGTAATGGCTGATGTAGCATAAAAATCTGGCAAAGTATTTTCTTGCTATTCAATTATTCTTTGTTCTACTTGGGTTTGCAGTTTTATAAACCAGTTAGTCCTTTCATTAAAGTTGAGGAAATTCTCACCCAGTCCAAATGATATGATTCTAAAGTTATCAGAAAGCTGTATTTATTCAAGAATGAGTGCTTTTCAGGGTCCTTTCTATCCTTTCATGAACCTCCTAAAAGATACCATATTCTAGGATTTTGTGTGCTTGTGAGGTTTTCAGAAACTGCATCAGAATTAAACAATTAATCATGGAAATGACTTTAAATAGTCATAGTAACAGACAACTGACAAAAAAATTTGGTTACTTCTGTGTTCTAAAATAGCTTAAATAATGACCATAATTATGACTGATAGCCTACACTAAGACATATTCAAATTTTAGAAATTTCATCCATCAATGCATGTAAAATTCCATTGGTTTGATGTGGAAGGGTGGGACAACTTGAAGCAGGAGGTGGGGAGGGGTGGGACTTCCAGGTCATTGGTAGATTTGAGTAGATTCTGATTGGCAATTGGTTGAAAGAGTTGTTTTCTGTAGAAAGAAATGTCTGGATTAAGATAAGGGATTGTGCAGACCAAGGTTTTATCATGCAGTTGAAGCCTCCAAGTAGCAAGCTTAGAATAGATTGTAAATGTTTCTCATGAGACTTACAGTCTGTGTTGATGCTAGCACTGGAGGATTATAATGAGGCACATCAGATCCTACTTCCAGTCATGGCCTAATCTGGTCTTTCACATTAAATTTTAGAGTCCCCTGCCCGAGGAGGGAGTCCATTCAGATGGTTGTGGGGAAGGGTGGGGTGCGGGGGTTTGAATTTTATCTTTGGTTTACGATGCCAATAGCAATCAATCTGAAAAAGAAATTTAAAAATCTACAATATCCATAAATAAAGTTAAATACCTACGAATAACCAAAGAAGTGAAAGATCTGTACCATAAAAACTATAAAATGTTGATGAAATAAATTGAGTAGGACACATAAAATGGAAAGATATTCCATGTTCATGAACTGGAAAAATCAATATTGTTAAAATGCCTGGGCTACCAAAAGCAATCTATAGATTCAATGCAATTCCTATCAAAATACAAATACATTCTTTACAAAAATAAATAAGAACCTTAAAATTTATATGAAAACACAAAAGACCCAGAATAGCCAAAGCTATCATAAGCAAAGAGAAAAAAAAAATGGAGAAATAACATTGTAGGGTCCAGCCCCACAGGGTTGGTGGGTTTTCTCCTTGTGTGCAGAGATGAGAGAGCATAGAAATAAAGACACAAGACAAAGAGATAAAAGAAAAGACAGCTGGGCCTGGGGGACCACTACCACCAAGACACGGAGACTGGTAGTGGCTCTGAATGTCTGGCTGTGCTGTTATTTATTGGATACAAAGTAAAAGGGGCAGGGTAAAGAGTGTGAGTCATCTCTAATGGTAGGTAAGGTCATGTGGGTTACGTGTCCACTGGACAGGGGGCCCTTCCCTGCCTGGCAGCCAAGGCAGAGAGAGAGAGGGAGAGAGAGAGACAGCTTGCGCCATTATTTCTGCATATCAGAGACTTTTAGTACTTTCACTAATTTTGCTACTGTTATCTAAAAGGCAGAGCCAGGTGTACAGGGTGGAACATGAAGGCGGACTAGGAGCGTGACCACTGAAGCACAGTATCACAGGGAGACGGTTAGGCCTCAGGATAACTGTGGGCGGGCCTGACTCATGTCAGGCCCTCCACAAGAGGTGGAGGAGTAGAGTCTTCTCTAAACTCCCCCAGGGAAAGGGAGAATCCCTTTCCTGGTCAGCTAAGTAGCGGGTGTTTTTCCTTGACACTGAGGCTACCGCTAGACCATGGTCAGCTTGGCAACGGGCGTCTTCCCAGACGCTGGCATTACCGCTAGACCAAGGAGACCTCTGGTGACCCTGTCCAGGCAAAACAGAAGGCTCGCACTCTTGCCTTCTGGTCACTTCTCACTATGTCCCCTCAGCTCCTACCTCTGTATGGCCTGGTTTTTCCTAGGTTATGATTATAGAGCGAGGATTATTATAACATTGGAATAAAGAGTAATTGCTACAAACTAATGATTAATGATATTCATATATAATCATGTCTATGATCTAGATCTAGTATAACTCTTATTGTTTTATATATTTTATTATACTGGAACAGCTCGTGCCCTCGGTCTCTTGTCTCAGCACCTGGATGGCTTGCCACCCACATAACATTATCTGACTTCAGATTATACTATGGAACTCATTTTCAACAAAGGTGCCAAGAAAATACATTGGGGAAAGGAGAGCCTCTTCAATAAATGGTGCTGGGAAAACTTACTTTAGCACCCATTATAGAGTTATGTAGGAACACATGAAGCCATAGAATCCAGAGGACATCATTATTAACATAGCCAGTGAAAATCAAGTTATACAAAAACTAAAAACAGCAATGTTTGCACATCAATGAATATTTAATGCAGATTAGTTTAAACATTGTCATAGGCTATGAATACAAGCCATATTTTATACATGATACAATATATTGATATTTCTAAAATGGTGAATTAGTAGGCTGATTGATGCTTTATTTGAAAATATTCTAGAAGTTACAAGCACTGTTAACTAAAAGAAACACATTTTCTTCTCTACTTTCTGACCATAGAGATGTGGACTGACACCCAATATTATTTGCAACTTTACTCAATTTTAAAACTATAACTTATTTATGAACCAATTTCTCACAAGCAATCTTTTGATTGCCTCCTTTACATCTTTGTTCCGCAAACTGTAGATGATGGGATTCAGCATGGGAATCACAATGGTATAAAATATTGACACTATCATGTCATTGTCCGAAGTGTAGCTGGAACTTGGTCTCACATACATGAAGAGGATTGTCCCATGATAAATTGTCACTCCAGTTAGGTGAGCTCCACATGTAGAGAAGACTTTTCTCCTCCCTTCAGCAGACTGCATCTTCAGAATGGCCAACAGAATAAAACCATAGGAGATCAGGACAATCAGGATAGTGACTATCTCAATAGAGCCCACAAAGTAGAAGAATAGAAGCTGGATTACGTGAGTGTCAGAACAAGAAATAGCAAGCAGAGGAGGCATATTACAAAAGACATGCCTAATTTCATTGGATCCACAGAAGGACAGGCTAAATGTAGCCACTGTATGTATAGTAGCATGTAAAATGCTAGCAACATAGGAAGCAGTGATGAGTGGCACATAGACTCTGGGTGACATGCTCACTGAATACAGGAGAGGGTTGTAGATGGCTACATAGCGATCATAAGCCATTGCAGCCAAGAGAAAGCATTCTGTGGTTCCAAAAGTACAAGCAAGAAACATCTGTGTTGCACATCCAAGAAATGAAATAGATTTATTTTTTGCCAGGAAATTGACCAACATTTTTGGAGTGACAACTGTAGAATAGCAGACATCCAAGAATGATAAAACACCAAGAAAATAGTACATTGGGCTGTGAAGCCAGAAATCCCCAATGATCGGTACAACCAGCCCTAAATTGCCTATTAGAGTGAATAGATAGATTGCTAAAAATAATAAAAATAGGAAGACTTGCACATCAAATTCTTCTGTGAAGCTTATTAATATAAACATGGTGACTTCAGTAAAATTGTTTAATTGAAGCTTGTATAGATCCATATCTGAAGGCAACCCTGACATTTTAGCTATTGTTTATATGTACTAAATGCAACAGCCTGTGAAAATTAAGTTTATCCAATTATATCCTCATGTTCGTTTCTTGGAAAAGCAAGATGAAATCCTTGTCAGCAAATGCACAGGTGGTGATAAAATTGGGTCCAAGTGGATACATTACTGTAATTAAATAAATTAAATAAATTATTTTATTCAATCATGCACTAAATTTATCTTTTTAACATGGATGAAGCTGGAAGCCATCATTCTCAGCAAACTATCTCAAGAACCGAAAACCAAACACCGCATGTTCTCACACGTAAGTGGGAGTTGAACAATGAGAACACATGGACATAGGAAGGGGAACATCACACGCCAGGGCCGGTCGGAGGGTGGGAGGCTAGGGGAGGGATAACGTTACGAGAAATACCTAAGGTAGGTGTCGGGTTGATGCGTGCAGCAAACCACCGTGGCACGTGTATACCTATGTAACAAAACTGCACATTCTGCACATGTACCCCAGAACTTAAAGTGTAAAAAAAGTCTATTTAATCAGTTTAATTTCCTGTTCATTTTCCATCAAATGTACTACCATCTATTCTTAATATTAAATTGTTTCAAAACTCATAAAGACTGAGTGCTATTCCTAGGTTTTCTAAAAAGTCCATTGAATTACTTTATTTTTCTCATTTTAAATATGGAAACAATCATATCTACATTATAAGAGTGGGTTGTATTTAAATGGGAAAAACAGTATGTAAGTTATTTAATATTTAAATATGCCCAGATAACTAGAAAATGCAATGTCAGGCTTATATTAAAATTTATCATTTGAGACAGTCTTTCTGACCAAACCATTTCAAATCCTTTTTTTTTTTTTGGCAATTATCCTGCTGTTGCATTAGTACTTACAGAATGGTGGTGGATACAAGAGATTTGATTCTGGAGATAGATGCACCTTGTTTGCAAACCAAAAGAATTTGGTGTTCATTTTTCATTTATTTTTCCTTTTGTGTTTCACTTTTCTTTCCTGAAAAAAATATCACCAATTTGTTCATTTTGGCCTGTGCAGTTTTTTTAAGCATTATTATTTTTCAGATTTTAACTTAAAACCAATATCAGACGTGTCAATTTATATGATCATTTGGTCATTATGCCTGTGAAGTCCTTGGGTGTATTTTTGTGACATATTTATATCAAAAATGAATTATGGCTATCCTTTTACTATGATTCTTACGTAACTTCTGAAATTTCTATAAAATAAATACCATCCAATAACAAGTAATACAATTATTTTTATAAACTGTTGCTAAAACAACACACGTATTCTCTCCTATGATCCTTGGAAAGTATGTGATTCAATTTGTAATACAGCTTCACATTAAACAGAACCCTCTTTCTTATATTTAAATAGTAAGAAATATGTTTTAGTCTTAAATTCAAGGTGAGAGCTTCTTAATATTTTACAAGTGATCAGATTCCTTTTCTCTTACCTTTGGAAATGAACTGCTCACTCAATTCAGGTATGCTATGAATATTGTGCATTTGAATTCTTATACCAGGCCCTTGAGCTCTAGAATTCCACAGGGATGCCCAAAGAAGAAAACACACTAATTCTCTTCTGGGATAAAACAAATTATGATTTTTTTTTTTTTCTGTAGTGAACAAGTAACTGATCTGGAACATGCATTACATGATTCCAATGATCACATAAGTGTACTTTCTACCTAGGTCCAAAATAATCCCCCAGTGGAAAAAAATATGCATATTACTGAAAAAGAAAGCTAATAATACAGGCCATAGTGCTAGCTCTGATTCTAATTATCTACATGCTATCAAATTAATAACTTAAATTCTCTAAAATTCAGTTTCTTCTTGAAATTATAACCTATGAATTATCTGGAAGTCCTATTGTCACATACATAATGAAATAATATGAAAACATAACCTATGACAAGACATATAATCATTTAATAAAGGTTACTATATTTATTTAAATTTGACAGTCCTCTAATTCTAAATGGTATGAGAGAGATTTAACTTCATTGAAAATTTAATAGGCCAGGTGCGGTGGCTCATGCCTGTAATCCCAGCACTTTGGGAGGCCGAGACAGGCAGATCACCTGAGGTCAGGAGTTCGAGAACAGCCTGGCCAACATGGAAAAACCCCATCTCTACTAAAAATACAAAAAATTAGCCGGGCTTGGTGGTGGACGCCTGTAATCCCAGCTACTGGGGAGGCTGAGGCATGAGAATTGCTTGAACCCAGGTGGTAGAGGTTGGCAGTGAGCCGAGACCATGCCACTGCACACTCTAGCCTGGGTGAAAGAGTGAGATTCCATCTCAAAAAAAAAAATTAATAGAGGAGATATTAATGCACATAATTATAAGGTAAATCTATGAATAGAGAATATTAACAGAAGAGTTAGGGCAATATGCAGATGTTCTATGTAATAATTTTCTGTGAACTAGAACATTAGACTCAGATATATGGCAGAGTTAAAGGTCAATTTTTTAAGTTCTGCGAGATCTTTTCTATCTTCAAGAATTGATATACTAATCTATATACTTGTTCTTTGATATGCACATAAGAAATTATCCAAAATGTGATGAAAAATACATGGATGATCAAAAGAATGAAATGACAACAGACTAGGAGAAAATACTTGCAAGGACACATCTGATAAAAGACTGTTATCTAAAATTTACAAAGAACTGTTTAAAACTCAATAGGAACACAAACAACCTGATTTAAAAATGAGTCAAAGACCTTAAAAACCACCTAAAATGGTCAAAAAGGCCGGGTGCAGTGGCTCGCCTGTAGTTCCAGCTTCCAGCCTGAAAGGCAGAGGTTGTAGTGAGCTGAGATTGTGCCTCCGCACGCCAGCGTGGGCGACAGAGCAAGATTCCGTCTCAAAAAAAAAAAAAAATGATTTTAAAAATGAGTCAAAGATACCCCATAAAAGATATACATATGGCATGTAACCATATGAAATTGATGCTCCACATCATAGGTCATCAAGGAAATGCAAAAAAAACAATGATATATCTCTTCATAACTAGAGTGACCAAAATCCCAGAACACAGAAAACAGCAAAAGCTGGCGGTGATGTGCAGCAACAGGAAAACAGGAATTCTCATTCATTACTGGTGGGAATGCAAAATGGTCCAACTACTTTGCAAGACAGTTTGGAAGCTTCTTACAAAGCTAAATTTACTTATAATCCAGTAATCATGCTCCTTGGTGCTTACCCAAAGGAAACAATATCCACACAAAGTTTTGCACATGGATGTTTACAGAAGCTTTATTTATAATTGCCAAAACTTACAAGCAACTAAAATGCTCTTCAGTAAATAAATGTATTAATAAACTGTGGTTTATCCAGATAATGAAATATTATTCAGCTCTAAAAAGAAATGAACTATCAAGTCATAAAAAGACATGGATGAAATTCAAAGGCACATTACTCAGAAAAATAAACACATTTCCAACACCTAGTGAATGAATAAAACAATTGTAGTACATCCATAATATGGAATACTACTCAGTGATAAGTAGGTATAAAATATAATTATCTAGTACAGGAATGAATCTCAAATACTTCTTGCTAAGTTGAAAAAGCCAAACTCAAAAAGTTACATACATTGTGATTCCATTGATATAATATCCTGGACCAGGCAAAATCACAACAGAAAGCACATCTGTGGTTGCCAGAACTTGGGAGTAAAGGAAAGTAATTGGCTACAAAGTGATGAGAGGACTTTATAGGGTAATGAAAATATACTATAACTTGATTTGCTTACCTACTTGTGTTTATCAAAATTCATATAACTGACACTTATAAATGGTAAATTTTTCTGTTTATATTAAAACTTTAGAAAACTAGCTATTACATAAATTTATCATTGCTTCAGAATAGATAATGACTAGAGGACAGAATAAGGTAGCTGAGGCTGCTGACAATGGTAACGGGCTGCTGGCAACCTTCTAAAACATTATTTTGTTATTTTCATCCTTGTATACTTTAACTCTCATCATATGGAGTTCAATTGCCATCTTCTTGCTCCATCCATGTTTAAATGTGCTGGGCATCTTGACTCTCAGAAGAAGGTACATAGGAAGTTGGTGATATATCAAAGTAACTTTTCCAGGTTCATGCTGAAGGAATCACTCTCTAGCTTTCATTGTGGCCTTAAAATATTACTGTAAAGCTACTTTAGCTCTCAGACCTAAGCCTAATTTATGAGCAAATTCTCCCTGCTCTTCCTTGAGTCCTATAGACAGTCAGTTCTTGCCTTTCAAAGTGGTTCTCCACACCTTAGACATTTTATGTTGCCCTAAGTGTTCTGAGAACTACATCTCCCAGAATTCTCCTTTCTTAGTGAAGCTTTTCTTCCCAATGATTCTACTTGACTCAGTTAGCTTTTTTTTTTTTCAGCGTTTTGTTTTCCTTAGGGAAACAAGGACAAGTCTTTACTTGTCCTACTGAAAGGGTGTATATGCTGCACATTTGTGACATCCTTAATTACCTTGAGCACAGTTTCAATCATTCACGATCCTTTGGCGACACCTGTATTGAGACTGCACAGGGGTTGGGGTGGTAATTCACCTGAAACTTGGAACATATAAAAGCTTATCTACTCTTCCAGCTTGACTTTGCTGGAATTTTCACTCAATAAATTGTCTTTTCTTTTTACTGGTGGAGTTTGAAAATTCACGAATTCCATGTGTTATAGGTACTGTTAATCCTTCCTTTTCCCAGTTAATTCTGTGTCTGGTAAAAAAAAAAAAAAAAGTTGCTGATTTAACAAGATTCTGTTGCAACAGGGTGCTTTGACTCAATATTCTTTTTATTTTCAGGTTTTGTGGTGGTAGTCTTTGATATAATTTTGAAAAAACAAATAAAAATTATCCATTTATGTATTTTTCACTTTCACTCATTTCATGTTTGCTTGTTTATTGATTTTTTAAATATGTTGATGGAGATTCTGAGTTTATTAGTGAAAGTTTATGCCTGCCTTGCATCAGCTTCTTTCTCTCCTTCCTTTTTTCTCTTTCTACCTTTTCCTTCCTTCCTTCCTTCCTTCCTTCTTTCCTCTCTTTCTCTTTTTTTCCCTTTCTCTCTCTCTTTCTTTCTTTCTTTCTGAATGCATTGAGTAGAGGTGCAATTTTGTTGTATGGATATATTGAATATATTGAATATCTTGACTTTTAGTGTATCCATCTCCTGAATAATGTGCATTGTACCCATTAAGTAATTTCTTATACTCCACATACCTCTGACTCTCTCACCCTTCCAACTTTCCACTGTAATTCATTCCACACTCTATGTCATATGTATACATTATTTAGCTCCTGCTTATAAGTGAGAACATATCATATTTGACTTTCTTTTTTAAAATTGTTTCATTTAAGATAATGGCCTCCAGTTTCATCCATGTTGCTGCAAAAGACATGCTTTCATTCTTTTGTTGGTGAATAGTATTCAACTGCTTATATATAACATATTTTCTGCATCTAGTCATCCATGGTTGAACACTTAGAGTGATTCTGTATTTTTCTTACTGTGAATAGTGTGGTGATAAACATAAAAGTGCAAGTATCATAGAACCACCATTTGATCCAGCAATTCAACTACTGGGTATCTACCCAAAGTAAGATACTGATTTATCTTTTGGCAGATACCCAGTAGTGGGATTGCTAGATCAAATAGTCGTTCCATTTTCAGTTATTTGAGAAATCTCCATACTGTCTTCCATATAGGTAGTACTAGCTTACATTCCCAACAGCAGTGCATAAGCATCCCCTTTTCTTTGCCAACATCTGTTTTTTTTTTTTTTTTGACATTTTAAGATTGGTCATTCTAACTGGTGTGAGACGATATCTAATTAAGGTTTTAATTTTCATTTCTCTAATAAGTGATGTTGAGCATTTTTTCATATGCTTATTGGCCATGTTCATTGCATGTCTTCATTTGTAAAATGTTTATTGATATCTTTTGGTCACTTTTAAATAAGGTTATTTTTCTTCGTTGAATTGCTTGAATTCTTTCTAAATTGTAGATATTAGTCTCCCATCAGATGCATAATTTGCAAATATTTTCTCTCATTATGTGGATTCTCTGTGCCCTGTTGATGATTTATTTTGCTGTATGGGAGCTTTATAGTTTAATTACATCTCATGAGTTTATTTTTGTTTACGTTGACTGTGTTTTGGTGGTATTAGTCATGAAATATTGCATAGACCAATGTCCAGAAGATTTTTTCCTAGTTTTTCTTCTTGTATTTTTCTATTTTCAAGTCATATATTTAAGTCCTCCATCCAACTCGGGTTGATTTTTGTATATGTAAATGGTAATCCAATTTTCCTACACCATTTATTGCAAATAGGATTCTTTGTCCAGTGTGTGTTTTTGTTAAATTTGTTAAAAATCTGTTGGATGTATATATATGGCTTTATTTATGAGTTGTCTATTCTTTTCCATTGATCTGTGTCTGCCTTATATCCTACCATACTGTTCTGATTATTACAGCCTTATAGTGTAACTTAAGGCCTGGTAATGTGAAGCCTTGAGCCTTATTTTTCACTTGGGATTGATTTGGCTATTCACTCTTTTTTTGTTGTTCCATATGCATATTAGGATTATTTGTTCCAATTTTATGAAAAATCACGTTGGTCTTTTGATAGAAATTGCATTAAATCTATAGATTGCTTTAGGTGGTATATTCATTTTAAGATATTAATTCTTTTTTTTAAATTGTCAACTTTAATTTTAAGTTCAGGGGTACATGTTCAGGATGTGCAGGTTTGTTACATAGGTAAACCTGTGTCATGGTGGTTTGCTGCACGGATCATCCCATCACCCAGGTATTAAGCACAGCATCCACTAGGTATTCTTCCTGAACCTCTTTCTCCTTCCACCCTGCCCCTCATGCTCCAACAGGCCTCAGTGTGTGTTACTCTCCCCACCATGTGTCTATGTGTTCTCATTGTTCAGCTCCCACTTCTAAGTGAGAACATGTGTATTTGGACTTTTGTTCCTGCATTAGTTTGCTAAGCACAATGGCCTTCAGCTCCAGCCATGCCCCTGCAAAGAACATGATCTTGTTCTTTTTTATGGTTGCATAGTATTCCACATTTCTTGCGTATATGTACCACATTTTCTTTCTTTCTTTCTTTCTTTCTTTCTTTCTTTCTTTCTTTCTTTCTTTCTTTCTTTTTCTTTCTTTCTTTCTTTCTTTCTTTCTTTCTTTCTTTCTTTCTTTCTTTCTTTTGTTCTTCTTTCTCTCTTTTTATTCAGAGTCTTGCTCTGTCACGTTTGTGTACCATATTTCCTTCCCCTCCTTCCCTCCCTCCCTCCCTCCCTCCCTCTCTCCCTCTCTCTCTCTCTCTCTCCCTTTCTTTCTTTCTTTCTCTCTTTCTTTCTTTCTTTCTTTCTTTTGTTCTTCTTTCTCTCTTTTTATTCAGAGTCTTGCTCTGTCACGTTTGTGTACCATATTTCCTTCCCCTCCTTCCCTCCCTCCCTCCCTCCCTCCCTCTCTCCCTCTCTCTCTCTCTCTCTCCCTTTCTTTCTTTCTCTCTTTCTTTCTTTCTTTCTTTCTTTCTTCTTTCTCTCTCTCTCTCTTTCTTTCTTTCTTTCTTCTCTTTCTTTCTTTCTTTCTTTCTTTCATTCTTTTTCTTTCTTTCTTTCTTTCTTTCTTTCTTTCTTTCTTTCTTTCTTTCTTTCTTTTGTTCTTCTTTCTCTCTTTTTATTCAGAGTCTTGCTCTGTCACGTTTGTGTACCATATTTCCTTCCCCTCCTTCCCTCCCTCCCTCCCTCCCTCCCTCTCTCCCTCTCTCTCTCTCTCTCTCCCTTTCTTTCTTTCTTTCTCTCTTTCTTTCTTTCTTTCTTTCTTTCTTTCTTTCTTTCTTTCTTTCTTCTTTCTCTCTCTCTCTCTCTCTTTCTTTCTTTCTTTCTTTCTTCTCTTTCTTTCTTTCTTTCTTTCTTTCTTTCTTTCTTTCTTTCTTTCTTTCTTTCTTTCTTTCTTTCTTACTTTTTCTTTCTTTCCTTTTTTCAGAGTCTCTCTCTGTCACCCAGGCTGGAGTGCAGTGGTGGGATCTCAGCTCATTGCAACCTCCACTTCCTGGGTTCCAGCTATTCTCCTGTCTCAGCTTCTGAAGTAGCTGGGATTACAGGTGCACGCTGCCATGCCGGCTAGTTTTTTGTATTTTAGTAGAGACGGGGTTTCACCATATTGGCCAGGCTGGTCTCAAACTCCTGAGCTCAGGCAATCCACCCACCTCAGCCTCCCAAACTGTTGGGATTACAGGCATGAGCCACTGCACCTAGCCCCTTTGCCCACTTTTTAATGGAGTTGTTTGTTTTTTTCTTGTGAAATTGCTTAAGTTATTTGTACATTCTGGATATTAGACCATTGTCAGAGAATAGATTGCAAAATTTTTCTCCCATTCTGTAGGTTGCTGTTTACTCTGTTGATAGTTTCTTTTGCTGTGAAGAAGCTCTTTAGTTTAATTACATCCCATTTGTCAATTTTTGCATTTGTTGCAATTGCTTTTGGCATCTTCATCATGAAATCTTTGCCCATGCCTATGTCCAAAATGGTATTGCTAGGCTTTCTTCTGTGTTTTACATCTAAGTCTTTAATCCATCTTGAGTTGATTTTTGTATATGGTGTAAGGAAGAAGTCCAGTTTCAATCTTCTGCATATGGCTAGCCAGTTCTCCCAGCACCATGTATTGAATATGGAATCCTTTCCCCATTGCTTTTTTTTGTCAGGTTTGTCAAAGTTCAGATGGTAGTAGGTATGTGGTCTTATTTCTTGGTTCTCTATTCTGTTCCATTGCTCTATGTGCTGATAAGAAGAATGCTAACAAGGGATTTATACATTCAGATACAAGAGTCTCAGTCATCATTAGAAAAATACATTGCAAATCGGACTTTGCCATGCTGTATAGTCATCAGACTGTCTAAATTCAATGTGAACAAAAAATTCCAATGTCAGCAAGAGAAAAGTGTCTAGTCTGCTGAAAAGGAAGCCCCATCAGACAAAAAACAAACTTTTCAGCAATAGTCTTGCAAGCCAGAAGAGAATGAGAGGCTATTTTGAAAGTGCTAAAGGAGAGGAAAAAAAAAAAAAGAGCTGTGAATTTTATATCCAGCTACAATAAGCTCTATAAATGAAGGATAAATAAAGTCTTTTCCAGACAAGCAAACGGTGATGGAATGCATCACTACTTGATCAGCCTCATAAGAAATACTAGAAAAAGTCCTAAACATAAAAACAAAAGGCTGATATTCACTACCAAAATATCACATGGGATTATAAAATTCAGCCATTGTATAAGACAATTACACAAAGAAGGAAGAGACTGGAATTAAATAGCAATACAACAGAACTACACTAAACTACAAAAAAAAAAAGAAAAAAAATAAGAATGTGTAAAACAACTAGCTAAAAATGTACAATGTGACAGGAATAAAACCTCACATATCAGTATTAACCTTGACTGTAAATGGATTAATGTTCCTGTTAAAAGATATACATTTGTGGAATGAATTTAAAGAATGATCAAACTGTATCCTTGGTGATAAAAACACATATAGACTAAAAGTAAAGGAGTAGTCGAAAAGGATATTCCATGCAAATAGAAACCGAAAGTGAGCAGAAAAACTACACTGTATCTCAGATAAAACTGACTTTAAATAAATAATAAAAAAAGAGTAAAAAGACAGACAAAAAGAGTCATAATATAAAAATAAAAGGATCAATTCAACAAGAGTATATATCAATTCTAAATATCTGTGCACCCAATATTGGAACATGAGATGACTTATGATGTTTTACAGAGATGTAAATTTTTTGCCTTCTTTAAGTCTATGGCATTTTTGTAGCTTTCTTATTAATTTGCTATTAATACTCCAATGATTTCAAGTATTATACTTTATTCACTGCAAACATAGCAGTTTATAATTTTAACAGAATGAAAGTGTAATGCATTTGAATGACTGTAAATCTATCTGCTAGATTGTGTGGAAGACATATGGTGATTCAATGTTATTATAGTTCACTATATTTACTGACTCATTGCAATATAAAATGGCTTATATTGCCAGCATGAGGACACTAGGCCTCAGAGAAGTTAAGTTTTAAGCCAGTGTCAAAGTTATGTTATAAAATTGTGTGTCATGGCCAGGCACAGATGCTCATGACTGTAATCCCAGAACTTTGGGAACCAAAACAGGCCAACAGCTTGAGCCTAGAAGTTGGAGACCAGCCTGGACAACATAGAGAAACCCCATCTCTACTGAAATTAGAAAAACTTGACAGACATGGTGGTGCACAACTATAGTCCCAGCTACTCAGGAGGCTGAGGTGGAGGTGAGCCTGGGATGTGGAGGTTGCAATGAGCTGAGATCACAGCATTGCACTATAGCCTGGGCCACAGAGCAAGACCTTGTCTCAAAAATAAACAAATAAATTAAATTATATATGTCTCATATCTTAAGGTTTTTATTTAATATTAAAACACTTTAAAACATTTTTAAATGCCATCATTTTAACCAGAGGACAAAAAACCATTCAATAAATGTCAACATACGGTACCTTTTTCTAAGCCATTTACTTTTTCACTATTGAATAAATCATATTGCTGTTCTTAAACTGGAAGATAATGAAAGCATATTCTCTTGGGCATATCTCCTGTGAGTTTCATCAACATTCAAGTAAGTGGATATAAACAATCTATATGAACCATATTCATTAGGAAATCAAACCTACATTTGCTGTTCCACAGGTAGGAGAAATTTTCAGATCATTTGGAGATTATTTTAGTAGCTAGAACCTAAGAAAACAAGATCAAATATGTTATTTTGTACTAAACACTTTAGCTACTAAAAAGACTGTAGAAAACACATTAATTCTTGACCATTGTATAGGTGAATAATTTGTATTCATACACACCTGATTTGTGCAAAGTTCTGGCCAATAATTGAAAACCAGTTGAAAACAGATCAGTTTGAAGTATGAACAATCAGGAATTTACCAATAAAGGGCAAGAACATATTTATCTTATTCAACTAATGAGCATTTATATTTTGATATAACAAGAAAAACAATAAAAAATTATTTTAAGTTTATTTTTGCTAGCCATGGTATCTAGAAGTCACTTAGGACTGCTACTTACTTCTATTGTTTCTCTAGCTTCAATGGTTAAAAAAATCCAAATACCTCGAGAATCATGTTTTGTTTTATTTCACTGGGGATAGTGGGTGGGGTTGGAATGTAACTTTCAGAATGTAGACAAGGTCTAATAGAAGGCAGTAAATCATTGAAAAGTCCATGCATTATTTGGGTGACAGGAAGTTTAATCTTGCCTCTGGCACTTGATAGCTGTGAGATTTACTACAAAGTTGCAATAAAACAATGTGCACAAAAGTCTATTTCTATAGCAAGTGCTCAATAAATGGCTATTATTTCTCTCCTCCTTTGCAAATTTAGTGTTTCAATGTCAAACTCAAGATATTTGGAGAGTTATGTCTTCTACTAAATTTGTATTTATAGATGTGGCTTTATATTAATTTTCAAAGCTGATCGTATATTATTAATTTCTTCCAGAATCATAGTCATTTACTCTTTATAACTCTCAATCTTTTCTATATATGCTAATATTGACTTAGGCTAAACCAGGAAAACTCATCTTTTGGCATCTAGTAAAAATGCTGGTTTAAAGACAAATTTAGCTGAAGTGCTTAACATCATAGCTTTTCTCTATATCATTTATTTAAAGTAATATTAAGCCCACTATGATGTAACAAATAGTATTGTGGTAATATAATTGTGGTAATTTTGGGTATTAACAGATCACATAATTTCTGAAACATCTTTTACTTGACTAAAAAATACTTCAAAGTCATAAAGAGTAGACAGAAGAAAATCACAATCAAGATACTAAATTTAGAATATTTAAATTTAATCCTGATAGAATATTTGAGTATGTATTAATAATTTAAAAAACAAATTTATTAAATATAACAAAAAATAAAGGATCTGGTTCAAGGCTCTTGTCACATATTTTTCAATGATTTAGTTATAATATTAATTTTGCGACCTAATTTTTACCAGTATTTAAAATGTATATATATGATGACAAAAATTCAATAATGTTGTAATATTAAATATAACAAATTGATATATTAAAGGAAGTTCCTTCATATATTTATGTTTTGAACAATTGTTTAGTCTGCCTGTCTGCACATCATTGTGCTGCGTGGTTATTCAAATACATTTATATTTTAAAGAGGAAAAACCTTTGTAGAGAAGGCCTAACATCATACATGGCTCCAATCTGTGGAATTGGAATAAAGCAGATTGCCCTCCATCATTTCGGTGAGCTTCATCTAATTGGTCGATTGGCATAAAATGACCACCCTCTCACGAAGAAAAGAGTATTCTTCAAAAGACTGTCTCAGACATCATCAACCACATTGACTCTTCCTGGTTCTATGGAAGACTGCTTATGGACTCAGACTGAAACAGTAGCCCTTCTGGGTCTCCTGCCTGCCAACTCACCCTACAAATGTTGGACTTGCTAACCTTTACAATTAGTAGCTCTGGTATTTCTGGAATTGGCTGTCTAATATGATTAGTTTTAAAGACACTAATGAGGCTGGATGTGGTGGCTCACACCCGTAATCTCATCACTTTGGGAGGCCAAGGTGGGAGGATCACTTGAGTCCAGGAGTTCAAGACTAACCTATGCAATATAGTGAGAACCCATATATATATACAAAGAAATAAAAATAGCGTGGTGGCAAATGCCTATGTTCCCACCTACTTAAGAGGTCTGAGATGGGAGGATCACTTGAGCCTGGGAGGTTGAGGCTGCAGAGAGCAATGATCATGCCAACAGGGTCCTATAGGTGAGGGACAAAGTGTAAACTATGTAGAGGTGTGCTATACTCTAAAAGAAGTATTTGAGTTTCCTAACATATACAGGCTGAAATTCAGAGAATATGTTTGGAAATGGATATTAAGGATGTAAGATAATGATGAAAGGAATATAATACTGGATGAGACCAAATTTTTTGATACAAATCCAGTAAGCAGAGATAGTGCATTTAATGTTGCAGCTCAAAGAGTGAGAAAAGACTCTAACACATTTTTTGTTTGGCTAAAACATGGACCAAAAGGTAGCCCACAGTGAGTTAAATGTGAAGTCCCTGCTTTTATTTTTCTGTAGAAACATGGATTTAAAGGGTTAAAGATATTGAAAAGTTGAAGTGAATTTGCCTGTTAACATCTACCAACCCAAACTGGAAAAGTCCAAAAGATACATTGCTCACCAAAATAAACTTTGGTTCTTTGAGTAATCTCCATACTGATTTCCATAGACATAGAACTAATTTACATTCTCACCAGTGGTGTATAAGCATTCCCTTTCACCACATCCACACCAACACCTATTGTTTTTTGACTTTTTAATAATGGCCATTCTGGCTGGGGTAAGGTGATCTCTCATGGGGGTTTCGATTTGCATTTAGCAGATAATTATTGATGTTAAGCAGTTTTTCATATGTTTGTTGGCCATTTGCATATCTTCTTTTGAGAAATGTCTATTCATGTCATTTGCCTACTTTTTGGTAGTATTATTTGTTTTTATTCTTACTGATTTGTATCCCTTGTAGATTTTGGATATTAGTCCTTTGTTGGATGCATAGTTTGCAAATATTTTCTCCCATTCTGTGGGTTGTCTGTTTACTCTGTTGATTATTTCTTTTGCTGTGCAGAAGCGTTTCAGCTTAATTAGGTCCCATTTATTTATTTTTGTTTTTGTTGCATTTGATTTTGGGATCCCAATCATAAATTATTTGCCTAGGCCAATGCCCGAAAGAGATTTTTCTAGGTTTTCTTCTAAAAGTTTTATGGTTTCAGGTCTTAGATTTAAATCTTTAATCCATCTTAGGTTGATTTTTGTATATGGTGAGATATAGGAATCCAGTTTCATTCTTTTACATGTGGATATCCAGTTTTCCCAGCACCATTTATTAAATAGGGTGTCTTGTGCTCAGTTTACATTTTTGTATGCGTTCTTAAAGATCAGTTGGTTTTAAGTACTTGCCTTTATTTCTGGGGTTTCTGTGTTCCATATGTCTATGTATCTATTTTTATACCAGTACATGCTTTTTTTGTTAACTATAGTTTTGCTTGTAAATATTTGCCTTTATTTCTGGGTTCTCTGTGTTCCATCTGTCTATGTATCTATTCTTATACCAGTACATGCTTTTTTTGTTACTATAGCCTTGGTTGTAAGTATTTGCCTTTATTTCTGGGTTCTCTGTGTTCCATCTGTCTACATATCCATTCATAAGAATGGATACATACTTTTTTTGTATGTACCAGTACACACTGTTTTTGTTATTATAGCCTTATAGTATAATATTAAGTTCAGTAATGTGTTGCCTTCAGATTAGTTCTTTCTGCTCAGGATTGCTTTGGCTAGCTGGGTTGTTTTTAGGTTCCATATGAATTTTGGGATTGTTTTTCCTAATTCTGTGAAAAAGTTGACATTTTGACAGAAATTGCATTGAATCTGTATATTGCTTTGGGCAGTATTGATGGCAACGGCAGTCCATATGGAGTAGCCGCTGCAAAGACAACGGCTGCAGCAGGGGAGGCAGCTGGGGCTTTGTGCTCCACAGAGCCAGAGTGGGCCAGGAACAGGCAGGAGCCCTGCCCCGTAACAAGTTGGCAGGGTGGGAACCCTGTATTCCCAGGCACAGCTGCAGCCACCCAGCTGTGGCTCCAGACCTGGGCATTCCTGTGCTTGGGTGCCCAGGAGACCCCCTGCCCCTACAGGCTTTAAAGTGCCTGCTCTTGCTACCCACCTCTCCTAACTCCTGGCTCCCACTCCAAGGAATAGCAACGTTGTGGTCAAGCCTGGGCACTATTGCAACCCAGGTAGGTGTGTGCAAACTAGCACACCAGCCCCCTGCTGCCTTGGCATCCTGTGGACTTTGGGCACCAATGAGCATGGGAGGGAGGCTGTGGGGGGTGCTGAGGGTGGGTTGCCATTGGCCTGCAGGAACTCCTTGGCACAAACAGCCTGGGTGCCTTGGATGGTGAGAGACAGACAAATTCCTGGGCAGAAAGAGGCATGTCTCCACCCACCTTCAAGCCAGGGATGGCCTGAAGCCTAGGGGCCTGGGCTGCCAGTTCTGGGTGGAGTCTATGGCCTGGAGTGAGAACTTATATTGCTTTTTCTGGGTCCTTCCATGGCCACCCATGGGCCAATCAGCATGCACTTTCTTCTTTCTGAGCCCATGAAAACCCTGGACTCAGCCAGACTTGGACAGAAATCCAACTACCAGCTGCAGGAAGGAGCTACCAACTTTGGGTCTCCTTGACTCACTAGGACGACTTGCCTATGGAAAGGAGCTAACAACTATGGGTCTCGTCTCCACTGAGAGCTGGACACTTGTCAGGATGACCTGCCTTTGGAAAGAAGCTACCCACTGCAGGTCTCCTTAGAGCTATTCTGTTGCTCAATGAAGCTCTTCTCTGCCTTGTTCACCCTCCAGTTGTCAATGTGCCTCATTCTTCCTGGATGTGGGACAAGAACTTGGGACCACCAAATGATGGGACTGAAAGAGCTGTAACACAAACAGGGCAGAAACATGCCCCCTGCTACCCCCCATCCCCCCAACCACCACATTGCAGGCAATGATTTAGAGGAGGAGCTGCAGCCCTTTGGGGAGCCCAGACCTAGTGTCTCCCCAGGCCAGGGCTATAACGTCCTCTTTGGGGCTCTATGGTTTCTGACATTTCCAAGCTTTCAGACACCACCACACTCCCCCTGTTCAGATGCAGGTACCCACAGTGGAAGCTGCTTGTGATACATCTGATCCAGCCACAGCCTCGCACAGAGCCAGGACCTGTGCTTGCACCTGGAGCTGCCTGCTCAGCTGCAGCAGCCAGTGTGCCTGGCTGTGTGGAGTGGCTGGACCTTATTCCCACTTGCTCCTATACTCCTTGCCACTCTGCACCTGGCTTGCCCTTGGCAGATGTGGGTCCTGGGCCAGGAGCTCAGGCCAAGGGCGGACTGCCAGGCAGAGTTAATAAAATGAGTCCAGCGGGTGTGAGCAATACTCAGGCATAAGGCCACAGAGGTTTCAAGCTGGCAAACCAACACCCCAAGTAACCTGTGACAGTATGGTCAGTTTTACAATATTGACTCTTCCCATACATGAGCAGATTTAAATAAAACTCTAGATTTTTAAATTTTGAATTGCTTTTGGAATGAGTTAGGATTTTGGGGTGCTATTCAGATGGAACAAATGTATTTTTTATGTGAGAAGGACATAAATTTTGGAGTCCTGGGGCAAAATATTATATTTTAAATGTGTCTCCTCCAAAATTCAGGTGTTGCCAATTTGGTAGCATCAAGAAGTGAGACCTTTAAGAGGTGATTAGGCTGTCCTTACAACTCATTCTTTGTTAATGAAATTAAGGCTTATATGAAAGGCTTCGTTCAGCAGTTGGCTAGCTTGCTCCCTTTCCTGTCCACCTTCTGCCATGTGAGGATGCAGCAAGAAGGGTCTCACCAGACAGTAAATGCTGCCACCTTAATCTTGGACTTCTCAGTCTCCAGAAATGTGGGAAAACAAATTTTTATCCTTTATAAATGACCCAGTCTCAGGTATTCTGTTTTAGAGGCAAAAAATGGACTACTGCATAGAGTGCATTGGCTTTCCATCACATTGTTTAAATATAGTCCACTTTACAGCATAGTGCTTGAGGTATGGAATATCAAGGAAAAAAAGTAAACATCATCTAAGGACTTTTCATCCTCTTCTAGGGGAAAGGGTGAGAACAGTTTTGATTTTATTAAGAATGGAAATATCATGTTAGGTAGAAGTTTGACCTTATTTTTGTTTTCATTTGGAGATCAAGTATGTTTTAAGGGGATATATATGACTGCCAGGTTGACAAGGGGTACACTTATATTGATTAATTTTAATGTGTCAACTTAAATGGGCTATGATGTGCTTACATTTGGTCAGACATTAATGTGTTTGTTACTCTAAGGATGTTTTGGGAGAGATTAACATTGAAATTGGTGGCATTTGAGGAATGCCTATTGACCTCCATAATGTGGGTTGGCCTTACTCAATTAGATGAAGGTTTGCATGGAGCAAAAAACTAGCCTCTCCAGAGCAAGAGCTAATTCTCCAGCAGACTGCCTTCAGATCTTGTCTACGTCACCAGCTCTTCCTGGTTCTACAGCACTTTGCCCATGGGTTCCGAGTAGATTATCAATAATCCTGGATCTCCAGCCTAATGACCCACCCCGTAGAATTTGAAATTGCCAGCCTCCCAAAATCAGATGAGCCAATTCCTTGTAATGAATCCTTCATCCCCCTCCTCCCCCATACATCCTGTTGGTTCTGTTTCTCTGGAGAACCCTGATTAACACATCCTTCCTTGGGTCTCCTGAGTATTTTGTACCTGTGATTTTATGTTCTCTTATTTTTAGAAAATTCTTGACCATTTTGTCTTCAAATGTTTATTCTGACCCATTCTCCCTTGATTCTTGTTCTGAAACACTAACTGTATGTATATTGGACTGTTTGATGTTGCCCTACAGTTCTTTGATAACTTTTAATTCCATATTTTTTCTTTAACTTTTCTCTCTGGTTAATTTATGTTGCTTTATCTTTAAGTTCACTAATACTTTTCTCAAGTTACTGAATCTACTGATAAACTTGTGAAAGAAATTCTTTGTCTCAGATATTGTGACTGTGAGCATGAGTTTTTATTTATAGAATTTTATTGAATACTTCCATATATTTTCCATCTCTGATATTTCTCACATATTCATGCATGGTGTTTACCCTCTCCACTAAAGCATTTATTCTAGTAATTTTCATGCTCTTTACTCAAAGACAACGAGGAATAACGATATTTGAAGACGTTAATTTTATTTGTTTTTTTTTTTTTTTTTTTTGTAAATGCTTGTTGGGGGCCTGCAGAGAAAACCTTGGGAGTGAATGCAAACTTTATTCTAGGACTTCCTGCTTTTCCCAATAACTCTCACTTGGCCTTTAAAATTACTTAATTTTAAGCTGATTTCCTCTGTTTTTAAACTATACTTTAACTTCTGGGATACATGCACAGAACACGAGGTTTATTACATAGTTATACACGTGCCATGATGGTTTGCTGCACCCATCAACCCATCATCTACGTTAGGTATTTCTCCTAGTGCTATCCCTCCCCTGGCACCCCATCCCCCAACAGGCCCTGGTGTGTGATATTCCCCTCCCTGTATCCATGTGTTCTCATTGTTCAACTCCCACTTACGAGTGAGAACATGCAGTGTTTGGTTTTCTGTTCCTGTGTTAATTTGCTGAGAATGACGGTTTCCGGCTTCATCCATGTTCCTGCAAAGGACATGAACTCATCCTTTTTTTATGGCTGCATAGTATTCCATGGTGTATATGTGCTACATTTTCTTTATCCAGTCTATCATTGATGGGCATTTGGGTTGGTTCCAAGTCTTTGCTATTGTGAATAGTGCTGCAATAAACATAAGTGTGCATGTCTCTTTATACTAGAATGGTTTATAATCTTTTGGGTATATAGCCAGTAATTTCTTCCTATCTGTATGGTGAACAAATATATCTCATACTCTGTGCCCACAGTGAAAGAAAGAGATGCTCAGGCATCTCATCTACATTTGAAGTAACTTGGTCTTCTTTGGAATTCAGATTTCTTGGATGTTTTGAACCTTGGTTCTCTGATAGACTCATGAAAAGCTATAATTTTGAAGATTACTTGGCTTTTTAAGTTGTTAGAATGAGAAGAATTTACTTTGCTGCTTTCCAAATTCTGTGTGGAAGTAGAGGTTCTGTATATCATTTAAAATCCCACCCAATACTGCGATTTCAAATGTTTCTTTTCTGGATAACTCTCCACTCACCACTGTAATATTCTTCTGGAGTTTTAGTTCTGTGCATTAAAAATGTAATGGAACCTCAGAATCAGTATACATATAACTGATCTTAACCACTCAACTTCTACAATATTCATCTCTCCAGTGTGTCCCCTTCCTATTTCCTTCCTTCTCCTTTTTCTGTCTGTCTCGTCTCTCTCTGTCTTTTTTTTCTCTCTCACTTTTACTTTTTATATTTGTCTTGTTTTATCATATAGGCTCAAAACTTGCAAATTCAAAAGGTCTCAATAAATAAAATGAATTGTCAAATCCAGATGAAATTTCACTTCCAATAACTTTTATTTTTAATTAATTTTAAAATTTATAATTGACAGAAAAGAATGGTATATATTTATTTATGGCGTACACTGTGATGTTCCAATGCATGTATACATTGTAAAATGGTCAAATCAAGGTAATTAGGATATCCATCACTTTAAACATTTATCATTTATTTGTGGAATAACATTTAAAATATTCTTTGCCAGCTATCTTAAAATACATACTACACTGTTACTGCCACAGTCACCCTACTGTGTAATAAAACATCAGGACTTACTTTTCCTGTTTAATTGTTATTTTATATCAATCAACCAACCTCATTTAATTTGTCTCCACTACCCTGTTTAGCTTCTGATAACCACTTTTCACTTACTTTTTACTTCTATAAAATCAAGTTGTTTATTATTATTATTATTATTATTATTCTACATATAAGTGAGATTGTGCAGTATTTGTATTTCTGTGCTTGGCTTATTTCACTCACTTATTCATCCATGTTGTCATTAATGGCAGGATTTCATTCTATTTTATTTCTCAGTAGTATTCCATTGTGTGTGTGTGTGTGTGTGTGTGTGTTTGTGTGACATTTTCTTTATGCATTCATTTGTAGATGGGCATTTAGGTTCATTCCATATCTTGGCTACTGCAAATAATGCTGCCATAAACATAAGAGTACGGATATCTCTTTGACATACTGATTTCTTGAAACTTCTACATCTCAATGAATGGAATGAATGGCCAAATCAGTGGAAACCACATTTTCAGTACTTTTAAAATGCATTCCTTTTTCTTCTTATTTCTGCCACAGACTTAATGAGGAGCTTCAGTATTCTCAATAATGCTCTCTGGAGGATAACTAATAAAGTTGGTAAAGTGAAAAGATAAATCTGTTCTTTCACTCCATGTATAACAAGCTTAAAAACAGGAACTCTGTAACCAGACAGCTTAGATGTGAATCCTGACATCACCCTTTAGAGCTATGTGGCATTGAGCAAATTCCTTAAAATTTATGTGCTGCTGTTTCCTCAACTTTGTTAAAAGATATTACTACAACCACTTCCTGAAGTTATGAGAATTACATAAGTTAATATAGTAAAAACTTTTACATGATTGTCCAGTACCTGATAAGCATATGTTAATTATTAGTATTAAATATAATTCATTCATGTACTCACTATTTATTTAATAAATATTTTGTCAGCAAACCATAAGTTCTAGGTACTCTTTTAGGACTCAGGGATACAATTTTGAGGACAAATATGCCCAATGCATGTTTTTATGCAAGTTACAATGTCAGCATCATGGTAGATCTGGATAATATATTATAAAATCACAACATCACATGCTAAATGGCAACTGTGATAAGTGAGAGAGGCTCCATGGGGTCATAGTGAGTCAAATCATTCTTTTGGGGGGAAAGGTAATTGAGCTGAGATATGTAACAAAATGTTCTATTGACTTGAGAGTTAAATATACCATTTTTCTCACCTTGACCTGAACAAATAGCAGGTCATTCGAGACTGCTTATTCACACCATTTGTTTTCTAATCGATTAGGATAAAAAGAGAGATAGTGAACTTTTCATGATGGTTAACTTGACAAGTTCTGAATGAGTTTGTTGAATGCATTGTTAACCAGATATTTTTAGGCATATGTCAGTGCATCATTTTACCTAATGCTCGCCTATTCCTTTCTCAAAGAATGACTATTTTTGCTAATTTGAAAGAGAAACAAAACAAAAAAAGAGATAGCAACCTTGACTAAAACGTTACCTAACAATTTTGACACCATAATTTGAAAAACCCTCAAAAAAATAAATGATTCTGGAATTCTGCAGAAATTTTAAATTTTGTGAGACAGCTATTTATTTAGACACATTTTTGAAGCATATTAAATTTTCTTCCAGAACATTCTCCCCAAAAGATCATACACAGGAAACTACATTTTAAGATTCTGTAATTCAAATAGCTTATTTTTTTAAGAAAATTTTGTCTACAGTGTAATCAGGGTTTTGTATCTAAAAATAGATTTATTTTTTTAAGAGGAAATTTAGTACAGATTTTGACTGCAAGCATTTGCTTATTCAAAAAAAGAGGGTTGGGTTCTCTTTGCATAATTGATTAGTAAAGATTAGAAACTGATGTCTGAAATTTTCAGTGTGGCTACTATGTTATGATTGGATCATTCTGGTTAATTCACATAAAAATATCCTTGGAGGGACAAGTGTGTGTTTTTTGAAAAAACAATTAATTTCCACTTTTAATGAATCTTCAAATAAATGTTTTAACAAAACTTACTAAAGCAGAATACGTAAAGTAAAGCCAGATGTGAGTAGAGGTAAAGCAAAATAATTTCCATTCTGTGGGCTTGCTCACTAGGTGTAAATTTTGTGGAAGGATGACATTGCAGTCATTTCTTACAGGTAAAGTAGATAGAAGATAATGGCAGGACTACGAAGTGAGCAAGGATATGCTAGTTTGTCAGACCTTAGAGCAGTCATTTATACATATGTCATAGTTTCATTCCTGGGGTATAGTGTTTCCTGAGCCTTCAGAACACTCTCAATAAATATTAGCATTCACAACCAATATAGTTTCACAATGACTACAATCAGCTTCTGTGGTTGAAAAGGGGCAAGGAAAGCATTTAATTGTGGAAAGAATTTATGATGTAGATATAAACACAGCAAAAGGCATGTTTGGAAGCTTGAGTAGATCTCAGTTTATGAAGGCACATTTAGGGAAAGTAAAGTAAAATTTGGATATTTCTTCTTAGGGCTTATAGATTGAGGAAGTAACTCCACAATGAATGCAAAAACTTTTTATCAGCCATGTAAGCATTTATCAATTCCCAGGATTCTGTAGGATTCACTTACTAGTTATAAGTGTGTAACTGATTTTTACTTACTGTGAAAGCTGTTGTTAGTAGTGTGTGGTTGGTAACAATAACAATATATTTATATCAAATAATATTTAATATAGATCTCTGAACAAATTAATTGGCAAATATGTGATGCAATTTGTTTACATTTGAAAAATGCTGCATTGGCAGGCTGCTTAATGCTTTTTTGAAACTATTCTTTGATATGCAAATACTTTAACTAAAATATAGAGATGTGAACTCTGACACTCAACATTTTTTTCAGGTTTACTCAATTTTAAATATATTCTTCATTTGTAAACCAATTTCAACATTTTCTTCACTGCCTTTTTTACTTCTTTGTTCCTCAAACTATAGATGATGGGATTCAACTTGGGAATCACAATTGTGTAAAATATTGACACTATGATGTCATGGTCTGAAGCATAGCTGGAACTTGGTCTCATATAACTGACGAGAATTGTTCCATGATAAATTGTCACTCCAGTTAGGTGAGAGCCACATGTAGAGAAGGCCTTTTGCCTTCCCTTAGCAGAATGCATCTTCAGAATGGACAACAGAATGAAATCACAGGAAATGAGGACAATCAGGATAGTGACTATCTCAATAGAACCCACAAAGTAGAAGAGTAGAAGCTGGTTTGTGTGAGTGTCAGAACAAGAAATAGCAAGGAGAGGAGGCATATCACAAAAGACATGCCTAATTTCATTGGATCCACAGAAGGACAGGCTAAATGTAGCCACTATATGTATAGTAGCATGTAAAATGCCAGCAACGTAGGAAGCAGTGATGAGTGGCACATAGACTCTGGGTGACATGCTCACTGAATACAGGAGAGGGTTGTAGATGGCTACATAGTGATCATAAGCCATTGCAGCCAAGAGAAAACATTCTGTAGTTCCAAAAGTAACAAAAAGAAGCATCTGTGTTGCACATCCGATAAATGAAATGGATTTATTTTTTGCCAGGAAATTGACCAACATTTTTGGAGTGACAACTGTAGAATAGCAAGCATCCAAGAATGATAAAACACTAAGAAAATAATACATGGGGTTGTGGAGCCAGGAATCCTCAATGACCAACACAACCAGCCCTAAATTGCCTATCAAGGTAAAGAGATAGATTGCAAAAAATAGTAAAAATAGGAAGACTTGCAGCTCAAAATCATCTGTGAAGCCTGTCAATATAAACATGGTGACTTCAGTCTTGTTCTTCAGTGGATTCCTGTATATATCCAAACCTGATGACAACTTGTCCATTTCAGTTTTTACTTGCAGGTTATAAAGGTTATAGCCTGTGAAAGTGGAGTCCATTCAATTGTATCCTTGTTTTTTTCTTGGGGCATAATAATTTCCCTGATAGTAATGGAATAGACAATGATGAAGTAATTGGAGCCAAATAGATGAATTTCACTGTATAAGTAAAAGGAAAAAAAATATGTAATTAATTTCTTGGCTAAATTTATCATGTTTTTAAAAAACCCTGCTAATTAAAGTGATTTTATTTTCCAGTTAATTTTCAGTTGAAATTTTTACTGCTTCCTCTCATATTATGTCCTAAAGCTCACAAAGATTGCTGAATGTAGAAATATTTAAAACTAAATATGTTATAGTGGAAAGCACACACTTGAGTACACTTTTAGATTTGTGATGAAGTACATGAAATGTCTTTTGTAAATGTTCACAATTTTAAAATAAGAGAAACCACACTCACAGCACAGTTGAATTTAAATGTTTAAAAATATCAAAACTATTTAATTTAAAAGGCTTCCAAATGACTAGAAAATGGGGATAAGTCAGACATACATTTCAACTTGTCGCATGCAGCAGCCTTTTTAAATAAAACCATTTCATGTCCTCTGTTCTGGCAATTATCTTGTTCCATTACATAGAAGAGCAGACTGTATTCTGGAGATAGACGTACCTTTACAAACATTACAATGTGTTTTATTTTCAGGATTTTTTCTTCCTGAAATATATATCACCTAGTTGGCAAATTTTGGCCTCTGTACCTTGTTTATCATAACTGTTTTTAAATTTCAACTTAATAACAATGTGAGATATATCTTACTAATAATTCATATGTTTGTTATTTTTGCAAAGTCCTTGGATGTATTTTATTTTATTTTATTTTATATTTCTGTTAAAAATAAATCATGGCCATTCTTTTAGTATATTATAGTTGCTTTTAGAGTTTCTAAAATTACTATGAAATAAAAATCACCAATAATAACTAATAAAAATTATAGAATATCTGGCTAAAAAATAACATTACTATATTTGCAAGAAAGTAGTGTTTGTCCTCTGGACTTCTTTCCTGATGGTATCATTCTGTTTCACATTGACAAGTATGAAGAAAGACAATTACACAACCAAAAATAAATAAATAATTAAAAGAAAAAAGGTAACAAGGTTACAGGGACTTCTGTATCTAGACTGAAAACCTGTTATTGAAACGGTTTAGTACTACATACACTAAATTTAGAGGTAAAATTAGAGGGGAGATTTAAGCAAGGTGACTTTGTTTTTCTTTTATCATGTCATAGATTATGAAAGTTTTAAAAGGGGTGACAACTCTGTCATATGCAGGTCCATTCTGAATTCAGTGACTTACAAATGATTTATATTCATGATGTGAGACATACCAAAATTTTGTCATGTTAAGATGACCACACATTAAGAAGAGAATGAACAAATAAGACTAAAACCACTTTTAGAAAGAAAAAAAAAGGCCAAGTGTTTATATATATTATTATAGAAATGTCCTAACAGATCCATGTGGAAGATTTTTTTAATATACAAAATAAATACCCTCATAAATGAGGGACTACAGAACGAAACAAAAATTCTCATTTGATTCTTAGAAAATTCTACAGCAAAAGATATAATTCAGTTAAATTCCACTTTCTGTGTAAATCCAGACTACTTACATATTACTCATGACAACACACACATACACAAATATATTAAGTAATTTTGTTTGTGTTATGTGAATAAAATAGCTTATAAAGTTATCAATAAATATTTTAAATATGAATTAATGTATTTTTGAGTCATAAAAAATATAGTTCTCTTATACAAATTCCTATCCTCTCTTTCTCCTATATTTTCTCCTTTCTCTCTCTTTCTCTCTCTTTCTTTCTGTGTTAGAAGAATCAATGGGATATATACAAACGTTTACTGACAAGAGTCAGGAACAAACAGGAATTAGCCAGATAAGAAGAAGCACGATTCAAAAAAAAAATGCCAGTGAATTTTGAAAAATGTGCTAATAATCTACCAAAGGAGTCCATTACAAAATACATGTTTACCACCACATAGAGGAGAAAGGTCAGCTACATTACAATTCCAGACTTTATTTTCCTAAGATATCTGAAATAAGGCAACTGTAGAATACTGGGAATTATATTTGGACTCTAAAACTCTATGTTTAAATGTCATGTTTAGCAGCATAAGCTTGGAAAAATTACTTCTCCTTCCAAACTAAAGGATAAGTAAGATTGGATGAAACTTTCACATATACCTCATTCAACTGCATAAACATGAGGTGATTGCACAGTTCTTTTTTATGAGATGCATTAAGATCAATTTTAATAAATAATTTTTTAATTACATGTGAATAATGCATACATATATGACTTAAAATTTTTATTTATATAATAATATAAACAGGAATTTACAAAATCAATATTTTAATAGAACCACAGTGCAACCCTGATGTAACCTGCCATAGTTTTAGAAATGTTATGTCCTAGAAACTATGTAAAATAGAATTTTTGTGTTATTAAATTATTTAAAGATATTAAGCTTAAATAGAATATGAAAATTTAAAATAATAACTAAACTTGCTTCTTAGTCAATTACCTAACTTTTACAATAAACTTAACTTTTCTGGTATTCCTATATCAGAAAATAAAATAAATTGAACCCAAAATGAAATATACCCAAAAGCTAGTTGAAAGTTAATTTTCTCTGTATCTAATAATTTTTCTAAATATGAAACATTGTCCCTTAATCCTGCTGCCCCTATTTTGACTATTCATCAGAAAAAAAATAAAACAAATTTCTAATTTATGGCTCTATTCATGAAAATATGTAGGAAGTCCTTTATATTTTCTGTGGTATATATCCTAGAAGGCATATGATTTAATTTGTGGTAAAATTTTTGAGATTAATAGAATCCTTTTATATTTAAATATTAAAGCATATATTTTCAAATATAATATAGCTTCTATAATGTGTTATATGTAATAAAGAGGTTTTCCTCCTACCTGTGGAAATAAGCTGCTCGCTAAATTAGATACATGATAAATATTATACATGTGGATTCTTATACCGGCTTCTCAAGCTCTTCAAGTCCTCAGGGATGGCCCATTGAAAACACACACTAATTCTTTTCTGGGACAGAAATGTATCAAGAATACTTTTAAAATAGTAAGCAAGTGAATGTTTCTGGAGTAATGAACTACATGATGAAAATGATTACCTGAAAGAACCTTGGCTTCTGGCTAAAAAAAAAAAAAAAAAAAAGTGATCCCTCGGTGGAAAAGAATCCTAATGATACAAGACATAGTCCCAGCTCTGATGCCAGTAAGATGAGAAATTCTCTGATTTCCAGTTTCCTTTTTCTGGGAATATACCATGCACATTCTCTGGAAATCCTGGAGACATGTAATAAAATAATATGGAAGCGCAACTCATGACAGGATTTACAGTCTTTAATAAAGTTTACTTTTTTGACTTTAAAGTGCTATAATTCTAAGTTGTATGAGAAGCAGATTTAGACACCTTGAGTGTTCTATCCCTTGAGAAGAGATAAAGATGAATACATGAATAGGAAATATTGACAGGAGAGATGGAATAGTGTACAGATAATAATGTTCTATATAATAGGACCTTAGAATATAAGACCTCTGGCAGAGATAAAGGTCAAACTTTTTGCGTTGAATTTAGTCTTGTCTTGGGGATTCTACATACTAATGTATAAGCTACTACCCAGCTATGTACATAAGTAAGTCTTGGGGAAATTATGGAAAATACATAAATGTCTAGCTAGGTTCCATACCCAGAGATTGTATATTGGTAGATAGGAAATATTGGTTTCTGAAATCTGTATGTAAAATATAAAGAAAAGAAAGTTGATACTGGAAGGCAGCCTAACTGTGAACTATCTATTAATTAAAATCCCAAACTGATTTATAGATTCGATGCAATTCTAGTTAAAATTAAGAATTTTTTGTACAAATTGAGAAATTGATTCCACAATTTATATGCAAAATTAAAAAAAAACGGAGTCGAAACAGTTTTGAAAACGAAGAATAAATTTGGAATGTTTACACAATCTGTGAATGGGACTGAGTTTAGGACTTACCACAAAGCTAAAATAACCAAGATAGTGAAATATTGGGTAAAAAAATACACTTCAATTAATAAAATGGAATAAAGTGTTGAGAACCAGATTCACATATATATGGTCAATTGATTTCTGACATAATAAAGACAATCTTCGTTGTCTGCTCATCTTTAAAAGTGGCTCGCTGAAAATAATTCTCAGTGTCATTTTACATCACTTCATCAGATATTGTTTCTGATATCCCCACATCATAAAGTTACAGTCTAGACCCTCTCTAAAATATATCCAAAGCTTGCAACAATGTCATATTTCATCCCTTTCTGTGTCTTTGCTTGTCTTCATGGTGTTTACAGTCCCTGATAGAAGTTTTCTGTTTCTCCCCAAAATAGGCCAAAAATAAATTTTAAATATATAAATGCATGAATAATTATGAAAATTATTTCCCTATTCCGGACTCAATATGCTTACCTAAAAAATAAACCATTCACTAGATCTACGGTTTCTAATCCAGTTGCTCTTCAAGAACATCTGGAGAATTAAAGAAATGTAATAACTTTATTATACCTCCTTTTTCTACTAAATTTCTCTATGTAGATTCTAGGCATGTGTATGTGTGTTTTGTATATATTTATGTGTATGTAACTATGTATGTGTATATATATATCTCTACACACATGCATATATATGTGTGTATATATGTATATGCACACATTTATGTATATACATACCTCATATGTGTAGGGCTGTGTATATACATAAATACACATATATATAAACATATGATATAGTAGTACCCCTTGATCCATGGGGGATGTATTCCAAGACCTCCAATGGATGCCTAAAACTTCAGATAGATAGTACCAGGCCGGGCGCGGTGGCTCACGCCTGTAATCTCAGCACTTTGGGAGGCCGAGGCGGGCGGATCATGAGGTCAGGAGATCGAGACCATCTTGGCTAACACGGTGAAACCCCGTCTCTACTAAAAATATAATAAATTAGCCGGGCGCGCTGGCTGGCGCCTGTAGTCCCAGCTACTCAGGAGGCTGAGGCAGGAGAATGGCGTGAACCCTGGAGGCGGAGCTTGCAGTGAGCCGAGATAGAGCCACTGCAGTCTGGCCTGAGTGAAAGAGCGAGACTCTGTCTCAAAAAAAAAACAAAACAAAACAAAAAAAACTTCAGATACAAGCCTTATACAAGCATAGCTTATTTCATTTGTTTTATTGATCTTTGCAGATATTGTGGGGTTTTATTCTTTTTTGGCAATTGAAGGTTTATTGGCACCATTTTTCCAACAATGTATACCTGCTTTGTGTCTCCATGTCACATTTTGATAATTCTCGTGATAGTTAAAACTTTATTTATGTATGGTAATTTGTGATCAGTAACCTTCGATTAATATTTTAGATGTTTTGGGGCACCATGAACTGTGCCCATATAGGATGGCAAGCTTAATTGATAAATGTTGTGTGTTTTCTGACTGCTCCACAGACCTGCTGTTCCTCAGCTTCTCTCCCTGACTTTGGGCCTCACTGTTTCCTGAGCCACAACAATATTGCAATTAAGCCAATTAATAATGCTACAATAACGGCCAAGTGTTCAAGTGAAAGTAAGAGTCACATGTGTTTAATTTTAAATCAAACTAGAAATAATTGAGCTTAGTGAGGAAGGCATGTCAAAAACCAAGATGGGCCAACAGCTAGGCTTCTTGTGATAAGTAATTAGTCAAGTGGTGAATACAAAGGAAAAGTTCTTGAAGAATATTAAAAGTGCTACTCCAGTGAACATATAAATGATAAAGTGAAATAGCCTAACTACTGATATGGAGGAAATATTAGTTGTCTGGATAGAAGATGAAACCAGCTGCAACATTAGCTTAAACCAAAGCCTAATCTAGACCACGGTCCTAACTGTCTTCAACTCTGTGAAAACTGAGAGGGTAGGGAAGCTGCAGAAGAAAAGTTGAAAGCTAGCAGGGTTGATGAGGTTTCAATCAGAAAGGGTTGATGAGGGTTCATGAGGTTTAAGGGCAGAAGTTATCACCATAAAGAGTACAAGGTGGGCCAGGCGTGGTGGCTCACACCTGTAATCCCAGCACTTTGGGAGGCTGAGGCAGGCAGATCATGAGGTCAAGACATCCAGACCACCCTGGCCAACATGGTGAAACCCCATCTCTACTAAAAATACAAAAATTAGGTGGGTGTGGTGGCACACGCCTGTAGTCCCAGCTACTTGAGGCTGATGCAGGAGAATGAATCCCTTGAACCCAGCAGGTGGGGGTTGCAGTGAGCCAAGATCTCACCATTGCACTCCAGCCTGACAACAGAGTGAGACTCTGTCAAAAAAAAAAAAAAAAAAAAAAAAAAAGTGCAAGGTGAACCAGCAAGTTTTAATGTAGAAGCTGCAATATATTATACAGAAGATCTAGCTAAGATCATTGATGAAGGTGGCTATATTAAACAACAGATTTTTAGTGTAGACAAAACAACATTCTAATGAAAGAAGATGCCATCTGGGACTTTCATGGCTATACAAGAGGAGTTAATGCCTGGCTTCAGAGCTTCGTTGAAAGAACAGAGTGATGGTTTTGTTAGGGGCTAATGTAGCTGGTGACTTTAAGGTGAAGCCAGTGATCATTTACCATTCCAAATATCCCAGGGCCCTTAATAAGTGTACAGATACGGTGTACTCTGCCTGTGCTCTATAAGTAGAATAACAAAGCCTGGATGATAGAATATCTGTTGACAGCATGGTTTACTAAATATTTTAAGTCCACTGTTGAGACCTACTACTCAGGTAAAATGATTCCTTTCAAAATACTACTACTCATTGACAATGCATCTTGTCACCTAAAGTTCTGATGGAGATGTACAAGGAGATTAATGTTGCTTTCATGACTGCTAATACGACATCCATTTTACAGCCCATGGACCAAGGAGTGATTTCAAATTTCAAGTCTTATTTTTTATTTATTTTTTTTTTGAGACAGTCTAGCTCTGTTGCTCAGGCAGGAGTGAAGTGACATGCTCTCTTGGCTTACTGCAACCTCCACCTCCTGGGTTCAGGTGATTCTTCTGCCTCAGCCTCCTGAGTAGCTGGGATTACAGGCACCAGACACCATTTCCTGTTAATTTTTTTTTTTTTTTGTATTTTTAGTAGAGATGAGGTTTCACCCTGTTCACCAGGCTGGTCTCAAACTCCCAACCTCAGGTGATCCCCCGACTTAGGCCTCCCAAAGTGCTGGGATTACAAGTGTTAGCCACTGCACCTGGCCTTCAAGTCTTACCTACTTATTCATTTATTTTGGGATGGAGTCACGCTGTGTCTCTCAGGCTGGAGTGCAATGGCACAATCTTGGCCCACTGCAACCTCCGCCTTCTGGGTTCAAGTAGTTCTCCTGCCTCAGCCTCCCAAGTAGCTGGGATTACAGGCATGCACCACCATGCCCGGCTAATTTTTGTATTTTTGGTAGAGATGGGGTTTCATCATATTGACCAGGCTGGTCTTGAACTCCTGACCTTGTGATCCACCTGACTCAGACTCCCAAAGTGCTAGGATTACAGGCATCAGCCATCACTCCTGGCCTTAAGTCTTATTTTTTAAGAAATACATTTTGTAATGTTATAGCTACCTTAGATAGTGATTCCTTTGATGGATCTTGTTACAATAAATTGAAAGCCTTCTGGAAAATATTCAACATTCTAGATGCTATTAAGAATATTTTTGATTCATGGGAGGAGGTCGAATTATAAATATTAATTGGAGTTTGGAAGAAGTTGATCCTAATCCTCGTGAATGACTTTGAGGGGTTCACAACTCTAGTGGAGGAAGTAACTGCAGATATGCTGGAAAAAGGCAGAGAACTAAAACTGGAAGTAGAGCCTGAGGGTGACTGAATTGCTGCAATTTCGTAACCAACCTTGAACAGATGAGAAATTGCTTCTTATGGACGAGCAAATAAAGAATTTTCCAAGATGACATCTACTGCTGGTGAGGATGCTGTTAACATCATTAGAATGACAAATAATTTAGAATATTAAATGAAGTTAGTGTATTAGCCCATTTTTATACCGCTATGAAGAAATACCTGAGACTGGGTAATTAATAAAAAAAGGAGGTTCAATGGACTTGTTGCGGAGGCCTCACAATTGTAGTGGAAGTTGAAGGAGAAGCAAAGCCACATCTTATATGACTGCAGGCAAGAGAGTGTGCAGGGGAACTGCCCTTTATAAAACCATCAGATTTCATGAGACTTATTCACTATTACCAGAACAGCAAGGGAAAAACCCACCCCCATGATTCAATTACCTCCCACCATGTCCCTCCCATGACGTGTGGGGATTATGGGTGGCACAATTCAAGATGAGATTTGGGTGGGGACACAACCAAAGCATATTAGTAAGTAATAAAGCAGTGGCAGGGTTTAAGAGGATTGGTGTTACAACTTTTTTTTTTTTTTTTTTGAGACTGTGTCTTGCTCTGTCACCCAGGCTGGGGTGCAGTGGTGCAATCTCAGCTCACTGCAAGCTCCACCTCCCAGGTTCATGCCATTCCCCTGCCTCAGCCTCCCAAGTAGCTGGGACTACAGGCACCCACCACCATGCCCGTCTAGTTTTTTGTGTTTTTAGTAGAGACGGTTTTCATCGTGTTAGCCAGAATGGTCCCAATCTCCTGATCTCATGATGCACTCACTTCAGCCTCCCAAAGTGCTGGGATTACAGGCATGAGCCACCATGCCTGGCTGATTGGTTCCAATTTTGAAAGAAGCTCTACTATGAATAAAATGCTGTCAGACCACATTTTGCATGATACAGATAAATATTTTGTGAAACAAAGAGTCAACCAATGTGGCAAACTTTATTGATTTCTCATTTTAAGTAATTGCCACAGCCTCCCCAACTTTCAGCAACCACCACCTTGTGAGTCATCAGGGATTTTACTGATTGTTTTCTATTTGTTATGTATATCCTTTATTCCTCACTTTCAATCTTATTGCTTATTTTTGTGGTTGGGTGGTTGTGTAGTGATTTGATTTGATTATTTTCTCTTTCTTTGTGTATTGGCTCTACCAGTAAGTTTTGTAATATCACATGTTGTCATGATGGTGGCAATCTTCTTTTCATTTCCATATGTAAGACTTTCTTGGGCATCTTTTTTTTTTTTTTTGGAGTCTTGCTCTGTTGCCAGGCTGGAGTGCAGTGGCACAATCTGGGCTCACTGCAACCTCTGCCTCCCAGGTTCAAGCGATTCTCCTGCCTCAGCCTCCCGAGTAGCTGGGACTACAGGCATGCACCACCATGCCCAGCTAATTTTTGTATATTTAGTAGAGACGGGGTTTCACCATGTTGGCCAGATGGTCTTGATCTCTTGACCTCGTGATCTGCCCGCCTGGACCTCCCAAAGTGCTGGGATTACAGGCGTGAGCCACCGCGCCTGGCAGAGCATTGTTTTTAAAGCTGGTCTAATGCCGATAAATTCCTTTAGTTTTTGCTTGTTTGTGGAAGGTTTTATTTATCCATCATTTCTGAAGACTAGCTTTGCTGTGGATAATATTCTTGGGGTGATAGCTTTTTTTTTTTTCTTTTAGTACTTTGAAGATACCATCCCATATTTCCTGGTCTGTAAGGTTTCTGCTTGAGTAATCCCCTGTTAGTCTAATGGGGGTTTTCTTTCATGTGACTTGAGGCTTTTCTCCTGATGCTGTCAAAATTCTTTCTTTGTTTTTAATTTTTGACAATTAATTTGACACTATAATGTGCCTCAGAAAAGACCTATTTGAATAGAATCTATTCAGGTTTATTTGACCTTCCTGGACCTGCATATTCATCTCACATCCAAGATTTGGGAATTTGTCTGCTATTATCTTATTAGCTATGTTTTCTTCACCTTTTTCCTTCTGTTCATCTTCTGGAATATCCATAATACAAATATTTGTTCACTTTATGGTGTGCCGTAAATCTGGGCACAGAAGTGTTTCACAGGCCTGTGTTAGGGCAGCACAGTTGCTTGGCTGGACTGGGGGGCATACCCCACAGAGGCAGACTATAAGACAGTTTTCCAGGGCCTTATTGGGGGTGCAGGGCCTTTGGCCAAGCAAGGGCATGTATGTGGGGGGCAGGAGTGCTGCATGGCTGTTTCTCAGGTCCTGAGCAGGGGTGCTGGTAGCTATTCCACTGGCCCAGGGATATATTAACTGTTTGGGGGTTTCAGGGGCCTCTCCAGCTTGGGGAATGGCATGTGAACAGTTTGGCTGGCTCAAGAGTGGATTTGCCCTGGCTGGGACTAGCACATTTTTCTCTAGCTGGAAGTACAGTGATGGGGGTTGGTTTTCTTGCTGTATAGGACTAGAGTCACAGAGTCAATCCTGGACCCAAACTCCGTGTGGGTTTGACATAATGAAGATGGAACTTCAGAGCTGGAGAGGTGCAGTGACTACTGCACCTCAGAGAAGGCTTCTTTCCAGAGCAGGCTTTGATCTCAAAATGGTGTTGTGTTGCAGCAGGTTGGCTCACAGGGCATGGGTTGGGAGTATGGTGTGGTGCATATCTTCTTCTCCTAATCTGGGACAATACAGCTGTGTGAATTCTCAGTAGATGTCCAAACTGGGTTTGGGGTTGGCTCACAAGGCATGGGTTGGAGTTATGGTGTGGTGCACATCTCGTTCTCCTAATCTGGGGCAATACAGCTGTGTGAATTTCCAATAGATCTCCAAAGTGGATTTGGGGCTTGGGAAGACTAAAACTTCCCTGTAGTAAGGCCCGTAGGTGTTTACAGTGGCAACGGGGGCTGTTGGAGATCTTCTGATTACCTCCAAAATTTCCAACTTGGTTGGGCATGGTATATAATGCCCAGCACTTGGTATATACCCAGCACTTTGGGAAGCTGAGGTAGGAGAATTGCTTGAGCCCAGGAGTTCCAGACCAGCCTGAGGAACATAAGGAGACTCTATCTCTACATAAAATGTTAAAAAAAAAAAAAAAAAAGCCAGGCATTGTGGTTCATGTCTCTAGTCCCTGCTACTGGGGAGACCGAAGTGGGAAGATTACTTGAGCCCCAGAATTTGAGGTTGCTGTGAACCATGATCACACCACTGCACTCCAGCCTAGGCAAAAGAGAAAGACCATGTCTTCAAAAACAAATGAACACAAAAGTCCCTCCTGTCTCTGGGATGATCCATCCAATCCCTGTGGAAGAGAAAGGGCTGCAGAGGTTTGGTGCCTCAGTGCTGTCTTCCTGGCTTCTAATCACTACAGGTACATCTTTATACCCCTGCTGTATTTCAGCACTCTCTCTTTGACACACCAGTCAAATCTTAGTTGTTTACTATTTGCCTTGGTTCTTTCTTGTGGGAGTGATGAGTACCAGGAGTCTCTAGTCAGCCATCTTGCTGACTTGCATTATTCAGTAACATAGTTTTTCATCAAGGTATGTACATTGTCTCTTTAAAGAGGTAATGCTACTTCATATTTAATAGACAGAAGTATAGTGTAAAAATAACTTTTTTACTCACTGGGAAACCAAAACAATGTGTGTGACTCACTTTATGGTGATATTGACTTTATTACCGTGATCTGGAACTGAATCTGTAATAGCTCTAAAGTATGCCTGTATATACTGATTTTCCTATACATGCCTACCTACTATAAAGTAAAAGTTACTAATTAGGCACTGTAAGAGATTAACGAAAATAAGTAGTAATAAAATAAACTAATTGTAACAATATTCCATCATTACTATTCTTGTACTTTAGGGCCATTATTAAGTAAAATAAGGGTTTCTTGAACATAAGCACCATGATACTGGAACAGTGAATCTGATAACCAAGATGGCTACCAAGTGACTAATGGCACAGATTTCATCGCACTACTCAGAATTGCCACAATCTATCACTTATGATTATTTTCTGAAAGTTTTTGTTTAATATTTTCAGATTGTGGTTGACTGTGGTTAGCTGAAACTGTAGAAATTAAAACCATGGATAAGGGAGGGAGTGCTGTATTGTATATACATATACATAAATATACAGATACAGGTATATCTATATTATCATTTCATCTGAGAAAGAAATAAGTATTCTGGAATTATAAAACCTCTTGACTTATGAAGCTGTATAGTTTTAAATATTTTATGTTTCCTCTGCATGTTAATGGCTTTTTACTTATGCTTTTATATTTCTCTTGCCACTTTGGATAATAATCTTTTCAATACGTTTAAAATTTATACTTTTTTTACTTCTAACACAACACTTTATAACTTTCTTAACTTTCTTTTTAAATTTAGGGGTACATGTGCAGGTTTGTTATATAGGTAAACTTGTGTCTTGCAGGTTGGTTGTACGGATTATTTCATTACCCAGGTATTAAGCCTAGTTTTCATTTGTTTTTCCTTGATCCTCTCCCTCCTTAACCCCCCATGCTCTGATGAGCCCAGTGACTGTTGTTCCCCTCTATGTGTCCATGTGTCATCATCATTTTTCTCCCACTTACAAGTGAGAACATGTGGTATATGGTTTTCTGTTCCTGTGTTAGTTTGCTAGGGATAATGGCCTCCAATTCCATCTATGTTCTTGCAAAGGACATAATCTCTCTCTTTTTTTTAATAGTTGCATAGTGTTCCGTGGTGTATACATACCACATTTTCTTCATCTAGTCTACCACTGGTGGACATTTAGATTGATTCTATGTCTTTGCTATTGTGAATAATCACTTTATAATTTGAAAAGAGTGTCAGTATAATGAGTTTGGATAATTTTAAATCCATTTGCTATATTCTAACAGAAATATATTGTACTTTTACATTATTATAGTTTATCCTTTTTACTGGCTGACTGCAATACAAAATAGCTTACACATCTCATGCTCATGGATGGGTATGATCAATACTGTGAAAATGACCATACTGCCCAAAGCAATCTACAGATTCCATGCAATTCCCAATAAACTACCATCATCATTCTTCACAGAACTAGAAAAAAAAAATCCTAAAATTCATATGGGAACAAAAAAGAGCCCACATAGCCAAAACAATACTGAACAAAAAGAACAAATCTGGAGGCATCACATTACCTGACTTCAAACTATCTTATAAGGCTATTGTTGCCAAAACAGCATGGAGCATGGTACTTGTATAAAAATAGGCATGTAGACCAATGGAATAAAATAGAGAACCCATGAATAAAGCCAAATACTAACAGCCAACTTATCCTGAACAAAGCAAACAAAAACATAAAATGGGGAAAGGATATCCTTTTCAATAAATGGTGCTGGGAAACCTGGCAAGCCAATGTAGAAGAATGAAACTGTATCCTCATCTCTCACCTTATAAAAAAATCAATTCAAGACTGTTAAAAGACTTAAATCTAAAACCTAAAACTATAAAAATTCTAGAACACCATAAAAACTCTTTTAGACATTGGCTTAGGAAAATAATTCACAGCTAAGACTCAAAAAACAAATGTAACAAAAACAAAAATAAATAAATGGAACTTACTTAAAGTAAAATCTTCTGCACAGCAAAAGAAATGTTCAGTGGAGTAAACAGACAACCTACAGACTGGGAGAAAATATTCACAAACTATGCATCTGGCAAAGGACTAATATTCAGCACCTAAAGGGAATTCAAACAAATCATTAAGAGAAAAACAAATAATCCCATCAAAAATAGGCAAAGAACAAAAATAGACAATTCTAAAATGAAGATATACAAACAGCCAACAAACACATGAATAAATGCTCAACATTGCTAATTATCTGGGAAATACAAATTAAAACTACAATGAGATACCACTTTACTCCTGCAAAAATGGGCATAATTAAAAAGTCAAAAACAATAGATGTTGGTATGCTTGTGGTGAAAAGGGAACACTTTTACACTGCTGGTGGGAATGTAAACTAGTACAACCACTATGGAAAACAGTATGGAGATTTCTTAAAGAACAAAATATAGAACTACCATTTGATCCAGCAGTTCCACTACTGGGTATCTACCCAAAGGAAAATAAGTCATATGAAAAAGACACATTCACATGTATAGCAGCACACATTCACACGTATAGCAGCACAAATTGCAATCGCAAAGATATTGAACCAATCTATGTGCTCATCAACCAACGAGTAGAAAAAGCAAATGTGGTATATACACACCATGGAATACTACTCAGCCTTAAAAAGGAATGAAATGATGTCTTTTGCAGCAACCTGGATGGAGCTGGAGATGTTATTCTAGGTGAAGTAACTCAAGAATGGAAAACCAAATATTGTATGTTCTCACTTATAAGTGGGAGCTAAGCTAAGAGGATGAAAAGGCTTAAAAACGATATAATGGACTTTGAGGACTCAAGGTGGAGGGTGAGAGAGGGGTGATGAACAGAAGACTATATATTGGGTACAGTGTACACTGCTTGGATGACTGGTGCACCAAAATCTCAGGAATCACCGCTAAAGAATTTACCCATGTAACCAAAAACCACCTGTATTCCATAAACTGTTGAAATAAAAATAAAATTTATGAAAATGGAAAGCCTTCAAAACCAAAAAATAAAATAAAAATAAGACAAAATTGCATATATTTTCAGGATGAGGAAACTGAACCTCAGAGAAATTAAGTTCTAACCCATGGTCACCACTATGATTGAAGCTTAAACTTTAGGATTTAAGAGCTCTTACCTAGTCTTGAATCATAGTTTTTTCTAAAGCATCATTTTCTGTGTTTTTGTTTTTTCAAAAATTTTATGATAAGAAATTTAACATGAGAACTACCTTCTCAACAAAATTTATGTGTGTGATGCAGTATTAACTATAGGCACAATGTTGTACAATAGATCTCTAGAATTCTTATGTCATACATGATGGCAATTTAGTATCCATTGAATATAAACTCCCATTACCCCTCTCCTCAGCCCCTGGCAGCCCACCATTCTACTCTCTAATCATTGAGAGTATTATAGATATCGCACGTAAGTGGAATCACACAGTGTTTGTCAGTAAAGTCCTCCTGGTTCTACCATGATAACACATATGACAGGGTCTACTCTTTTTAAAGCTGTGTATATACCTCTTATTCGTTTGCCATTAATCTATTAATGCACATTTAGGTTGCTTCCACATTTTGGCCATTGTGAATAATACTGCATTAAACATGGACTACATATATCTTCAAAATCCTGATTTCAAGTATTTTGGATAAATACCCAGATATCGAATTGTAACTGCCAAATGGATTTTTTGCTGACTGCTCCACAGACAAAATCAATTTACTGAGACCACGGCATTGCAGTAAAGAAAAGAATGGAAAAATAAATATCATGTCATCTCATTCATAAGCTGGAGCTAAGCTATGAGGATGAAAATGCATGAGAATAAGCAAAAGAGATGAGGCTTGCCACACCATATGGGAGAGGGAGTTATTACTCAATTCAATCTCCTTGAAGGCTTGAAAGTTAGGTGCTTTTCAAAGATAGTTTGATGGGCAGAGGGCTAGGGTATGGGTGTTGCTGATCAGTTTAGGATGAATCATAGGGATGTGGAAAATGATCCTCATGTGTTGAGTGTGTTTCTGGGTGGGGGCCACATGACTGTTTGAGTCAGAGGTCCAGGTGGGGCCATCCAGCTATCAGATATACAAATATTTGAAAAGAATCTCAAAATGCCAATCTTAGGTTCTACAATAGCTATGTTATCTGCAGGAATAATTGGGGAAGCTGCAAATCTTGTGACTTCCAGGAAAAAATGGCTGGTAATCATTTTACTAGGCCTATATCTTAGCAGAACACAGACTCCTCTCATCCTCTTAACTTGGTGCCTTTGATTAGTTTTACAAAGGTGGTTTAGTTTTTGCAAAGGACTATTATCATTTAAACTATAAACTAAATTTCTCCCGAAGTTATTTGGTCCATGCCCAGAGATGAGCAAAGACAGACAGCCTGTGATGATAGAAGCAAGAAGAAGTCAGTCATGGCAGATTTCTCTTACTGTCATAATTTTGCGAAGGTGGTTTCAGAATTTCAGGATTGTATAGTAATCCTGTTTTTAATGTTTCAAGGAACTTCCATACTATTTTCAATCATGGCTGCACTGTTTTATATTCTTGTCAACAGTACACCAGGGTTCCAATTTCTCCACATTCTTATCAATACTTTTTTTTTTTAAATAATGGCCATAACAGGTGTGTGATGATATCTCATTGTGGTTTTGATCTGCAATAATTAAAATCTCCATATTACCCAAAGGGGTCTTCAGATTTAATGCATTTCCTGCAAAATCCTAGTGCTGGGTTTTACAGAAATAGAAAAAACATCGTAAAAATTATGTGCAATTACAAAAGACTTCAAATAGCCAAAGGAATCTTGAGAAAGAAAAACAAAGCTAGAGGTATTATACTTTTTTATTTCAATGATATTACAAAACTACAGTAATTAAATAGCATGGGACTGGAATAAGGACAGATATATAGACCAACGGAACAGAATAGGGAGCCTGGAAACAATCCCACATGTATATAGTCAAATGATCTTTCACAAGTGTGCCAAGAATACACAATGGGAAATTAAATTGGACCCTTGTCTTATACCATATAAAATAACCAACCCAAAATGGATTAAAAATTTAAACATAAAACCTGAAACTACAATTTCTAGAAGAAAACATAAGGAAAAACTTTAGGACCTTCAGCTTGGCAGTAACTTGTTGGATGTAACATAAAAATACAAGCAATGACATAAAAAGCCAAGTAACAAAACCAAAATTAGACAAGTAGGGCTACGTCAAAGTCAAAATCTTCTGCACAATGAAGAAAACCATCAGCCAAACAAAAAATATTTGTAAATGATATATCTAATAGGGGATTAATATCAAAATATATAAATTCAATAGCCACAATAACAATAATCTTATTTTAAAACTGGCAAAGGACTTGAATACATTTTTTTTCCAAAGAAGACATACAAATGGCCTTCAGATGTATGAAAAGATGTTCAACATCAGTAGTCATCAGGGAAATTCAAATCTGACACATTTTAAACAGAAGCCAAAGAACTCTATTGATTCAATAAGTAGGAGCATGCAGTGCCTTATTCCGGAATCATTTACTTTTTATTATTAAGTAAATCATCATGGTGCTATTTTGAAACAGAAGATAATTGGGGCATATTCCCCTTGGGACATCTCCTTGGATTTCATCAACAGTCAATTACAAAGATATAAACAATCTAAGTTAGCCATATTCATAGAATACCTAAATCTGCATTTGCTGTTCCACAGGTAAGAGAAAATTTCAGATAATTTGAAGAATATTTCGGCAGCTAGAACCTACAATATCAAGAATAACTATGTTTTTTTTTACTAAACTTTTTAGCTGCTAAACACCAAGAACTAAACACTTCAGTTCTGGACTATTACATATGTGAATCAAGTGTATTCATCAAAATATGATTTATTTAGAGTTATGCCTAAGAATTAAAATCCAACACTTACTAGAAAACAATAAAAAATAGAAAATATTGTATTTGTACTTATAGAGATAAATAAGAGTGCTCCTAATAGAGTATATGCTTGTATTTTTCTTATAGATAAAGATAGTTCAAAGGTCATGAATTTACCAATAAATATCAACAAAGGGCAAAAAAACATTTGACTTATTCATTTATCTGGGGTCTTGTATTTTGAAGTAATAAGGAAAACAATCAATACTTATTTTAAATTTATTTTCTGGCTTTATAATCTAGAAGTCACTTCAGATTGCTACTTATTTTATGTTTCTCTAGATTTAATGGCTTAAAAAATACAAATACATCGAGAATCATGTTTTGCTTTACCTTTATTTCCCTGAGGTCAGCAGAGGGGTAAGAGGAAGAGTGTTCCAGTTGCAGAATGAAGCCATTTATGAGGCCATGAAAAAATGCAAAAATTTCATGTACAATGAGAGAAACCTGGGATTGAATCTTGGCTCTGGAAATTGTTAGCTATGAAAGTTGCTATAAAGGTGAAATAAGGTAATGTACAAGAAATGTCTGTTCTTGCAGCAAGTGCTAAATAAATGCCTGTTATTTAGCAAACTTAGTGTTTCGTTATTACATTCACGATATTTAAAGTTTTCTCCCTTCCATTAAAATTTGTTTCATAAAAATAGATTTGCATTAATTTAAAAAGTTGATTCTATATTATTAAATCTTCAAGAATCATAGTGATTTTCTCTTTATAACTCTGAATCTTTGACTATGTGCTAATATTAACTTAATTTTTACCCAATATAACTTATTTTGGCATCTAGTAGAAATGCCTGTCTCACAAGAAATTTGGTTGAAGTATCTTATTTGCACAAAGCAAAATTAAGACAATTGTAATGTAGAAAATGGAATCATGGTAATTTGCATGTTTATTTTTGGCATAAAATGATCAAGTAATTCACAAAACTTCTTCATTCTCCAAAGAATAATTCAGAGACATTTGAATGAGCAGATGAAAAAAATCATAACTGTTCATTGGATTTAATCTTGATAGAATGTAGAACCAACTTAATTCAGCATATTCTATAATCAAAATTATTTTACATATTATATTTTATTAATGCAATTTTCCTTCAATATTTACTCCAATCTTGTGAACAAACTATTAATGTTCTCATTCTATAGACAAGTAGATATAGCAAATCATTTTGCACAATTGCTACAAGTTCTAAAATTCTGGTATTGTATTCCAATGCTCTGTCCCCTGATACAGTCTCTTGTGTATTTGGATGCCCAAAGATTGTTTAAGCCACTCATTTTTGTGTGTTTTAATATTATTTAATATATAAACAGCTTAATACAATTCAGTGGTAAATTAACCAGTAGACCTGATGATTTTAGAAACAGAATAAGTCCAGCCAACTAATGAACGTCCATTTCTTCCATTTGATTCTGCAGTGAGTGGCATGAACACATGGCTGACCAGTTTGTCACTGTCTTCTGATTCACTACTAGAGAATTATGCACTGCTGAATATATGTCGTACAGTATATACAAGAGCACAGTTAACATCCCCTTGAGTCATGGTGTTGTTCATTCTTTTTGTCATAATATGAACTGTAACTTTATGCATATCTTCAAGTTTGTTCTAGATTTCAACATGAAGAATGTCACTGAAGTTACCTTATTTGTACTGAAGGGCTTCACAGACAATCTTGAACTGCAGACTATCTTCTTCTTCCTGTTTCTAGCAATCTACCTCTTCACTCTCATGGGAAATTTAGGACTGATTTTAGTGGTCATTAGGGATTCCCAGCTCCACAAACCCATGTACTATTTTCTGAGTATGTTGTCTTCTGTGGATGCCTGCTATTCCTCAGTTATTACCCCAAATATGTTAGTAGATTTTACGACAAAGAATAAAGTCATTTCATTCCTTGGATGTGTAGCACAGGTGTTTCTTGCTTGTAGTTTTGGAACCACAGAATGCTTTCTCTTGGCTGCAATGGCTTATGATCGCTATGTAGCCATCTACAACCCTCTCCTGTATTCAGTGAGCATGTCACCCAGAGTCTACATGCCACTCATCAATGCTTCCTATGTTGCTGGCATTTTACATGCTACTATACATACAGTGGCTACATTTAGCCTATCCTTCTGTGGAGCCAATGAAATTAGGCGTGTCTTTTGTGATATCCCTCCTCTCCTTGCTATTTCTTATTCTGACACTCACACAAACCAGCTTCTACTCTTCTACTTTGTGGGCTCTATCGAGCTGGTCACTATCCTGATTGTTCTGATCTCCTATGGTTTGATTCTGTTGGCCATTCTGAAGATGTATTCTGCTGAAGGGAGGAGAAAAGTCTTCTCCACATGTGGAGCTCACCTAACTGGAGTGTCAATTTATTATGGGACAATCCTCTTCATGTATGTGAGACCAAGTTCCAGCTATGCTTCGGACCATGACATGATAGTGTCAATATTTTACACCATTGTGATTCCCTTGCTGAATCCCGTCATCTACAGTTTGAGGAACAAAGATGTAAAAGACTCAATGAAAAAAATGTTTGGGAAAAATCAGGTTATCAATAAAGTATATTTTCATACTAAAAAATAAATTATAAAAGGTGAGGGTGATACTCTGCACCTCAATACCAAGAATGTGTCATTGTGGTGTTATGATATATGTTGGTTTCCATCCAGGGTTCCTGGCTCATAATTCCCATAGCCTTTGTTACAGTCTTTTGTTATAATGTTGGGTGTTATACCTCAGGGGCAGGCCTTTTACCTTCTCCTGCCCTCCTTTCACTTGCACCAAGGCTGGGTTCCAATGTCTGCCTTACTGATTGTGAATCTTAAGACTCTCCCATGAGAGAGTCCCACCCTATACCTTCGGGGAGGGAATGCTGATGCCTTGAAGCTTCCATAGAACCTAGGAGGATAGGGTTCAGTGAGCTTCTGGGGAGCAGAACAAATGGAAGTTCCTAGAGGGTGGCATGGTCAGGGAGGGCATGGAAACTCTGCACCCCTTTCCTTATACTTTGCCCTACACATCCCTTCACCAGTGTCCTTTGCAATATCCTTTTCAATAAGCCAGTAATATGTTTCCCTGAGTTTTGTGAGCTGCTTCAGTAATTTAATGAAACCCAAAGAGGGGGTCATGGGAGATCCAACTTGAAGCAGGTTGGTCAAAGTTTCAGAGACCCGAATTTGTGACTGGTGTTGTCAGGGGGCAGTTTTGGGGACTGAACCCTCAACCTATGGGATCTGACACTATCTCTGGGTAGATAGTGTTGCAACTGAATTAGAGGATACCCAGTTGGTGATTACCACGTGGTGTGGGAGGAAGAAATCCCTACCCATTTGATCACAGAAGTCTTCTGTGTTGATGATTGTTGTGGTATGACAGTAGAGGAAAAACCTGGTTAGCAAGAGTTTTCCCTAGACGATAATAAAAATGTTTAATTTATTAGTGTAATCCTGTTTTTTTTCTTGGACGTTTTAAAATAAAGATCATAAGTGACCCTGTACCTATGCTGTTCTTACATGTAGAAAAATCTGTGTCATCTATTTTCTTTATGTATGTATACATATACATATGTTCACGTATACATGTACATACATGCTGATAGTCATTGATATACACAAAAATGCACATTCACAGGCATTTATGTTTGTAACCTTTACTTAAAAATGTGTATTGTTTTCTTTCATCTCCATATAATGAATATTTTGAATATTTTGCTAAAATATGATTAATACATCTAAATCACACTTCAAAAGTATAAATATAGAGCATATCCTCCCACAGAATATTTCTACATAATACATCTGCATTTATTTTCTCCTGTTTGGAGGCTCTGTCCTCTGATATTATGTGATTCCTTACTTCAAAAGTCAAAATTAAGTTATGGTCATTGATATTCATCATATGTGTGTGCAAAATCATGCAAATGAGGACAGCCCCTGTGTGCATATGTGTGGCGTGTGTGTGCTTGTGTGTATGTTTTAGAATAGAAGAGATCTTTAAACACCACTTAAAATCAGAAAGATTGTTTTCATTCTTTAAAAATTGTAAAGTCTGCATGACAAAAAGTACCAAAAATATAATAAAAAACCAAACTACAGACTTGGGAAAATAGATACAATCATTCATTTGTTGAGTTAATTCATAATAAAATTTATAGCACAATGCATAAAATATACATGGATAAAATTCATAAAAGGTGAAACCTCTTATGGACAATGGATATACTTTAATAATAATCTAGAAAATGTAAATGTGAAATGATAGAAAACACTCAAACACTTTTGGGTAATTTGCTAGCAAATACAAACTAAGGTGAGTACACTAAATTTGAAACTTTATAAACTAAAAGCTTTCATAAAATAAACAATTTCTTTTCATGTATCAGACACAATTTGTTATCAAGAATACACATCAGTTACATGGGCAAAATAAAAGTTGGGACTTAATTTAAAAAGGCACACAACATGTAAAATTATATCTAAACTCATTTAAAAATAATATATTAAGGTAAAATTCCCATGTGATAAAATTAACTATTTATGGGAATAATTAATTCAGTGGCAATTACTACATTCACAATATTGTGCAATCACCACCTCTGTCTAGCTCCAGAACACGTCCATCAGTAAGAAGTACACAATAAGTAGTTTCTCCCCAGTTCTCACTTACTCCAGCCCCCCAAAATCTGTGCTCCATGTCTGTATTTTCCTATTCTGGATATTTCTTATAAAGGAACCATAGAAAAGTGACCTTTGCTTCCTGTTCTGCTTTCACTTAGCATAATGTTTTCAAACATTATTTGAAAACATTCCATGTCTGTTGTAGCATGGGTTGTTTTATCATTTATTTTATTTTATTTTATTTATTTATTTATTTATTTATTTATTTATTTATTTATTTATTTTTTGAGACGGAGTCTTGCTCTGTCGCCCAGGCTGGAGTGCAGTGGCACGATCTCGGCTCACTGCAAGCTCCGTCTCCCGAGTTCACGCCATTCTCCTGCCTCAGCCTCCCGAGTAGCTGGGAGTACAGGCGCCCACCACCACCATGCCCGGCTAATTTTTTGTATTTTTAGTAGAGACGGGGTTTCACCGTGTTAGCCAGGATAGTCTCGATCTCCTGACCTTGTGATCTGCCCGCCTCGGCTCCCCAAAGTGCTGGGATTACAGGCTTGAGCCACCGCGCCCGGCCTCTTTTATTTTTTAAATTGTGTTTTATTGTGCTTTACATGAAATATACCCTCTAACATTTGTAAGTTTACATTACTTTTAATTATAGGCACAATGTTGGAAGTAGATCCTTAGAACTTATTTATCTTGCATATTGAGACTTTATACCTGTTGATTAAAAACTCCCCATTTCTCCCAGCTCCTAGTCCGTTGAAACTGCCATTCTACTTTCTGGTTCTATAAGTTTGAGTATTTTATAGATTCTTCCTATAAATGGAATCATGCAGTATTTATTATTTTGTTACTGGTTTGTTTCATTTAGTATAATGTCCTCCAGGTTAATCCATGTTCTCCTATATTGCAAGATGCCCATATTTTAAGGCTGAATAATATGCCATTGCATGTATATGCCACATTTCCTTTACCCATTCATCCATCAATGGACTCTGAGATTGTTTCCACCTCTTGGCTATTTTGAATAATGCTGCATGAACATGGGTGTTCTAATATCTTTTTGATATTGTAATATAAACTCTTTTGGATAAATACCCCAAATTTGGAGAGATTATTGGATGATATGGTAGTTCTATATTTTTTTAGCAGTTTCCATAGTGTCTGCACCATTTTGCTTTTCATTGAAAAATTTCAAGGGTCCTAACTTCTTCATATTTTTTTCAATAATTGCTGTCTTTTATTTTCTTTTTAATAATTATCATCCTCACACATCCTCACAGGTATAAGGTGATATTTCATTGTGGTGTTGATTTGCATTTTCCTCCTGAGTGGTGATCTTGAGTATCTTTTCATATATCTGTTGGTCATTTGTATCTCTTCTTTGAAGAAATGTCAATTCATGTCTTTAGCCTGTTTTCAATTGGGTCATTAGGATTTTTTGTTTGTTTGTTTGTCGATATAGAGTTGTAGGAGTTTTTAATATATTTTAGAAGTTAAACCCTTATCAGATATATGGTTTGCAAATATTTTCTCCCATTTTGTATACTGTATATACACTGTGTTGATTGTTTCCTTAACTATGCAGAAGTTTTTTAGTTTGATAAATTCCAACTTGTCAATTTTGTTTTTATTTTGCTGTCTGTACTTTTGGTATCATCTTCAAGCAATCATTCCCAAGACTAATGTAATAAAAATTTTCTCTATCTTTTCTCCTAGGAGTTTTGAATTTTCAGGTCTTATGTTTAATCCATTTTGAGTTGACTTTTGAGTATAATTAGATAAGGGCCCAATTTTATTCTTTTGCGTGTGGATATCCAGTTTTCCCAGAACCGTTTGTTGAAGAGACTCTCCTTTACTCTGTGTTAGGAGCCCTGTCGAAGATGTGGACCATATATATGTGGATTTGTTCTTTTGATCTCTCTCTATCTTCCAGTGGTCTATATGTCAGTCTGTATGTAAGTACCATACAGTTTTGTTTTGTTATTTTTTTGAGGCAGAGTCTCAATGTGTCACCCAGGCTGGAGTGCACTGGTGCAGTGGCCTGATTGTGGTTCACTGCAGACAACGTTCTGGATTTAAGAGATCCTCCTGCCTCAGCCTCCCAAAAAGCTGGGACTAGAGGTGCATATCACCATGCCCAGGTAATTTTTATGTTATTTTATTTTTTGTAGAGATGAGATCTAATTATGTTGCCAAGACTGGTTTTGAACTTCTGGCCTCAAGCAATCCACTTTCCTCAGCCTTCCAAATTGCTGGCACTATAGGCGTGAAACACTATGTTTTGTCCTGTGCAGTTTTAATTACTGCAGATTTGTAATATATTTTGAAATTAGAAAATATGGAACCTCCAGTTTTGTTCTTCGTCTTCTAGATTATTTTGACTACTCAGGGTGTTTTGTGGTTCCATATAAAATTTAGGGCTTTCTTTTTTTCTGTTACTGTAAACCAGGTCTTTGGGGTTTTGGAGATTTCATTGAACCTGCAAAGCGCTTTGGATAGAATAGGCATTTTAACAATATTAAGTTCTCCAATTCATGAACCTAGGATGACTTTCCATTTGTTATATTCTTGAATTTATTTCACAAATGTTTTGTAGTTTTCAGTCTACACACCTTCCTCCTCCTTAGTTAAGTTTATTCTATTTTATTCAAAAGCTATATTTATTTTACAGAGAGGGATAATATCCTACTGTATGCATATATCGCAATTTGTGTATCCATTTATCTGTTGATGGAAATTTTGACTTTGTTTTTCTTAACCTCTTGGCTAATGTGAGTAGAGCTGCCTCTACATGACTTTGTTTGATTACCTGGGTATATATCTTGTAGTGGAATTGTAGTCATATGGTAATTCTATGTTTAACTTTTTGAGGAACTGCCAAACTGCTTTGTATAGTAGCTTAGTACCTGAATGATTTTACATTTACATTCCCAACAGCAAAGCACGAGGGTATAAGTTTATCCACATCCTCACCAACGTTTGCTATTTTCTGTCTTCCATTCTGATTGATATGAAGTGGTATTTCATTGTGATTCTCATTTACAATTCTCTAATAACTAATGTTGAGTAACTTTCATGTTTTTATTGGGCATTTGTTTATCTCTCTGGAGAAAATTTTATTCAAGTATTTTTGTCATTTTTAAGTAGACTTCTGAGGTTATTTGACTCCTTATTGTTGAGTTGTGGGAGTTTTTTTTATGTATTCTAGTTATCTAATACCTATCAAATGTATTATTTGAAAATTTTCCCTTCCACTTTTTAGGTTGTCTTTTCACTGTCTTTATAATGTCCTTTGATGAGGAAATATTTTTAATTTTGATGAAGCTTGATTTATAAATTTTCTGCTGTTGTTGCTTGTAGCTGGGGTAGCATGTTTAGGAATCTATTGCCAAACACAAAGAAGGTCGTGAAGATTTACACCTATGTTGTCTTCTAAGAGTTTTATCATTTTACTTTTATATTTAGGGTGTTGATTTGAAGTTAATTTTTGTGTATAATTAGATGTAGTGGTTCTTCTTTATTAATTTTTGTGTGGCTATTCAGTTGTCTGGTAGACTAAATGTATTTTTAATTATTGTTCAAAGTAAAATTTTAATGATATTTTATTGCTTCCTTTATTTACCAAAATAGGAGCTTCCTGGAATTATTAAAACTGCTAGAGGTGTGAGTGGAAAAATATCCCCAACTTTTTCCTGGCTGTATGAACATTAAATATTTGCAAATGTAAGTACTAACATATATTATAAATAGAAATACCAAAAAATTTTTGTTGCATCTAACAGATTTGAAAATATTGACACTATGTGGCCTAACAATTTCCAAGCGTCATCCAAGTGTACAGACTTGATAGAATATTGTATGAGAGAAAAATGAGGACTAAAAAGATGTGAGTTACATTGTTTCATGTAATATAGAAGACTCAACACAACCAATTTTTTAATCTAGTTTAAATGCATAAACAAATCTATAACAATCAAGATATGTAAATAACAAAATCATATTCTTTGAAGAAAAAATAAGTCAATCAAAAATGATGTAGACATCATAAATTCCCTCACATAAATTTAAAACTACATAAGTAGAAATGATACATAACGTTTATTTACCAAAAATATAATAGTAAATTGATTTATTTTAAAAACTAGACAGAATTTATTAACCTTGAAGACATTGTGTTAAGTAAAATAAGTCCATCACAAAAGGACCAGTACTCTGTGATGTCACTTATATAAGGTATGCAAAATAATCAAATGCATAAACACAGAGGAGAATGGGGGTTTCCAGGTGCTGGGGCTAGGAAGCAGGAATAAATGGAGAGTTACTATAAAACAGGTATAGCATTTCAGTCACGCCAGTGGATTAAGTTCTAGAGAGGTTCTGTATTTATCTATTTTTTGTTGTTGTTGCCCGTATAGGTAAGATTACTGCCATATACACTTACCATTTTTTTATTATTATACTTTAAGTTTTAGGGTACATGTGCACAATGTACAGGTTAGTTACATATGTATACATGAGCCATGTTGGTGTGCTGCACCCATTAACTCGTCATTTAACATTAGGTATATCTCCTAATGCTATCCCTCCCCACTCCCCCCACCCCACAACAGGCCCCGGTGTGTGATGTTCCCCTTCCTGTGTCCATGTGTTCTCATTGTTCAATTCCCACCAATGAGTGAGAACATGCAGTGTTTTGTTTTTTGTCCTTGCGATAGTTTGCTGAGAATGATGGTTTCCAGCTTCATCCATGACCCTACAAAGGACATGAATTCATCATTTTTTATGGCTGCATAGTATTCCATGGTGTATATGTGCCACATTTTCTTAATCTAGTCTATCATTGTTGGACATTTGAGTTGGTCCAAGTCTTTGCTATTGTGAATAGTGCCGCAATAAACATACGTGTGCATGTGTCTTTATAGCAACATGATTTATAATCCTTTGGGTATATACCCAGTAATGGGATGGCTGAGTCAAATGGTATTTCTAGTTCTAGATCCCTGAGGAATTGCCACACTGACTTCCACAATGGTTGAACTAGTTTACAGTCCCACCAACAGTGTAAAAGTGTTCCTATTTCTGCACATCCTCTCCAGCACCTGTTGTTTCCTGACTTTTTAATGATCGCCATTCTAACTGGTGTGAGATGGTATCTCATTGTGGTTTTGATTTGCATTTCTCTGATAGCCAGTGATGATGAGCCTTTCTTCATGTGTCTTTTGGCTGCATAAATGCCTTCTTTTGAGAAGTGTCTGTTCAAGTCCTTTGCCCACTTTTTGATGGGGTTGTTTGTTTTTTTCTTGTAAATTTGTTTGAGTTCATTGTAGATTCTGGATATTAGCCCTTTGTCAGATGAGTAGATTGCAAAAATGTTCTCCCATTCTGTAGGTTGCCTGTTCACTCTGATGGTAGTTTCTGTTACTGTGCAGAAGCTCTTTAGTTTAAATAGATCCTATTTGTCAATTTTGCTTTTGTTGCCATTGCTTTTGGTGTTTTAGACATGAAGTTCTTGCCCATGCCTATGTCCTGAATGGTATTGCCTAGGTTTTCTTCTAGGGTTTTTATGGTTTTAGGTCTAACTTTTAAGTCTTTAATCCATCTTGAATAAATTTTTGTATAAGGTGTAAGGAAGGGATCCAGTTTCAGCTTTCTACATATGGCTAGCCAGTTTTCCCAGCACCATTTATTAAATAGGGAATCCTTTCCCCATTACTTGTTTTTGTCAGGTTTGTCAAAGATCAGATGGTTGTAGATATGCGGCATTATTTCTGAGGGCTCTGCTCTGTTCCATTGGTCTATATCTCTGTTGTGTTACCAGTACCATGCTGTTTTGGTAGCAGTACCATGCTGTTTTGGTTACTGTAGCCTTGTAGTATAGTTTGAAGTCAGGTAGCATGATGCCTCCAGCTTTGTTCTTTTGGCTTAGGATTGACTTGGCAATGTGGGCTCTTTTTTGGTTGCATATGAACTTTAAAGTAGTTTTTTCCAATTCTTTAAAGAAAGCCATTGGTAGCTTGATGGGGATGGCATTGAATCTATAAATTACCTTGGGCAGTATGGCCATTTTCATGATATTGATTCTTCTTACCCATGAGCATGGAATGTTCTTCCATTTGTTTGTATCCTCTTTTATTTCATTGAGCAGTTGTTTCTAGTTCTCCTTGAAGAGGTCCTTCACGTTCCTTGTAAGTTGGATTCCTAGGTATTTTATTCTCTTTGAAGCAATTGTGAATGGAAGTTCACTCATGATTTGGCTCTCTGTTTTTGATATACAAGAATGCTTGTGATATTTGCACATTGATTTTGTATCCTGAGACTTTGCTGAAGTTGCCTATCAGCTTAAGGAGATTTTGGGCTGAGACGATGGGGTTTTCTAGATCTACAATCATGTCATCTGCAAACAAGGATAATTTGACTTTCTCTTTTCCTAATTGAATACCCTTTATTTCCTTCTCCTGCCTAATTGCCCTGGCCAGAACTTCCAACACTATGTTGAATAGGAGTGGTGAGAGAGGACATCCTTGTCTTGTCCCTGTTTTCAAAGGGAATGCATCCAGTTTTTGCCCATTCAGTATGATATTGGCTGTGGGTTTGTCATAGATAGCTCTTATTATTTTGAGATATGTCCCATCATTACCTAATTTATTGAGAGTTTTTAGCATGAAGTGTTGTTGAGTTTTGTCAAAGGCCTTTTCTGCATCTATTGAGATAATCATATGGTTTTTGTCATTGGTTCTGTTTACATGCTGGATCACGTTTATTGATTTGTGTATGTTGAACCAGCCTTGCATCCCAGGGATGAAGCCCACTTGATCATGGTGGATAAGCTTTTTGATGTGCTGCTGGATTCAGTTTGCCAGTATTTTTTTGAGGATTTTTGCATCGATGTTCATCAGGGATATTGGTCTAAAATTCTCTGTTTTTGTTGTGTCTCTGCCAGGCTTTGGTATCAGGATGATGCTGGCCTCATAAAATGAGTTAGGGAGGATTCCCTCTTTTTCTATTGATTGGAATAGTTTCAGGAGGAATGGTACCAGCTCCTCCTTGTACCTCTGGTAGAATTCGGCTGTGAATCCATCTGGTCCTGGACTTTTTTTGGTGGGTAAGCTATTGATTATTGCCACAATTTCAGCTCCTGTTATTGGTCTATTCAGAGATTCAACTTCTTCCTGGTTTAGTCTCGGGAGGGTGTATGTGTCGAGGAAGTTATCCATTTCTTCTAGATTTTCTAGTTTATTTGCATAGAGGTGTTTGTAGTATTCTCTGATGGTAGTTTGTATTTCTGTGGGATCAGTGGTGATATCCCCTTTATCATTTTTTATTGCATCTATTTGCTTCTTCTCTCTTTTCTTCTTTATTAGTCTTGCTAGTGAGCTATCTATTTTGTTGATCTTTTCAAAAAACAAGCTCCTGGATTCATTGATTTTTTTGAAGAGGTTTTTGAAGGGTTTATTTCCTTCAGTTCTACTCTGATCTTAGTTATTTCTTGCCTTCTGCTAGCTTTTGAATGTGTTTGCTCTTGCTTCTCTAGTTCTTTTAATTGTGATGTTAGGGTGTCAATTTTAGATCTTTCCTGCTTTCTCTTATGGGCATTTAGTGCTATAAATTTCTCTCTACACACTGCTTTGAATGTGTCCCAGAGATTCTGGTATGTTGTGTCTTTGTTCCTGTTGGTTTCAAAGAACATCTTTATTTCTGCCTTCATTTCATTATGTACCCAGTAGTCATTCAGGAGCAGGTTGTTCAGTTTCCATGTAGTTGGGCAGTTTTGAGTGAGTTTCTTAATCCTGAGTTCTAGTTGGATTGCACTGTGGTCAGAGAGAAAGTTTGTTATAATTTCTGTTATTTTACATTTGCTGAGGAGTGCTTTACTTCCAACTATGTGGTCAATTTTGGAATAGGTGTGGTGTGGTGCTGAGAAGAATGTATATTCTGTTGATTTGGGGTGGAGAGTTCTGTAGATGTCTATTAGGTCTGCTTGGTGCAGAGCTGAGTTCAATTCCTGGATATCCTTGTTAACTTTCTGTCTCGTTGATCTGTCTAATGTTGACAGTGGGGTGTTAAAGTCTCCCATTATTATTGTGTGGGAGTCTAAGTCTCTTTCTAGGTCACTAAGGACTTGCTTTATGAATCTGGGTACCCTTGTATTGGGTGCATATATATTTAGGATAGTTAGCTCTTCTTGTTGAATTGATCCCTTTACCATTATGTAATGTCCTTCTTTGTCTCTTTTGATCTTTGTTGGTTTAAAGTCTGTTTTATCAGAGACTAGGATTGCAGCCCCTACCTCTTTTTGTTTTCCATTTGCTTGGTAGATCTTCCTCCATCCCTTTATTTTGAGCCTATGTGTGTCTCTGAACGTGAGATGGGTTTCCTAAATACAGTGCACTGATGGGTCTTGACTCTTTATCCAATTTGCCAGTCTGTGTCTTTTAATTGGAGCATTTAGCCCATTTACATTTAAGGTTAATATTTTTATGTGTGAATTTGACCCTGTCATTATGATGTTAGCTAGTTATTTTGCTCGTTAGTTGATGCAGTTTCTTCCTAGCCTTGATGGTCTTTCCAATTTGGCATGTTTTTGCAGTGGCTGGTACTGGTTGTTCCTTTCCATGTTTAGTGCTTCCTTCAGGAGCTCTTTTAGGGCAGGCCTGATGGTGACAAAATCTCTCAGCATTTGCTTGTCTGTAAAGGATTTTAATTTCTTCTTCACTTATGAAGCTTAGTTTGGCTGGATATGAAATTCTGAGTTGAAAATTCTTTTCTTTAAGAATGTTGAATATTGGCCCCCACTCTCTTCTGGCTTCTAGAGTTTCTGCTGAGAGATCCGCTGTTAGTCTGATGGGCTTCCCTTTGTGGGTAGCCCAACCTTTCTCTCTGGCTGCCTTTAACATTTTTTCCTTCATTTCAACTTTGGTGAATCTGACAATTATGTGTCTTGGAGTTGCTCTTCTCGAGGAGTATCTTTGTGGCATTCTCTGTATTTCCTGAATTTGAATGTTTGCCTGCCTTGCTAGATTGGGGAAGTTCTCCTGGATAATATCCTGCAGAGTGTTTTCCAACTTGGTTCCATTCCCCCCGTCACTTTCAGGTACACCAGACGGAGCTTTGGTCTTTTCACATAGTCCCATATTTCTTGGAGGCTTTGTTCATTTCTTATCATTCTTTTTTCTCTAAACTTCTCTTCTCACTTCATTTCATTCATTTCGTCTTCCATCGCTGATACCCGTCCTTCCAGTTGATTGAATCGGCTACTGAGGCTTGTGCATTCAGCATGTAGTTCTCATGCCTTGGTTTTCAGCTTCATTAGGTCCTTTAAGGACTTCTCTGCATTGGTTATTCTAGTTAGCCATTCATCTAATTTTTTTTCGAGGTTTTTAACTTCTTTGTCATGGGTTCGAAATTCCTCCTTTAGCTCTGAATAGTTTGATCGTCTGAAGCCTTCTTCTCTCAACTCATCAAAGTCATTCTCTGTCCAGCTTTGTTCCATTGCTGGTGAGAAGCCGCGTTCCTTTGGAGTAGGAGAGGCGCTCTGATTTTTACAGTTTCATTTTTCTCCTCTGCTGTTACCCCCATCTTTGTGGTTTTATCTGCCTTTGGTCTTTGGTGATGGTGATGTACAGGTGGGGTTTTGGTGTGGATGTCCTTTCTGTTTGTTAGTTTTCCTTCTAACCATCAGGACCCTCAGATGCAGGTCTGTTGGAGTTTGCTGGAGGTCTACTCCAGACCCTGTTTGCCCGGGTATCAACACTGGAGGCTGCAGAACAGTGGATATTGGTGAACAGCAAATGTTGCTGCCTTATCATTCCTCTGGAAGTTTTGTCTCAGAGGAGTACCCAGTCGTGTGAGGTGTTAGTCTGCCCCTACTGGGGGGTGCCTCCCAGTTAGTCTACTCAGGGGTCAGGGACCCACTTGACGAGGCAGTCTGTCCGTTTTCAGATCTCCAGCTGCGTGCTGGGAGAACCACTACTCTCTTCAAAGCTGTCAGACAGGGACATTTAAGTCTGCAGAGGATTCTACTGCCTTTTGTTTGTCTATGCCCTGCCCCCAGAGGTGGAGTCTACAGAGGCAGGCAGGCCTCCTTGAGCTGCAGCGGGCTCTACCCAATTCAAGCTTCCGGGCTGTTTTGTTTACCTACTCAAGCCTCGGCAATATTGGGTGCCCCTCCCCCAGCCTTACTGCTGCCTTGCAGTTTGACCTCAGACTGCTGTGCTAGCAATGAGCAAGGGTCCATGGGCATAGGACCCTCCGAGCCAGGCACAAGATATAATCTCCTGGTGTGCTGTTTGCTAAGACTGTTAGAAAAGTGCAGTATTAGGGTGGGAGTGACCCAATTTTCCAGGTGCCGTCTGTCACCCTTTTCTTTTACTAGGAAAGGGAATTCCCTGATCCCTTGTGCTTCCCAGGTGAGGCGATGCCTCGCCCTGCTTCAGGTCACACTCAATGCTCTGCACCCACTGTCCTGCACCCACTTTCCCACACTCCCCCGTGAGATGAACCCGGTACCTCAGTTGGAAATGCAGAAATCACCCATTTTCTGCGTTGCTCATGCTGGGAGCTGTAGACTGGAGCTGCTCCTATTCGGCCATCTTGGCTCCACCCCCACACTTACAATTTTTAAGATGATAAATCTCTCTTGAAAAGAGAATAAAAGGTTGTGATAGTCTTTATTTCTGCCTTAATTTCGTTATTTACCCAGTAGTTTCTCAGGAGCAGGTTGTTCAGTTTCCATGTAGTTGTGTGGTTTTGAATGAATATGTTAATCCTGAGTTCTAATTTGATTGCACTGTGGTCTGAGAGACTGTTTGTTATGATTTCCATTCTTTTGAATTTGTTTTACTTACAATTATGTGGTTAATTTTAGAATAAGTGTGATGTGGTGCTGAGAAGAATGCATATTCTGTTGATTTGGGGTGGAGAGTTCTGTAGATGTCTATTAGGTCCTCTTGGTCCAGAGCCGAGTTCAAGTCCTGGAAATCCTTGTTAATTTTCTGTCTCATTGATCTGTCTAATATTGACAGTGAGGTGTTAAAGTCTCCCACTATTATTGTGTGGGAATCTAAGATGTTCTTTGAAACCAATTAGAACAAAGACACAACATACCAGAATCTCTGGGGCACATTTAAAGCAGTGTATAGAGGGAAAATTGTAGCACTAAATGCCCACAAGAGAAAGCAGGAAAGATCTAAAATTGACACCCTAACATCACAATTAAAGTAATTAGAGAAGCAAGCGCAAACAAATACAAAAGCTAGCAGAAGACAAGAAATAACTAAGATCAGAGCAGAACTGAAGGAGATAGAGACATGAAAAACCCTTCAAAAAATCAATGAATCCAGGAGCTTGTTTTTTGAAAAGATCAACAAAATAGATAGCTCACTAGCCAGACTAATAAAGAAGAAATGAGAGAAGAATCAAATAGATGCAATAAAAAATGATAAAGGGGATATCACCACTGATCCCACAGAAATACAAACTACCATCAGAGAATACTATAAACACCTCTATGCAAATATACTAGAAAATCTAGAAGAAATGGACAAATTCCTGGACACACACACCCTCCCAAGACTAAATCAGGAAGAAGTTGAATCCCTGAATAGAACAATAACAAGTTCTGAAATTAAGGCAGTAATTAATAGTCTACCAACCCCCAAAATAAATCCAGGACCAGATGGATTCACAGCCAAATTCTACCAGAGGTACAAAAAGGAGCTGGTACCATTCCTTCTGAAACTATTCCAATCAATAGAAAAAGAGGGAATTCTCCCTAACTCATTTTACGAGGCCAATGTAATCCTGATAAACCTGGCAGCGACACAACACAAAAGAAAATTTTAGGCCAATATCCCTGATGAACATCAATGTGAAAATCCTCAATAAATACTGGCAAACTGAATCCAGCAGCACATCAAAAAGCGTATACACCACGATCAAGTAGGCTTCATCCCTGGGATGCAAAGCTGGCTCAACATACACAAATCAATAAACATAATCCATCACATAAACAGAACCAATGACAAAAACCACATGATTATCTCAATAGATGCAGAAAAGGCCTTCAACAAAATTCAACAGTCCTTCATGCTAAAGACTCTCAATAAACTAGTTATTGATGGAACGTATCTCAAAATAATAAGAGCTATTTATGACAAACCCACAGCCAATATCATACTGAATTGGCAAAACCTGGAAGCATTACCTTTGAAAACTGGCACAAGACAAGGATTCCCTCTCTTACCAACCCTATTCAACAAAGTATTGGAAATTCTGGCCAGGGCAATCAGGCAAGAGAAAGAAATAAATTGTATTCCATAGGAAGAGAGGAAGTCAAATTGTCTCTGTTGGCAGATGACATGATTGTATATTTTTAGAAAACCCCATCATCTCAGCTCAAAATCTCCTTAAGCTGATAAGCAACTTCAGCAAAGTCTGAGGATATAAAATCAATGTGCAAAAATCACAAGTATTTCCATACACCAAAAACAGACAAACAGCCAAATAATGAATGAACTCCCATTCACAATTGCTATTAAGAGAATAAAATACCTTGGAATACAACATACAAGCAATGTGAAGGACCTCTTCAAAGAGAACTACAAAACACTGCTCAAGGAAATATGATACAACACAAACAAATGGAAAAACATTCCATGCTAATGGATAGGAAGAATCAGTATAGTGTAAATGGTCATACTACCCAAAATAATTTATAGAATCAGTGCTGTCCCCATCAAGGTACCATTGACTTCCTTCACAGAGTTGGAAAAGACTACTTTAAATTTCATATGGAACCAAAGAAGAGCCCGCATAGCCAAGACAATCCTAAGCAAAATGAACAAAGCTGGAGGCATCATACTACCTGACTTCAAACTATACTACAAAGCTACGGTAACCAAAACAGCATGGTACTGGCACAAAAACAGATATATAGACCAGTGAAACAGAACAGAGGCCTCAGAAATAACTCCACACATCTACAACCATCTGATCTTTGACAAAGGGCTAATATCCAGAATTTGCAAAGAACCTAAACAAATTTACACGAAAAAAAAACATCAAAAATCAGCAAAGGATATGAACAGACACTTCTCTAAAGAAGATATTTATGCAGCCAACAAACATGAAAAAATGCTCATCATCACTGCTCATTAGGGAAATGCAAATCAAAACCACAATGAGATAGCCATCTCATGCAGGTTAGAATGGCGATCATTAAAAAGTCAGGAAACAACTTGTTGGAGAGGATGTGGAGAAATAGGAATGCTTTTACACTGTTGGTGGAAGTGTAAATTAGCTCAACCGTTGTGGAAGACAGTGTGGTGATTGCTCAAGCATCTAGAACTAAAAATACCATTTGACCCAGCAATCCCATTACTGGGTATATACCCTAAGGATTAAAAATCATTCTACTGTAAAAAGACATGCCCATGTGTGTTTATTGCAGCACTATTTACAATAGCAAAAATTTGCAACCAACTGAAATGGCCATCAATAATAGACTGGATAAAGAAAATGTGGTACATATACACCATGGAATACTATACAGCTAGAAAAAAGAATGAGTTCATGTCCTTTGCAGGGACATGAATGAAACTGGAAACCATGATTCTCAGCAAACTAACACAAGAACAGAAAACCAAACACTACCTGTTCTCACTCATAAGTGGGAGTTGAACAATAAGGACACATGGACACGTTGTGGGTGGGGGGATGGCATCACACACCAGGATCTTTCAGGGTCTGGGGGTCTAGGGGAGGGATAGCATTAAAAGAAATACCTAATGTAGATGACAGGTTGATGGGTGCAGCAAACCACCATGGCACATGTATACCTATGTAACAAACCTACACATTCTGCACACGTACCCCAGAAGTTAAAGTATAATAATAAAAAAAAAAGGTTGTGATAATCAAAAGTGGTTAATTCTGAATAGAATGGAGGAAATGGAAATGGGAGAAGCTGGTTAAGTGAAAATTTAGGTTGTATCTAATGATCCATTATTTTAAATAATAAAGCATATAATATAAAAGTATTGTTTAATTTGAGTGATGGAAATACAGTGTCTAGAATGTAACTGCAGACATACCTTTTGCATCTACAATGCTTACAGACTAGAAAATTCCACATAATAAGTTAAAAAAAAAGAAATGCTATCAGTATTTACTTAAGATGCTTCTATATGCTTTGAGGGAATATCACAGGCTCATCATATAAAAAAACATATTTTCCAACCAAATAATTTTAATTAATCCCTAGAAATAAGACCAAATATATGATAAGTACAACAAGAATTTTAATTAATACCCCTTCTGGTCACATTAAGAAGTTAATTAAAAGTTGATATTCACTTTTTATAACCACTCACATGTTGAATTTATGTTTTATATCACCTGGTTTTTATGACTTATGTATCAGGAGTTGCTCTTGATGCAGAATATGGGGGTTACATTTAGTTCTGTTCACAATATTCACATTGAAATTGACCATTGGAGCCAGAATCCTGTGCTTGCTATGTATTGATTTTTTCAACCCAGGGCCAGCAGTATCAATTCTCATTTTATATAGGAGTAATTGCATTCTTTTTTTATTTAATAGTATTATCTAAGTGAGTCCCTAGGCAATCTCCACATTTCACTCTTTGGGTAAAATTTTGAGTGGAATCTTGGCTAATGAATGCTGTTTGTCTTTCTTTCCCCAGGGAATCTGATTTTTATTTGGAAAATCTTGTTGTCAAGCTTGGGGACTGGGAGCTAGAAACAAACATATTCAGTGTGCAGGTCTTCAGAGACTTCAGACCCTTGAAAAACTCTAGCATGCTTCGGGCAGGAACCTTGGGTCTGGGCCTGGCCAGATCTCTCTACACAGGTAGGTTACACCAAATATTTTACTTCTTTCTAAGTTTCATGTAAAAATCAAGTATCTTTGAGGATTTACCAATTTAAATCAGACTCAGGATTGAAATGATATCTAATTTGTCTTCTTTTCCAAATAACTCAAGTATCTGCCCACTGATTGCTTATTGGAAGTGACAGTGATACAACATAAACAATAGTATCCAGCATCTCTATTGATAGACTAGACAGCTTGAACATTTATACCAAATAATGAATAGTCATTACAGTTAGTATATTCCACCTTAATATGAACACTGATTTTTTTCTGCCTTAGAACCGAGATGTTTAGAGAGAATGCTACACCAAAAGGGAAGTATCTTATGTGTCTCTGATGCATATGATTTGATGTTTCAAAAAAGGGCTTTCAAAAATACTTGACAATGATGAAAATGAGCTTTTATTCTTGCATTCCCTGGGGTGAAAAATCCTAGGATGAAAAGATTCCCTGGTACTAATAGTCAATCTCCCTGATGGATGCCAAAAACTCACGTTGAGATTCAGTGCTTGTCTCAAACCAGACCCATGTCTCAACAAGATTAACACAAATTCCACAGTTAGACATTAATGAAATATAGTCTTGAAATCTTCTCAGAAGCTATTTAAGAGTTAATTTGCAACATAACACCTCATCCAAAGGGTGACAATTTTTACAGTGAAATTGACATTAAAATTATTAACCTCAGGTATATTTTTATTTATTTTATATTGAGATTCATGGTATTGGTAGACCTATAAAATATTTCTTTTCAAAAACTAATTTTAAAAAAACTTTTGTGAAAAATTATAATAGCTCTTAACAGGAAAATTCTAACAAAAAATATTCTAAAAAAAAAAAGAAAACTCAACAGGAGAAAACTGGGTTTGTTCTAAGGAAACTTTATGTCAATGGCATATACTTGCTGAAATAATAATCAACTCCAGCTCTGCCCTCAGCCATGCTTCAGAGGAGGAGAAATTAATAATGGGTAAAGATATTAAATATTTGCAAATTATCTTCCTTCCCCGAGCTAATTGCACAAATTCAAGAGTAGCCAGTAAATAATTGCTATTGCTCATGATGTTCTTTTTTGTTGTTAAATTAAGGGTGTCTATGGAATATAAATGTCAGAATGAACAATGCACTGAGTTGCTTTGTGTGTGGCAGCCAAACAGGAAATATTTTGATCAAAGTAATTTTTAGCACAATGTTTTAAATCATAAGCTTGCCTGCTTATAAGACATGCAGTTCTTTTTAGCGCAGTGGCAAGAAACAAAAGATAGAGGATAGGCGCTACACACAATCAGATCAGTTTCTCAGACTCATATTTGATGTATTTAATAATGTATCATAACAAAGAAACATTGAAGATTTAAGAGGTAATCTGATTGCAAGACAGCATGTTTTGTTTGTTAAAAAAGGAGCTAGATATTGTGTGTCCCAGTTTTTTAAAAAATATGCAGTAGTATAATTCATTTGCTATTTCTGTATTAACTGTAAAAGCACTCAGTAAGGTGGAATGAATTACTGGAATTAAGAACTCACATTGAAAATCATTCAAAGCATGCTAATAACAAAAACTGAAGGTAGCATCCATTTTGCATTCACTTGGTACCAGGCTCTATAAAAACAAATCATTTATGTGCATTATCTCATTTAATGTGGATAATACAAGAATATAATGCTTGGTAAAAATCACCTAGGTATTAATTGGTAGACTAAAACAAACCAATTACATAAACAAAATCACAAAAACAAAATAAAACCATGAAGTTTAGATCAATGTCTACATAGTATTTTCAAGTAATTTTGAGTATTAATTGGTAGACTAACACAATCAATCACAGAAACAAAATCATAAAACCATGCAGTTTGGAACAATGTCTTACACAGTCTTTTTGAGTAATTTTACTTCAATGAGACTCAATTTTCTTATTAGACATGAAAATAATTACCATCTACCTATATTTTAGGGTGCTCCTGCAGAATGAGATAACTATTTCAAAATTCTTAGGATAACTTTCAACACATGTTACTTTTTAAATAAATATTAACAGCCTTCCCCACTCGTCTTTCTATACAAGTATAATAAATCAAAGTAATCTAACTTTAACAAATAAAAGTTGTAAGTAATAAGCATTAAAAAATAAAACAATAACAATTTAAAATGAAAAAGTATAAGCTAGAAAGGGAAGGGAGAGTAGGGCTTCTGGAACAAAATAGTAGAGAAGAGTCTGAGTAAGAGAAGTCACAATGATAGGACAGGACTGGCTTATCTAGCAGAAGTAACGAAATGTGATTGAGTAAAAAGGATTCTGACTTTCAGAATTACACTCAGAGGGAAAAATATTGAAGTGTAGGCCTACTTCTGCACAGCTGAAGCAACATTATGCGGTAGAAATTGATAAAGCAAAATCCAGAATACTGAAAGTGTTTCCCATAGAAATGTTGAAATTCCCAAGAATTATTAATGACAAGTTAGGGGCTGGATAAGTCACCAGTGGAAGCTAGGAAAAAGATAACTGGTGGTCACCCCGTGTCATCAACTTCTTAAGGCTGCTCTCTCTTATCACTGGAAACACAGACAGAAACACACAAATAAAAATTGTAAGTAATAAATTACATGTTCATGTAAGTGTATATATATTAATCAATATCATATGCTAATCTATGTATATAATACATGTGAATATACATTAATATAAAATGCATATCTATTCATCCAATATTATGTGCTAATATAGTTGATAAATGCATAATATTAAGACATATTACAAAACAAATAAATATGTATTCACTCAATATAAACTATATCCAATAGTAAATACATAAATTGCTTGTCCAAACAGTTTTAAGACTCTTTTTTTTTTTTTTTTTTTTGAGACGGAGTCTCGCTCTGTCGCCCAGGCTGGAGTGCAGTGGCACCACTGCAAGCTCCGCCTCCCAGGTTCGCAGCATCCTCCTGCCTCAGCCTCCCGAGTAGCTAGGACTACAGGCGCACACCACCACACCCGGCTGATTTTTCGTGTTTTTTAGTAGAGACGGGGTTTCACCGTGTTAGCCAGGATGGTCTCGATCTCCTGACCTCGTGATCCGCCCGCCTCGGCCTCCCAAAGTGCTGGGATTACAGGCGTGAGCCACCACGCCCGGCCAGTTTTAAGACTCTTAATTGTCTGGGGAGTTTTTATTTCTGAAGTTTATGAAAACATGGGGAGAAAAACAATTAGGTTCTGAAACTTGTAAGAGTTTGTAAAACAAAATAAACTGATTTCAAATGAAATATTTAACAACCTAGCATCTAACAGAAACATCAATGTTATCATCAATTGATTTCTTTCAACTTTTTCAGGTAAAAGATGAAGCCAACAATACAAATGGCTTCAGGAAATCTCACATGGGTGACGGAGTTCATTCTTGTGGGAGTCTCAGATGATCCGGAGCTCCAGATTCCCCTCTTCCTGGTCTTCCTGGTGCTCTATTTGCTGACCGTGGCAGGGAACCTGGGCATCATCACCCTCACCAGTGTTGACCCTCAACTTCAAACCCCCATGTACTTTTTCCTCTGACACTTGGCTATTATTAATCTTTGCAATTCTACTGTCGTTGCCCCTAAAATGCTGGTTAACTTCCTGGTTACCAAGAAAACCATATCATACTATGGATGTGCAGCCCAACTGGGTGGATTCTTGGTTTTCATTGTGGCTGAGATTTTCACGCTGGCTGCAATGGCCTATGACCGCTATGTGGCTATTTGGAGCCCTCTGCTCTACGCCGTAGTGGTGTCTCCAAAGGTGTGTCGTCTGCTGGTGTCCCTCACATACCTTCAGAGTCTTATCACAGCACTGACTGTCTCTTCCTGTGTGTTCTCTGTGTCATACTGTTCTTCCAACATTATCAACCATTTTTACTGTGATGATGTCCCTTTGCTAGCATTGTCCTGTTCTGATACCTACATTCCAGAAACAGCAGTCTTTATCTTTTCAGGGACCAACTTGCTTTTCTCCATGATCGTTGTTCTGATATCCTACTTCAACATTGTTATTACCATTTTGAGGATACGTTCCTCAGAAGGACGACAAAAAGCCTTTTCCACCTGTGCTTCTCACATGATAGCTGTGGTTGTGTTCTATGGGACTCTCCTTTTCATGTATTTGCAACCAAGGAGTAATCATTCATTAGATACTGACAAAATGGCTTCGGTCTTCTACACCCTGGTGATACCAGTGCTGAACCCTCTAATCTACAGCCTCAGGAACAAGAACGTGAAGGATGCACTAAAGAGGTTCCTAGATAACCCATGCCGATCACTCAAACTAATGTAAATGTAAAGCTAAAACTATCTTCCTTTAGTGCTTTTCGTTTTTTCCTGAAAACTGCTGTGTTTTAAAAAAAAGTGTCAAGAAATTTTTAGAAATTCCATTCATTTCAGTGGGAAATGTTTAATTGTTCTTATGTCAACCTCACATACGCAAACAAGAAAACAATATCTATAATTAATAAAAATAATTTGAAAATAATCACAGTTTATAGATAACTTATAGATAAAATGTAAGCCACTAAAGGGTTTTTAAAATAATTTCCAAACAAGGAAAAGAATGCCTGATAGTGCGTGTGGAGGTATGTGGCATCATTTCTTGGAAGGTGGTCAAAACTCAGATCATCCTCCTTGCAAGAGACATCTTTTGTTCAGCTACTAAAAATTATATTTTTAGTTTTGTAGCATTTTATCCATCAAGTTCAACTTTTGTGGAACCATTTTTATCTTGTATTTAAAAATAAATTTTTTATCACAGAAAAACTACACATGGAAATAAGACTTAAGGGAAAACAGGCTAACAAATTTTTAAAGGGGATTTTCTTTTTTCATTGTTCTCAGTTGGTGTGTGCACCCAAAGCTAAATGTTGATGTTCTCTCAAATAAGACACACAACTTTTTTCCATCTCATCATAAAACATTTGTGTAAAGTTAATTGCCTTTGTTATGAAACTATAATACCAAACACAACTACTTTTAGCATTTTCATTCAGTGTAATTTGAAATGAAATTTTATCAGACAAAATTTTTTAAAAATAATATTTTCTTAAAGATGTCCTCCTGTTTTTTTTTAAGTTAGTAGTTACTATGAACTACATCTCTTTGCATGTAAAAGGCTACTAATGCATGATGGAGTGAGGGAGAGTGGCACTTATATGTGAAATAAAGGTAGTGTCTGGAAATAAAGTACAGTTATAATATTTTCAGGAAGGTTAGAAGCATACTCAATCCGGGGACTGTGTGACTCAAATCAATATTTCAACTTCTAACTTTAGCCTTAAAGGAGCAGAATCACTGAAGGCAGGAAAAATCACACTATATGAGGGACATTTCTGGTCTCAAGGGCAACATTAATAATAGTTCTATGGCATTTGCCTTTATGTTACTTATCTGTTTATTTGTGTATCTTTTTCTACTTTATGATATGTGTATTTGGCTTCATCAACTGATATAATTGTAACTGGAGAACTATACTTCCCATTAGAAACAATTCTTTTGGGTCTGGCTAGATGAATAGCATTGGAGTAACAGGGCTAAACTCACACTTGCATTTATACCAATGTTATGCATATTACTAAATTAGTTAAGGTCAGTAAGAAGTACTCCAGTGTTTTCTACCTTTTAATTTGGCTTACACATGTGTATTTTGTAAAAATAATGATGTTGTCTCTTGTATTCGTTTTCTATTGCTACTGTAAGAAATCACTACAAACATAGTAGCTTGGAACAACCCAAATTTATTATCCCACATTTCTAGGGGTCAGAAAGTCAAAGTGGATCTCATGAGGTTAAAACCAAGGTGTTGGCAGTCTGTATTCCTACTGGAATCTCCGGGACAATCTATTTTCTTGCTTTTTCCAGGTTCTAGAGGTTGCCTACAGCAATTGGCTTATGTTCTCCTTCCAGTCAGCAATCTCATCACTCTGACCTCTGCTTCCACTGCTGTGTCCCCTCTGCCTTTCACCCTCTTCTTCCCTCTCTCCCCTGTGATTGTCTTGGACTCACACAGATAATCCATAAAATCCTCCTCATCTCATGATTCTTAATCACATCAGCAAATTCCCTTTTCCATGGAATGTGACATGTTCAGATAGATTCCTGTACCTGTCTTATTCATTAGTGCTCAATGGTATAGTCTTACAAAAGTTGACATGCTATATATCCTTTCTACATTATTTACTATAAAATTTATGTAAACAAAGTATACACATGGCCTTCTTTGAATAAAAAATAAAAATCAGTTGGTTTTAATGTTGCAAAAGTATATACACATATAAACATACACACTCATATACCACTTGTGACACTTTTATTCATATGTGATGAATTAACTCAATCAACCAAGCAGATAAGTTTTCAAAGAAGCAAGATAGAACAATTAAATTGTCAGCTCTGGTCTATATGTTAATCACCCCAGGGGGCATGTCAACCTAAATAACAGAGAGAGGCTCTCTAAAAGAGAATAATATTTATTCAGGATTACAGCATTGCAATGAGAAGGCAAGTGCCATAGTAAATTATGTGCATATTCAGAGAGAAAAAGGAAGACAAAGGGTTTTATAGAGAAAAAAATGAGGAATATTACCTTTGGCTTCAAAAATCAGTAATAAGAGTGATACTAGTCTGAGGTTGGACAGGCAGTTGCTGGAGAGATGTCCTTGGAGAAGTATATATATTTTTAAAGTTGTGATGGCCTTTGTGCAAGGTTGTGATTTTTGCCGTCATTTGTGATACTTTTGCTATCAGGCATACAAGCCTGAGAACCTTCTCTCCATGCCTTCTAAGGCTTCGTCAGTTTGTGTGTATGTGTGTTTGTTGTTTTTTAATTTTTTAAACAGAAGTAACTCCATTTTGATTCTGACAGCTTTCACATTTCCCCCTTTTGATCAAAATATTCTTCCAAAAGCACCACTAGTAAGTCATACTGTCATTAAGTTTTGATGTTTCTTGGTGCCAAAATAAAAATAGACTTGTTCTGCATTCCTGATCCCATCTCACATTGGAGAGAGTGCTTACTGACTGTGAGTTAATGACAAAACCCCATTAGCCATATTTGAGCAACATGAGAGTTTTGAAGGAAGAGACTCACAGGCTAAGTCTACCTGGAATTCATTATTAAGTTCAGTTCTGTCTGTTTCATAATCTTTTTGCCATCATCTGAAAGTGCTGAGTAAGCATTGTTTTGTTAGAAATTGTATTTCTGGAAAAAATTCAACGAGTAGCACACAAAGTTTAAAAGTGGAAAACACAAAGTAAAATTAACAGTAGTATGAAAGTCCCAATTTGTATAATAGTTTTGATCCTAGGCTTAAAGACAACCAATTGAATAAATCAAATGCCATTTATGCTGCCAAATGAAAAAGGTAGGCCTGAGAATAGTGAGCCCCATTATAGAGTTTTATTCTGACATTGTGGGAAAAGCTGCCTACGGCATTAAGACATCAACTTTTTGTCATGGTTTGTAGTTTGACTATAACTGATTACAATATCAGGTGGTTTGGTAAACATTTTCTGTGGCCCGTATATGAGGCAGGAGGCTTGTTCCTTAAAATTTATCTAGTTTCAGCTTATAGGGCTTTTGGAACAAAAAAGTTTTTGTTTTCAGTAATTCTATAGAAGAAAGTTGTATTGGGAGAATCTAGAAGACTTGAAAATTTAGTGTAGTCTACAGGTAAATAACAAGAACTTAAAAACAATGCAAAGTGCTATAACCGAATAATGGATATATTATACCTTTGCTTTAGAAACATGACTTTTTCTCTGCCTTGATCACCTAAAAATCTCAGATTTAAAAACTTCTTAAGCTAGAAAGCCAAACCAAGGCAGACCTTGGATTTTGTTTACATACTTACAATCTTAAGGTTCCTAGGCCTGTCAAGAAGTGATAATTTTTACTTAATTCCCTGTAAGGCAGGGAGCTGTTGAAATCTGGTATTTTATGCAAATTTTCAAATATGACATATTTTCAGTCAAATCCATGGTAATATGACCAATATTTCTAATTGTGTCCTCCTGTAAAGATAAATCAGATTTTTATTGAAATTATGTTATTATATAGATTGTCATTAAAAGTAAGAATACTTATGAATAGTTTTTGAATTTTCAAGGAATTAAATTGGGAGAGAAATCAAATGCTTTCAATTTTTTCACAAAATTATCCTTTACCAAATTTGTGTAAATTATAGCTTATGAGAGAAATTTTTCTTAAATCTTGAAAACAAACCATTTAAGTAAAGAATCAATGTTTTAAACAACGTTTTAAATAAAATAATAAAAACTATTTTCATCAGTTATTTTTATATTGCTTGATCTTGATTAGCAGTTTTATGAACCCATAAGTTTTATGAACCTATAAGTTTTTTAAATCAGAGTTCTAGACATTTTTATTTATTTCATTGCCTTTAAGGTTGTCATAAATCTACTCAAGAATACTTGTTAAAGTCTTTTCCATGAAAGGCAATTTTGGATTATAGTTAATTGTAAATACTTTTAGAGAAGAATTTAAAGCAATAATTGTGAATGACAAAAAGTTAGAATAGTCATGGATAAAAATCTGATGAAAGTTTTCAATTGACAAGGAAATTTATTTATTATTACCTATTACATTTTAAAATATCAATCAGAATTATGACTGGCTGAATCACATCAGGGCTATCAGACTTTTATAAATGTGACACAACTGGCCGGGCGCGGTGGCTCACGCCTGTAATCCCAGCACTTTGGAAGGCCAAGGCAGGTGGATCACGAGGTCAGGAGATCAAGACCATCCTGGCTAACACAGTAAAACCCCGTCTCTACCAAAAATACAAAAAATTAGCCAGGCGTGGTGGCGGGTGCCTGTAGTCCCGGGTAATCGGGAGGCTGAGGCAGGAGAACTGCGTGAACCCGGGAGGTGGAGCTTGCAGTGAGCCCAGATGGTGCCACTGCACTCCAGCCTGGGAGACAGAGTGAGACTCCGTCTCAAAAAAAAAAAAAAAAAAAAAAGTGACACAACTGAAAATCATAAAATGCTCACATCAATAATACATCCATATAAATATAACTTTAAAGAAGATTAAGCTTATCAACCAAAATTATGACTGCTAACATATTAGATTTTCATAAGTTTATGTAGATTTTAAAACAAGTATAGATAACATGCCCCTGAATGTAACTGAAAGAAGATTTAACATCACTTAGTATTTGACAATGTTTCCCCCTTATACTTTACTAAATAAAACTAATCATTTAGCAAGACATATGTTCTTGACATATGGGCCCAAGTGGAAAATTTCAAAGTTAATTATAGATCAGAAAATCTTCATTTTAGAGCCAAGAGCCCCATTTGCATGTGTGGAGAAGCAGTGGCACCAGCGCAGTGGTGCGAGACACTCTCACCCCCCTCAGGAGACTTAGGGACGCACTGCCTCTGTCACCTGCTCAGCTCCCTGCCCGGGTGAGGAGGCCATCTTGTGTGGTTGAGTGTCTTGAGCTGAGGGCAGCAACTATGACTGAGTTGCTATTGGTGATAACAAAAGCCTCAGCAGGTGGGGAGGATGAAAGGTAGCTGGATGGAGCTGGGAGATGGGACACCACACAATATTAAACAGTTGAAGAGAAGGAATCGGGTTATCTTTTCAGTCAGCTACAATGGTAAGTTCTACAAGGATGTGATGGAGGTGGTGAACGATCAAAACTTGCCTATTTCAGTGATGTTCCTGTAGGTGCAGTGTACTCTAGGGTGGCTCATTCACAGAATCAGAAAAGACTTTACATCATGACACTTGGATATCTGGCACCTTACCAAAGGCTAGGAATAGGAACTACAATGTTAATTCATGTCTTAAACATGTGAAAAAGATGGCACTTTTGACATCTATCTGCATGTCCAGATCAGCGGTGAGTCGGCAATTGACTTCTACAGGAAGTTTGGCTTTGAGATTATGGAGCCCAAGAAGAACTACTATAAAACCGCAAAGCCTGCAGATGATCATGTCCTGCAGAAAAACCTCAAATTACCTTCTGGTCAGAATGCAGATGTGGAAAAGACAGACAACTGAACAAATTACCTTCTCAAAAGGAGAAAGAAGGAAAACTGAAGGCAATAATAACCTGAAAATCACGTGCAGTGAGATATAGCAAAAATTGAACTTCAAAATATGAATCTAAAATACTTTAAGAGGAGAAATCTACCTATAGAAGTAACATTCTCATTTTAAATAAAAAAATACAGCATTTCCAACCAGAAATTAGGAAAATTAATTGGATCTCAGAAAGAAATTTGGCAGAAATAGATAGTGTTTGCAGTTTAGAAAATGACTGTTACAGAAACAGATTTCAAAATTAAAAATCAAAACTTTTTGCAATTTTATTAAAAGCAAACCAACATTTCAATAAAACCATATTGTTTTACCATAAGGGACAAAGATTTAGTTTTATATTAGTTTATTTAATACTGAATAACTTATAAATATATTTATACATTTAGTTATAGAGAACTTGATTACAAACAAAATTTATTTTATAAATTCCTCTTTAAAATTATTTTCATGATTTATTCAGACCATTGTTGACATGTTTGGAATTTTAATTTTGTCCTGTGCTTGCTCCTTTTAAAATAAGCATTTTACTTTAGTACAAAAATTATCACACGAGATTTTTTTTCTACAAAATTTTTTAACCTTCTTTGCCAAAAATACATTTTCTTACCCATAACTTTTGTCACATCTCTCTCAACTATTTACTAGTTTTTGTCTTGTTTTAATTTTCTTCCTAAATCTATTTGTTGAAATAATCTTTAAAAAACCTCTGAATTATGCAATATTATTTTTAAAAGAACATATTTTAGGTTTGTAAATAGTTTTTTGTCAAAAAATCTTGTTTTTAATACATTTTCTATACAGAATTATATTGATTTTGACTGTTGTTGTTTTATTTATTTTTATTTTTATTTTTTGAGACAGAGTCTCGCTCTGTTGCCCAGACTGGAGCGCGGAGATGCGATCTCGGCTCGTAGCAGCCTCTGCCTACCAGGTTCAAGTGATTCTCCTGTCTCAGCCTCCTGAGTAGCTGGGATCACAGGCATGTGCCACCACGCCCAGCTAATTTTTGTATTTTTAGTAAAGACGGGGTTTTTCCATGTTGGCTAGGCTGGCCTTTAATTCCTGACCTCAGGAGGTGGCCTCCCAAAGTGTTGGGATTACAGGCGTGAGTCACTGTTTCTGTCCCAGAATTATATACATATTAATTGGAATTTTAACTCTTAGCAACCTAATTTCTACCAAGCAGTGTTAAACCATCTGTCATTTATCAGTATTTTATGGAATGGAAGCCATTTTATATATTTTGAAACATGTTTTCCTATAGCATAATTTTTGTATGTACTGATAGACTCTAGTATATTTACTATTTCTATATAATTTAAGAAACCATGAATAAAAGTATTTTGTTTAACAATCAGTTTGATTTTCTAAAATTTGCAAATGACCCAGTTATTTAGTGAATATTTATTACTTAATTTAACATAACATAACTTTACAATTTTAAATTACATGAAAAGTTTATTTATAAGCATTTATCTCATTTACTTAAATTTTATTTAACTTTAACAGTTTACCTGTGTTATCTATGAGAATTGACATATTAAACAAAACTAGAATATTTTTAAATTATTTTCCTATCAATTATTATTATAGCCTGTGACTCTCAGGTGTTCACTTAAGAACTTTAATTATATGAGTATTTTATCAATAATTCAAAAAATACAGTGGTTTTCATTAAACTGACAATATAAAATTACCCTTATGTATCAAAGAGTTACAGAAAGATTATTCTGGTTTAGGCTAGGTTTATAGTTTTACAACCTGTGTGTCAAATCTTGACACTTTAAACCATCTAGCCCAGACAAGTATAAAAGTGTCTGACCAGTAAATTCAGGCAGAAATGTATGTTTCCAATCCTGAAGATTTTTTTTCTTACTTTACCAATAATTTTAAAATCAGCTAATTTATTAAAGATATACCTATGTCACATGAACTAAAAGGCATTTGGTTAATTACTATATCATATAATTTTATATGAGTGCTCATTTATTTAAGCCAATTTAAATAAAATTTCATAATGAATGTCTGGCCAACTGCACTAGGTTTTACCATATAGGTACAACATACAACAATATATTTACATATCAATAAGTGTACCTAAACACATATATACACACAGTGATTTTATAGTCTTTATTTTAGTATTTGGTCATGAGACAGTAAACTATAGAAACTCACTGGTTTATAAAAAAACAGTTGGATTCAAATTATATTTTTTATAAAATTGGCACCTCCTCACATAACTAAATTTTATTTGCCTGATAGGCAATCTAATGAAGGCTGTCGACCAAAATTTTGTATAAAGCAGCACTTTCCATAGCAATTGGAATTTTTTTACACTATTTTTTCCTTTTTTCTCTTTCTTTTTAATTTTAAGTAAATTTAGGATTAAATATTTAAAACTTACATTTTTGCTAGGACTGGCTGAGTTGTATAAGAAAAACAAATTTAAGAGTAGCCTTGAATCTGTCTTGTGTTTCTTGACCAGACAAATATTAGCGGGAAACCATTTTAGTAAGTCTGGATTTTTTTCCTTTTTTTTTTTTCTTTTTCCTTTTGGCCCCTGATTGCAGACAATGTGAACTTTTATCTTATTTAACAAAGACATCTTATATTATTTCCCTGATCTTAACAGTTTGACCTGTTTGATCTGTTAGCCAAACTTTTATAAACTTTTATTTAGTTTTTTCTTTTACACTATTAATCCTTTAACTAACTATTCTACTACCCTAATTGTTAGTCAAACACAGTTACATTTATATTTCCAAGTTACCATGAAGCTGTTGTAGCTTGTAAAGCCATTAATTTGAAAATTCTTTAAAATCTATTTTTTTAAAAATAGTCTTGGCTGGAATGCCATAATAATTGAGTTTTGGCTTAACACTAATACAAAAGTCAGCAGATTTAAAATAGGCAGAAAAGAAAAATAGAGAAATAGGAAACCTTGACAAATTTACATGTTAATTCTATAGTTTCAGGGCTTTATTTTTTTAAAAGGGTTTGACTAATGACCATTTGAACTTTTAATTTTTCTCAATGTAATTTTCCCATCAATTAAACAATGTATATAAGAATGGACCATATTATATTGCTGGCTGTAATCCTAGAAAACCTGGCATGCCTCAATATTTGAAAATAACTTTTTTTTTTATTAATCTCTTGAGAGAAAAGAGAAGCTTATAAATCCTGTTAGAAAATGTCAGGAGTTTTCAGGACATAGGCATGGGCAAGGACTTCATGACTAAAATACCAAAAGCAATGACAACGAAAGCCAAAATAGACAAATGGGATCTAATTAAACTAAAGAGCTTCCGCACAGCAAAAGAAACTACCATCAGAGTGAACTGGCAACCTACAGAATGGGAGAAAATTTTTACAATCTACTCATCTGACAAAGGGCTAATATCCAGAATCTACAAAGAACTTAAACAAATTTAGAAGAAAAAAATCAAACAACCCCATCAAAAAGTGGGCGAAGGATATGAACAGACACTTCTCAAAAGAAGACGTTTATGCAGCCAACAGATGCATGAAAAAATGCTCATCATCACTGATCATCAGAGAAATGCAAATCAAAACCACAATGAGATACCATCTCATGCCAGTTAGAATGGCGATCATTAAAAAGTCAGGAAACAACAGGTGCTGGAGAGGATGTGGACAAATAGGAACACTTTTATGCTGTTGGTGGGACTGTAAACTAGTTCAACCATTGTGGAAGACAGTGTGGCGATCCCTCAAGGATCTAGAACTAGAAATACCATTTGACCTAGCCATCCTGTATATACCGAAAGGATTATAAATCATGCTGCTATACAGACACATGCAGACGTATGTTTATTGCGGCACTATTAACAATAGCAAAGACTTGGAACCAGCCCAAATGTCCATCAGTGATAGACTGGAGGAAGAAAATTTGGCACGTATACACCTTGGAATTCTATGCAGCCATAAAAAAGGATGAGTTCATGTCCTTTATAGGGACATGGATGAAGCTGGAAACCATCATTCTGAGCAAACCGTCGCAAGGAGAGAAAACCAAACACTGCATGTTCTCACTCATAGGTGGGAACTGAACAATGAGAACACCTGGACACAGGAAGGGGAACATCACACAGTGGGGCCATTTGTGGGGTTGGGGGAGAGGGCAGGGATAGCATTAGGAGATATACCTAATGTAAATGACGAGTTAATGGGCGCAGCACATGAACATGGCACATGTATACATATGTAACAAACCTGCATGTTGTGCAAGTGTACCCTAGAACTTAAATTATAATAATAATAATAATTTAATAAAGAAAATGTCAGGAGTTTAGATCAGTGTTTTAGTTGGTGGTGTTGCCTTAGTGACTTTTAATGAGCCATCTCGTGTCCAGCATTTAGGCTGTATATTTTTACTCTCAGAAAACTTTCAGGAACAAGCAAAACAAATAAGTCAAATCATTTACATATATAAAATAATAAATTCAAAAGAAACCAAGATAAGGGTGTTGTCAAAATTTTTAGCCCATATGTGCAGATCAAACAAAATGTTAAATTAGACGTGTAGAGAGAACCCAAAATAAATTCACCTGTAAAGACATGCCTCAGAGACAGAATGTAAATACCGTAGAAACCAGAGTACTCAACCCAGAAAGACACTTGTATTTATACAAAAAAACATAACAGAAAAGACAAAAAGTATTTAATATCCCAAGAGGCATCCTTGTTTTCAGGCTGCCTTATGGAAACCTATGCTATCAACTTATTCACACATATAGTATCAACTGACATGATAGAGGCATCAGTGTTTTCTAAAAAAGAAAGAATGATCTTTTTGATAAATGGCATTAGACAATTTATATATCTATTTTGAATTAAAAAATCTGAGCATCTACCTCATTCCTTATTTAAAATGAATTTCAAATGGTTTAAAGATCTAAATATAAAATACAAATAATAAAGCTTTTAGAAGAAAGCATGAGGGACATCTTTGTGATATTGGAGTATGTACAAAATTTTAAACAGAATAAACAAAGCAATAATCATATAAAATTAAAGATTAATCAATTTTAAGAAGTCCTTTTCATCAAAATTAACAGTGTCAAAAGGGCAATCCTTATAATAGGAGAGAACATTTTATTACACATGCTTTATCAAATAATATACATGTGTATCTGACAGAGGACTCATGCAAAATGTGAAAATAATTCTTACAAATCAATACATAATTGATATGAAAATCAATGTAAAAGTGGAGAAAAGACATGAACACTTTTCAAAAGAAAATATGTAAATGACCATTGCACATATGAAAAGCTTCTCAATGAATTCATGATTAGGATAATGAAACTCGAAACGACAATGATACCCACACCATAGAGAATGGCTAAGTCTCGACAAGGATAGTGAACAATCATGACTATTATGTCTTTCTCATTGGAGTGCACGTTGCTATAACTACTCTGTAAACTCATTTGGAAGTATTTACTAATGCTGAACATGTGTATATTATGACATAGCAATTCCAGTCTAAGAAATATACCCAAATGGAAATACATGTTTATGTTAATTGAAACATGCAATAGAATGTTCATATCATCACTATTCATAAAACCTCTAGAATAATGAATAACTAATTTGTGGTGTATATATATATATATATATAAAATGTTCAATTGTGCACAGAAATGAGAATGAGCAATGTAGAACTACTCGTCACAATATATTGAATGAAAGAACCCAGGAATGGAAACATAACATGCATAGGATTTTATTCATATAATGTAACAAAAATAGCTGTACGTTATGTTGTTAGAAGTCAGAATACTAGCTGTTCATTCTTTGAGTGTGTTGGGGGAAGTTCATGGAGGAAAAGAGAATGAAGGATTCTTATGGGGTCCTGACAATGTTTTATTTTGTTGTTATTGTTGTTTCTGTTTAATCTGGATTCTGGTTACTTAGGTTAAGTTTGTAAAACTTGAGTTAGAAATTAAGTTTGTAAAAATTTATTTATGATTTGTACATTTGCTTATGTGCTTATATGTATTTTCTACTTCAATAATAAATCTAAAACACCACAAAGTACAGAAAAAACAGCTACACACTTATTACTTTCTCATGTAAATTTTTGAAATAATGCAATCGGCAGTGTTTAAGCACTTTATTGTATCCTTAGCTACAAAGCCATAAAAATCCACTATATTGGGAAAGAGATATTAAGAGTTACAAGAAAAAAAGTTATGTCCTACAGATAGAAGTTTTGATTCCAGATCTCTGTGTTGCAGTAGAGAAAATATAACCAAGAATAGTGGTGGAAAGGTAACTAACATAACTCTACTTGTTTGGAAATATAAGCATATTCTATTATTAGCAGATATCCCATTGGCTTTGTTTGAAGCTTCCAAATGCTTTAGCCATAATTAACAAATTGTGTTCCATCTCCTCAGGGAGAGTCTCAAAGGAGGAAAGAAACCCATAAATTTTTCTTACTGGGTTACTTTAGGGACACATGGAAAGCACAGAAAGATTCCTTATTAGAGTTTAGTAGACTACACCTGTTTCTGTGACTACACCTCAGAGTTCCAGTTACTCTTCATGGTCCTGTATTCCTTTATCTTTAATTTCTAACAACTGATCTAGGTGATTTAGCCACAGCCTTAACAATCTGCTTCTAAGTGAAGTTTCTGAGCTAGTGCAATGTTGCAGCCATCTTCAGTATAATCTTTGGTGAAAGCTAGATAATGACTTCTCTGTAGTTAGCTGATATTTCTTTGAATAGTAAAAACAAAAAGCAAGAACTCAAGTTCTGAAAAAGAAGTTAGTGTTGTTAGCAAGCTCCCACTTTGGTTCCTAAGATTTTTATGATGATTTCCAACCAAGATGTCAAATATGATCTTGTGATTTGTAGTTAATTGGATTTGTTTCAGAACTTTAACCTCAAGTAACAGATTTGCATGATGATTTCCAGTTACCTCTTAATTAAAGAAATTATGTCAGTATTTTTATGATTTTTGCATTTTCTCTTTCAGAGGCATCATGCATTGTTCATGTGTTTCCCAAATTTACCAGTATTATTGAAGGAGTCAATGTCATTTGCAAAACATTACTTTTAGTTGGAGATAAGACCGAAGCAAAATACTAAAGCATCTATTTTACTACGTAGTGCCTCCATCACATTATAATATCCGATTTGCAAGAGAACAGATCATCCCCTGTACCTATAAGGGTTAGAAGAGTCTTTGAAATGCCATAAAATTGTCCCTTGCATGATCAAATGCACATCTAGTGGAGATAAGAACTAAAATTAAAACCTGCACAAATACAGGTACAAGCAAAGAATAGTCCTTTAAAAATTACAAAGCAGCAATATATATTTTCCTTAAAATTAAGGTGTCTTTTCCATTCCTTATTTATTTATTGGCTATTTCTAAAACTATTTTTTCCCACTCAAAATTCACTTTGATGTTTAAACAAATGTATACAAATGCATATTTTCTTGGTCTGTCATTGCGTAATACATTTATTGTTAACTATTTTAGTGTTGAAGGTCGTTATTTGTGGAGTGGGGACAGTGGCAGGGCCAGGGAATGAGCTAGCTTCTCTAATCTCTATACCTGGTCTAGTTTCATAGTGAAGGTCCAAGGCTAAGATATGTCCAAGTGTGATTTTTTATATGTTTAGAGAGTCTAACAAAATGAAATTTTCTTGAAAAAAAATGTTTAAATGTCCAGAACTAGGTCATTTTCAATAGTCACATAAACTCATGAAAATGTAAATAAAATCAAGTAAAACGAGTTTAGTGCTTTACAGGGAACTCTAAAGATAAGTTAAAGAAATAGCTCATATGTTTTCTCATACATAGGGAAACTAGTATTTACTAGCATAGATGTAGAAAAGAACATATTTGCAACCTCTCACTTATGCAGCCAAACATGGGTCATACTACTACTTTTCATATCCATTAGTATATACATAAAAAGCATTGTCTCCAGAAAATTAATTCAGTTTTCCTGAATAAGCCAAGAATGTTAGTCTATAGTGGGTAGGAAATTATATTTAAAAAACCATTGTTTTATAAGTCATCATTAATGTGAAATAATTGTAGATTGCTTATTACTATTGTAAAGTTCCCATAGAAATATATGTTTTTATTTGCAGGGTAAGTGCGATTCAAAGAATGCTGATGCTGCTGTAATTTCACAATGGCCAAGCAATTTTCTTTTATTAAATGAAAAACATGAATTCGCTGTTCAAAAATGCGTTACTCAAGGAAGTAGTGAACAGTAGTATGTAGTCACAATAAACATTACTCAATTATCTTTTATAAATTGAAATCCAATTTACATAAAACAGCATGTATCAAAAGTTAGTTATAATTAAATAATAACATGTTTGTTATCAAGATGAGTAACATAAAGGTAAATGAAAGCAAAATAGTCCTAATGTGAAATCATTTTTTATTGGAGTAAAATAAATGTCACATAAATTTACATAATATAAATTCAACATTTAAAAGTTTACAAGTTAGTGCCATTTAATGCATTCAAAATATTGTATAACCATTACCACTATCTAGTTAAAAAATATTTTTGTTACTCTGAAAGGAAACTCTTGTACCCATTAAGCAATTGCTATACCTTCTGCCCTACCTTCTAGCCCTGGAAACAATCTGCTTTTTACCTATGTGGATGAGCTTTAATATTCTGGAAATTTTATGTAAATTTAATTATACAATACTCCTGACAGTTTTTATTTATCATAATGGTTTCAAGGCTTATCTATATTTAGAATGTATCAATACTTCATTCTTTTTATGACTGATTAATACTCCATTGAATGGATATACTACAATTGTTTATTTATCAGTAGACGGACAGTTGGGTTATTTCAGTCTTTGGCTATTGTGAATGCTGCTGTGAACTTACATATGTTTCATAATGATAATTCTATGTGTAACTTAATGAGTGATTGTCAAACTCTTTTCTTAATAGGTGTGTCATTTTACATTCCCAAAGGCAATGTATGAAAGTACAAATCTCTCCACATTCTTGCCAGTATTTTTAATTTTCCTTTTTATTTATTTTTTATTACAGCCATCCTAGTGGTTACCAAGGAGTATCTCCTTACGGTTTTGATTGTATTTCCTTAATGAGAAATGGTATTGAACATCTTTTCATGTGCTTGGTGGCCATTTGTATATCTTCAGATCTTCAATGAGAAATGTCTGTTCAATTTCTTTGCCCAGTTTCATATATTTTATTATAAATTGACATATTAAAGTTGTATATATACATTGGGTACAAAGTTAGTTTATTATTATTTATGTATCCAATGCTGAATAATTAAATCAAGCTAATTAACATACCCATCACTTCAAATGTTTTTTATTTTGCGTGGTGAGAATATTTGAAATGTAGTGTTTTAGCAATTTTGAAATATGCAATGCAGTATTATCAACAGTCACCATGCTATTCACCAGATCTCAGCAAAACTTACTTCTCCTCTCTAATTGAAACTTTGTACACTTTCACCAATATCTCCCCATTTTTTCCTTCCCCAGGTGGGTAACTGCCATTCTACTCTCCGCTTCTGAGTTCTATTGTTTTAGATTCCATATATAAATACACCAAACAGTTTTTGTCTTCCTTTGTCTAGCTTATTTACTTAGCATAACATCCTCCAGATTCATTCATGTTGTTGGAAATGACAGAATTTCCTTCTTTTTAAAGGTTGCATAGGATCCCATTGTTTATACATACCACATTCTCTTTATCCTTTCACCTGTCGATGGAAACAGTTTGTTTCCATATCTTGGCTATTGTGAATTGTGCTGCAATAAACATGAGATTTCAAATCCTTTGGATATATACCCAGATTTTAAATCCTTTGGCTATATATCCAGAAGTGGGATTGCCAGGTCATATGGTAATTCTATCTCTTCTATATTTATTTTTGAGGAACCTTCCTACAGTTTTTTTATAATGGCTGTACAAATGTACATTTCCACCAACAGTGTGACAGGGTTTTCTTTTCTCCACATCTTTGCCAACACTTATTATCTTTCATCATTTTTACAATAGTCTGACAGGTGTGGACTGATATCTCATTTTTAACTTGCATTTCCATAATGATTAATGATTTAGAACATTCTTTTTTCAAATACCTCCAGATCATTTGTAACTCTTTTTTCTTTTTTTGAGAAATGCCTGTTCAGATCCTTTGCCTACATATATATATAGCTATTGAGTTTGAGTTTCTTATCTATTTTAGATATTAACCCATTATCAGATGCATGGATGCAAATATTCTCTCTTCATCTGTAGCTTGTCTCTTGACTCTGGTAATTGTTTCCTTTCACATACAGAAGCTTTTTATTTTCATGCATTCCCACTTGTATATTTTTGCTTTTATTGCCTGAGCTTCCAGGGTCTTATCCAAGCAATCACTGCACAAAGCAATATCATAGAGATTTCCCCTATGTTTTCTTCTAGGATTCTTATAGTTTCGGGTCTTACAGTTAAGTTTTAATCCATTTTGAGCTGGATTTTGCATATAGTGTGAAACAAGGGTCCAATTTTATTCTTCTGCTTATGAATGTTAAGTTTTCCTAACACACTTTGTTGAAGAGACTGTTTTTTTCCACTGGGTACTCAACTCTAGAATCTCTGTTCCATTGGTTGATTTGGTCTATTTGTTAGTACCATGCTGTTTTCATCACCAAAGCTTTGTAATACAGTTCAGAATTTAGCAGTGTGTTGCTCTCAGCTTTATTCTTTTGCTCAACATTGCCTGAGCTATCCAGGATTTTTTATATGTAGTTCCATATAAATTTTGGGATTTTTTGGTTATTTCTATAAAAAGTGACACTACAATTTTGATAAAAATCATATTAACTCTGTAGATCACTTTGGGTAGTATTAACACTTTAACAATATTGATTCTTCCAGTTCATGAATACAGAATATTTTCCCTTTGTGCATTTTTGAATTGACTTGCTTATCTTTTGTTGTTGAATTGTAAGAATCCATTCTAGATACTATACTCTTACTAGATATATGATTATAATTTTTTAAAGTTATAGAGGTTGTATTTTTTATTCTTTGATAATGCCCTTTGATATACACAATCTTGTTTCTTTTTACAATTTTGATAAAGTCCAATTTATCAATGTTTTCTACTTTTGTTGCTTGTGCTTCTGGTGTCCTAACTAAGAAAACTGTCAGGAACTCAGCTGAGTTTGGAGAAAGAGAACTGTACTGCTAGATGTTGGTGCAGCTAATTAAGGCAATAAGCCATAAATGAAAGAGTTAATCAGTTACTGCAATGACATAAGCAAGATTTTAAGACCTGAGAAAGCACCAACTCCTCCTGTTTCTTTTCTTTCATGGAATTGGCACATTGGTCTAGCATCCAGTGGATCAGTAAAGACATGGAGATTGTCTCACTTCTGAGGGAGTCCCAGAAAAATAGGCACTGGCAGTTTTATGGACATTGAGGTGTGTGTATACAGGGAGGGGAAATTAAAAGAGTGACGATGAGGTCTGGAAAATAATGAATAGCGGAGAAAATTATCCTTAAAATTTCCCCTTCCTCTTCTCATAGAGGGTCTCTCGGCATAGGCACCTGGAGAAAACCTCTGCTCTAAGACAGAGTCATAGGAATAAAGGTGCCAGGTTAGAAATTGAAATACAGTCATGGGTGGCTTAATGATAGTAATATATTCTGAGAAATGTGTCATTATATGATTTGTTTTTTGCAAAATATCATACACTGTACTCACATAAACCCAGGTTGTATAGCCTACAATACACACAGGCTATGTGGTATAGCCTCTTGCTCCTACAAACCTGTACACCATGTAACTGTACTGAATTCTGTAGGCAACTGTAACACAATGGTAATTATTTCTGTATCTCAACGTATCTAAACAGAGAAAAGGTACAGTAATCATATGGTATAAAATATTAAAAATAGTATATCTGTACAGTACACGTACTAAAAAATGGAGCTTGCAGGAGTGGAAGTGGCTCTGGGTGAGTCAGTGAGTGAGAGGTGAGTGAATGTGAGGGCCTAGTACATTACTGTAGAATAGTGCAAACTTTATAAACACTATATACTTAGACCACACTAAATTTATAAAAATTATTTTTATTTCCTTAATAATTACCTTAGCTTACTGTAAGTTTTTAACTTTATAACCTTTTAAATGTTTTAAACTTCTTGACTCTTCTGTAATAACTTAGCTTTAAACACACATTGTATAGCTGTACAAAATTTTTTTAATATCCTGGGTCTATATGCTTTTTTTCCTATTTTTAACCTGTTTGATTTTTTTTTTTTTTTACTTTTCATGCAAAAATGAAGACACACACACACATTAGCCTAGACCCACACAAGGTCAGGATCATCAATATCACTGTCTTCAACCATGTCTTTTCCCACTAGAACATCTGGAGGGGCAATAACATACATGGAGCTGTCATCTTCTGTGATAACAATGCTTTCTTTTGAAATACCTTGTGAAATCTTACTGTTAACTGTAGTCACCCTACTGTGCAATGAACCCCCTGGAAACATACAACCTCACAAAACTGTACTATTTGATTCTGTTCTCATATTATCTTCTGAATTTTTGAACTCCTAAATTTATAATAACCTAATTTGAATAATGCCTACTGAAGATCAATAGTACCTAAAAATTTTTAGGCAGCTCTACTATCAAATTATCTATTTCACACATTGCATGTTTATAAATTGTGCACAAATTAATAAAAATTTGTAATTATTATCTTATGAATTTATATTTAAATCATATAAAAGGGCAAAATAATGAGGAGTTAGGAACTCCCAAAACAGTAACACTAGATTTTATACCACCTGTTTATTCATCTGTTTAGTTACTTTTACTGTTTTTTTTTTTTTTTAATTTCTCTGTATGGCTTCTAGTTGGTGTCTGGTTTGTCCTTTTATTTCATCCTAAAACACTTTTTATATTGTTGATTGCAGGGCATGTTTGCTAGTGACAAACTCCTTCAACTTTTGTTTGTGTCTTTATTTCAGCTTCAATTTTGAAGAATTGTTTTGCCAGATATACAATCGTTAGTAGATTTATTTTTCTCAGCACTCTACCTTCAGGCTTTCATAGTTTCTTATGAACAGTTACCTATTAATATTATTAAGAATACCTTTTACATGATAAGCCACCTCTTTCTTGCTACCATTAAGATTCAAAGTGCTTTCAACACTTTGATTGAAATATGTTGCACTGTCAGTCCCTTTGAATCTATCCTCTGTTGGGTTTATTAAGCTTCTTTGGATGTGTATATTCATATCTTTCATCAAATTTGTGAATTTTTTGTCATGATTTCTCCAAGTGTTCTTTCTTTCTCTTTCCCTTCTTTCCTTCCAGAACTCTCATTATGCTTATGCTGATAAGTCAGTTAAAGTCCTTGTCTAGTAACTCCAGTTTCTGGGCTTCCTCAAGATAGTTTCTATCCATTTTTTTTAATCCTTTTCTGAATAAAACATATTTTCTTGTGTCTTGGCTTACATATTTATTTTTCATTTAAAGTTTAACTTTTTGAGTATTTTAATGAGGTTTCTTCAGAAACCATGTATTATTTCCTCTACAGGGTTTGCCTTGTTGTTGTGGACCGTAGTTTTGATTTTTTTTTCTAAATTGTTTTTAGAAATTATTTTTTCCTAAATTTACTTTTCTAATTTTTTTCTTAAAGAAAATTCTTTGTTATGCATGTTTAGTAAAGAATATTCTGTCAATTTGCCTGCCAGTGATTTTTCAGAGGTATCACTAAATTTCTAGAGCAAAAATTTTTAAAAAGAGAAAGAAAATAAATTTCTCATATTTTTTAACACTGACTCTGTTTGGGATAGTCCTTAAACTCTTAGCCAACCATTTAAAAACTTGCCTTAGCCTTCACTTCCTGCTTTTGAAGTTGAAACATGAGTGGAGCCTAAAGTTCAGCCAGAGTTGAAATCTTAGGGTCTTATCAGATTTTTTTCTGAGCAATTTTGTAGACCTAGACGTGTTTAGCTCTCAAAATTCTCTGAAGCTTTTCAAAGCTTTTATTCACCCATTTATCTCCTTGCTTAGCCTCTTGTTTTTTGGGCTTTTTGATCTATATGCTGTTTGACTTGTCTGTTATTTCCTTTCCCCATGCAACTGCAGTTAGGATATTTGCCTTTAAATAGTTTCAACAAAGTCCTATCAGGAGACTATTCCAGCTCCAATCTCTGAGTGGATCCTTCATGGAACCACTGGATGGGTTAAAACACAACTACAATTCCTGCAGAGCAAGGCTTATTTTGCTCCCTTGGTCACCAGGCAGCCACACCATGATGTGGGTCACCATCTTCATGGCTGCCACGGTGCTGAGGAATGGGCTTGGTAGGCAGATGAGTTGAAACATGACAACAATATCAACCAAAATCTAGATTTTAATAATCTTAAAAATGTAGATTCCGATAGTTTTGTTATCTTAATTTTGTTGCTTTAATAGAGATATACAGTTTTAGAGTTTCCTACTCTACCAAAAAGTGATGTCTATCTATGATAGGTATTATATAAATAATAATATCTATGTCATACAACATTGTCAACTCAAATGTATTGATTACAAGGAGTGATATATATATATATATATATAATTGAAGAAATAAAAATAAGTGTATTTTTTACATAATAATTACAATAAATGGATTCTACAAATTTTCTAAGTGGTCTACATTTAACTTAATCTGAATAATGAATATCTGTTGCCTGGGCCATTCAGGTAAAACAAATAAAAAATGTGATCTCTCCCTCTCTTTCTCTCTCTTATTCTGTTTTTCTCTTTTTCTCTCTCTTATCCTTTCTTTCCTTCTCTCTCTCTCTTTCTGGGTCTATGCATCCACATAGGATTTCTTCAGTAGGTTTTCATAATGTTAATCATATTAATAATGTTAATGTCTCTCTTAATGACTTTAATTTCTCTTTAATATCAAGCCTTTATTTCTTTAAATATCTTGACATTATTTCCACTGTCATTGCCATGTTTCTCTATTGCTTGTGTTACCCACAAGCAGGAAGTAATATCTAAAGTATTGTTTATATTCAGGATAAAAACCTTTGTTACAAATACTTAAGATTCTGTGCAACCCATAGTTTGTCTTATCAAGTTGGTTCATTATTACTGATGCTAAGTTAAATCTTGGGTTGTGATTCTGGTAGTTAGAATGTTTTAAAGTTATGGCATTTGTTTTGCAGCTAACAAGTATGTGAGACAAATTGTTGGCATGGTATGAATACCACTTTCTGAACAAATTTCCCCCCATTGAAAGTAAACATATTTGGTGGTGTTTACACTGTTTTTTTCAGTTACTTTTTTGATCTTAGCTTATATCCCATTATTTTAATGCACTGTGTTAAAATATTCTTAAGGGACAATTAAATAATTGTATACTGTGTGTGATGATATTATCAATTTACAGAAAAGAAAGTTTCATTTGCTCAACCTTCAAGATTTATGGAAAAATACTAAAGTTGGAGATACGAAATTATGTTTTTATATATATACATATAAAATAATTATGTACATATAATTTTCTCCATATTTATGTTTATGTATATGTATGTTTATACACATATATACATATATACACATATATATACTTCTGTATATATATACACACACATATACACTTGTATATATACACATGTATATATACATATACATATTTTTGTCATATTTCTTAGAAGTTAATAATTATTTTTATATTTATTCCCAATATAGGTTCCCTGAATTACTTGAATGGACAAACACAATCTGACAGTAGTGAATGAATTC